>NC_000005.10:80109807-80412837 GCF_000001405.40 Homo sapiens | reverse complement strand
TTCGATAAATATAAACATTAAATTTAAAATAAACATAATAGTAAAAAGTAGTAGTAACGGAACTCTGAATACAGGATGTATTTAACAAATTAAGCACAGAAACTGAAAGGTCTAGAAATAGTTTCTTATTAGCAAAAGCCAGAGAATTTTTTAGAAATAAATTATGGAATTCATTAAATAACATATATTTACAAAACATTCCTATCTATATAGCAATGCTCTACTAAGCATTATGTAATTTCAGGTGCCAAGAAAGATATAAAAAAAGATAATATAATTTGTAAAAGGTATGATATGACAATGTAAATACGGTATACTGAAATGTTTTAACATGAAATCTCATTAAGCTGTGTATATTTCCCATTTCAATCAATCAGTATGTACTTTTTGTGCCAATAATCTACCATATTCAGTATAAGACATAAAAGAAATATAAGATATACTCCCTTTTAAAATAGGTTTATTTATGTATACATATAACTTATTTTAGGTAGTATTTTTACTCACTTGGCTATTTATATATTTTTAAATTTAAGAAAAAATCTTCGTAATATTTACAATAAAATGGTTTTTAAAAATCTCTTCATGATTACAAAAATTGGCAGTAACATGGAAGATTAACCAGAAAACCAACAAAACCAACAGTAAGGAGACACCTAAAATGGTTAAGGTAAGAGATGAAGGCCTGAGCTGAGATAATGCAGTGGAGAAAAAAAGGAAATACATATAAAGGTGGCTAAAATGAGCCAGGCATGGTGATGCCCGCCTGTGGTCTCAGCTACTCCAGAGCCTGAGGTGGGAGGATTAGCTTGAGCCCAGGAATTTGAGACCAGCCTGGACAACAGAGTGAGATCCTGTCTCAAATAAAAATAATAAAATGAAATAAAAGTGGCAAAATAATGAGAAGTTTTGGAGACCGAAAGCAAGGGAGAAAGCTGGATTAGTGCCAGGTTTCCACCATGAGTGGCTAGGGTAGATGGTGGTGCCACTGACCATGACAGGCAATACAAAGAGGAGCAGGATTAAGGGAAAACATGAGTTCACGTTTGGACTGTTTGAAGTACCTTGAGAACATCCTGGGAGAGATATCCAAAAGGCAGCTGAATATAAGAATCTGGAATGCAGGAGAGAAGTCTGAGATAGATAAAGATTTGGGAACTGGCAACACACAGCTGTTAATGGATGAGATCACCTAGGAAGAGAATATATTTAGAAGAGGACAAGAGCCTGCCATCAGATAACTAAAGATCACAACTCATGTTCCTAAAACCACTCAGGATAAAACTTTGCCCAGTTATATGTACTTCAGTAGAAAAATATCCAATATATAATGTTAAATGAAAGAAAATCAAATCACAAAACTTTATGCATAGTGCAAACCTATTTTTACAAATAAGTTGTAAAAAAAATTAACAAATGCATAGTAAAAAAATATGAAGGAACAAACATTAATGATGTTAGTAATACTATAAATCTAGGAATGGGATTATGTAAGCCTTTCAGAGCTACATGATATGTCTTCATACTATTTTACTTTTTTTTTATAAGCATATACTTGGCCAGCGTGGTGGCTCATGCCTGTAATCCCAGCACTTTGGGAGGCTGAGGTGGGCAGATCACAAGGTCAAGAGATCGAGATCATCCTGGCCAACATGGTGAAACCCTGTCTCTACTAAAAATACAAAAAAAAAAAAAAAAAAAAATTAGCTGGGCGTGGTGGCACGTGCCTGTAGCCCCAGCTACTTGGGAGGCTAAAGCAGGAGAATCGCTTGAACCCCAGGAGGCGGAGGTTGCAGTGAGCCGAGATGGTGCCACTGCACTCCAGCCTGGCGACACAGCGAGACTCCATCTCAAAAAACTAAATCAATAAAAATAAAATAAATTTAAAAAAAAAAGGCATGTGCTCTTGTAAACCGAGAAAACATAATTTTGTTGTTTTCCTTTAAAAAAAAGTACAGCACGTTTCCTAAGGTCGGGTGAGGTGGCTCGTACCTGCAATCCCAGCACTTTGGGAGGCCGAGGCAGGCGGATCACAAGGTCAGGAGATCGAGACCATCCTGGCCAACATGGTGAAACCCTGTCTCTACTAAACTACAAAAATTAGCTGGGCATGGGGGCGCGTGCCTGTAGTCCCAGCTACTCAGGAGGCTGAGGCAGGAGAATCCCTTGAACCCGGGAGGCAGAGGTTACAGTGAGCCGAGATCACGCCACTGCACTCCAGCCTGGCGAAAGAGCGAGACTCTGTCTTAAAAAACAAACAAACAAAGTACAGCACGTTTCCTTACAATATATTTAAGAAGATAAAAATGTGTTAGAAAAACACTTGGATACTGGACTATAAACGAGCAAATAACATCAACAGACAACTAGTAAGATTATGAAAATTATTCAGTGCACTATCAAAGTAATGAGAATTAGAACATATACCATTTATTGCCTGCTAAATTGAAACAATTTTTTAAAATAATAAAAGTACTCGATGTTGGTAAGGGTGTGATTTTTTTTTTTAAAGCATGTCAGACACTGCTGACAGGAAACAAACTGGTACTATCTCCCATGAAAACAATGTGACAATATGTACCAATAGCCTGAGAAAGATTCCTAATATTTGATCTAACAATTATCTTTTTAGAAATTTTAGAAAAGAATCCATGTGTTAAAGCTCTCTTAAAATGTATCTGGCAGTTGTCTGGTTTTTACTGGACTCCCCCCAGCCCCCTCAAAAAGAAAATAATTCAAAACAACTAAAAACATGCAAAGATATTTCACCAAATCATTAGTTGAAACAATCTAAACACCAACATTAGTGCACAAAAGCAAATTATACAGGCATCAAAAGTAATGTGTTTAACAAACTTAAAAAAAAGCAAAACTCTATGACCTAGCAATTCTACTTACAGAAAAAACACTAGCACGCATACACCAGAAAACATCACAAAGAACTTTCACTGTTGCAAGGGTTGTAACAGTGTAAAATTTTAAACAACCTAACAGCCCACCAATCCAAAAATGGTTAAATCAGCTTTCTCAAACTGTGGTCTCAGGACCCCTGGATGTCCCCAGGAGCCTTTCAGCAGGCTTGTAAGATCCTCGCTTTTCCTGCTACGTATCTGTTCAAGGCTGGTGTTTTCTTCATATGCTTCAACCTAAACCAGATAGCACAACAGACTGAACAGAAGCAAACATGAAAATCCAGCTGTCTTCTATAATGCCAGACATTAAAGTGATTCGCAAAAATTTGAAACAATGCCACGCTCCTCTTCTAAGTTTTGTTTTAGAAAATGGTTACTTTTCACTAAAAAATTATTTAATACATGAGTCTGTGATTTTTAAATGAATAAAACATTTTCAATTTTCTGAGTTTTAATTTCCAAAATGGTAAATATACTGCAGCATTAGGAACCAAAAACTCTATTGGTCCTCAATAATTTTTAAGCGTAATTATCCCCAATCATAATGTTAAATGAACTGTAGCACTATTCTATCATGTAACATTATGATTGAGGATAATTAATGCGGATTTGGCTTTATCTGTAATATAACTGTTTCAAAAGATACTTTGCTCATGTATAATCAAGAAGTCATTTTTATGAAGCTTTTTAAAAACATGGGGAAATGCTTACAACGTAATTTAAATCAAGGAAAGCAGACAATCCAACGATATAAAATCTCATCTCAAGAAAATGCACAGGGGAAAAAAAGACTCAAAGGAAAAAAGTCAAAATATTATAAGTAATTGATTACTATTACATGGTGGAATTATGATTGATCATTTTTCCTTATTCTTTATTCTATTTTTTCAATTTTTGCCACTAAGCATGCGGTTTAATATCCAGGAGAGGAAAAAAAGGAAGAAATTAGGCGAAAAATTATATATAGTTCTACTGGATTAAACCATTAAACTCCCGCCAACTCAAGAGACGACAAGCTCAAGTGAATAAATGGAGGAATCTGATTGAATCAACAAAGTGCCTATTTTTTGAATTGAAAAGATTAACTTAATATCAAATGTATGGACTGGTTTTCATACAAGTCAAACTAATAAGAAAGAACATCCTTAGTCTGGAACATAATATTTGCAATCACGATAGTACAAATAAGAGTTAAAAATAAGGTCCTCTTTTGGAGTTCTCAAAAGTACCAAAGGAAAGGCAGCGGGAAAGACGGCCACTGCATCCTTCTGGTCTCTAACCAAGAGAAAATGCATGGGTGCGGGAATGGACAGTGCGAGAGCACCGGCGGCGATGAGACTCCTCTGCGGGGACCGAGCCTCTGCCACTCCTGAAGAACCACAGTCCCCTCCGCAGTCGCAGCCCCTCCCCAGGCGGGACGGCGGCGCCAGGGCGCTTCTCCCTCCGTCCGCTGGGGTCTCTCCCCCAGGAGCGCCGAACACTCCGGCGGCCCGGGAGCGGGGAACCGGGCAAACAGCCGCCGTGATTGCCCTCCCGGTCCAGTCCGGTCTGGCCCTTCAGGCTCCAGGAGGGGACATCAGATTGGAGGGCCAGGGTTCCCCGGCCAGCTCCGGGGGCTCGGAAAAGGAATCGGTCGGGGCCCAGGCTCTGTCCCCAGAGGAAGAGGGCCAGACCCAGCGCCCAGGTCGGCGGGTCCAGCGGTCACCCCGCCCCCCTGTGGGAACAGCAGGGCTGAGGGGAGGCCGAGACGACCGGTCACGGGGGGCTCTTACCTCCCTACAGCCCCTGCGGAGCTTTTTGGGAACTCGACACGACGTCGCGCTGAGGAGTGAAGAGCTACCCCGGCCGGGAGTCCTGGGAGTGCCAGATCCCGGCTCAGGGCTTCTTTCCCCGCCCCACCGGGCAGCGCAGAGAGCGCAGGCGCAGAGGACGCTTTCCTCTTCGGCTCACACGCCCCCTCCCTCGGCATCCGCGGCCGTCTCCAGGCCCGGGGCGCTTGCGCACTACGACGCAGGTTCCGAGCCAAGGGCACTAGATTTCTTACCGGAAGTGCCTGAGTGGGTTGTTGGGTGACGGGGACGCCTGATGATTCGACCTTAGGTCGGGACTCGGTTCTCCACTCGACTGCGGGATCGGGAGGCCACTCGCGTCAGTGTCTGACTTCCTTTACCCTTCGCTAACCTAGAGGCAGCTTCCCCGGCTCCAGCCTTAGCCCTTTGCTGAGCCTGCGCGGCGTTCCGGTCTCTACTGGACAGACCCGCCTTCCCGGCAGCGGGCTAGGCCTGCTCTCCGCGCTGCTGGCCCCTCGGAAAACATAACTTTTTGTTTACTTCAAACTGATTTTACAACACGCTGCCCCCCCGCCTCCCCCGCTTCCCCCGCTTCCCCTTCCTCCTCCCGGCAGCAATAAAAATGCTCCCAGCCAACGCCGAGCTCCAAGCCCCTCCAGCTGACTGGACATTCCCAGCCACACTTTCCTTCCCTTCGCTGCGTTAGTTCTGCATTTTTATTTTAAAGCAGCTGGTAGAACAGCTGTCTCCCTGTCTAAAAGCAAAAGCTGACTTATCTGATGTAGAAATAAAATGTCACTCACTTGATGTATATTTGCTTGTTGAGTTTTGCTATTTTTACCACAAGTTTCCTATAAATTTAAATGAGACCCGGCGCGGTGGCTCACGCCTGTCATCCCAGCACTTTGGGAGGCCGAGGCGGGAGGATCGCTTGAAGTCAAGAGTTCCAGACAGGCCTGGGCAACATAGCAAGACCCTGTCTCTACTAAAAATGAAAATGAAAAAATTAGCCAGGCGTGTTGGCGCGTGCCTGTAGTCCCAGCTACTGGCTGGGAGTCTGAAGTGGGAGGATCACTTAAGCCCAGGAGGTCAAGGCTGCAGTGAGCTCTGATGGCAACACTGCATTCCAGCCTGAGCAACAGAACCAGACCGTGTCTCTAAAAAAATAAAAAATAAAAACAAGGGAAGAGACATACATGTGGGATCAGATACAGACAGATACAGGGAAAAAGCAGTTCCTCAAAGGTTAAACAGCTCACAGTTCATACTGATCTTTCAAAAATCGCAAGAATTGGCCGGGCGCAGTGGCTCACGCCTGTAACCCCAGCACTTTGGGAGGCCGAGGCAGGCGGATCACCTGAAGTCAGGAGTTCGAGACCAATCTGGCCAACATGGTGAAACTCCGTCTCTACTAAAAATACAAAAATTAGCTGGGTGTGGTGGCGGGCGCCTGTAATCCCAGCTACTTGGGAGGCTGAGGCAGGACAATCAGGACCATTGAATGAACCCAGGAGGCAGAGGTCACAGTGAGCCAAGATCGAGCCACCACACTCCAGCCTGGGTGACAGAGCAAGGCTCCGTCTCAAAAAAGAAAAAAAAAAAATTGCAAGAATTATAATTTTTCGAGTATTCCAGCCACATGTGATTTGTGATGAAAGATTTGAGAATCAGGGTTCGCATCTTAAATCTGCAGTTTACAACTATAGTTCCTGATCTTTGAAAGATACTTAATCTTTAACCTTGGTTTTCCTAAACAACAAAATGAAATAGCCAAACTTTTGATTGCCTAAAGTAATGTGTGTATTGAGCATCTGCTTTGTGACAGTGTGTTAGATGCTTTGCTTACGTTATCTCATTTAATCCTAAGAATAATTCTACAAACTACAGTATGCCTTTTTCCTACTATGTGTTAGGCATTGTTCACAGATAAAATAAAATGGGGCCACTGCCCATGGGGAACCACAGTCTAGTAGCAGAGACTCACATATACAAATGCATACTGGGGACAGAAGTATTTATACGGTAAAGTGTGAGGGTAAAGAGAATAGAAAAAAGACACAAACACCTTAAATAGATCAATGGGGAAAGTATATACAATGGTCAGTTCACAAAATATGAAATTTAAATGCCTACTACACATTTTACCAATCAATATTCAAAGTCATTAATAATAAACAGAGACAAAAAAGAGGTTGTCTGGCATCTAATTACCCAATCTGTTTAAAATGTGAATAAACTCGATTGGTGACAGAAGAGTGAAGTGGACACTTATACCCTGGGAGGGATATAAATTGGGACAAAGATTTTGGAAAGTTATTTGTCAAATCATATCAAGAACCTTATGAGTGTTCACATGACCCAATTTGATCATTTCTCTTTTGGAAGTTATAAGAAGGTAGTCCAGAAGACGAAGATCTCTATGGAAAGATACTTAACCATAGTAAGTAAATTGATAAAAGTCGAAAATCCACCATTAAGAGAATGGTTAAAATAATTACTGCATGTATGTGATTAAAACTATTAAAATTATGTTTACAAAGAATTTTTAATGGCCTGAGGAAATTACCTCATGAAAAAACATTTTAAATATTTAAAAATATTTAACATTGCCTATGTAGTATGAGGTCAGCTATAGTATACAATGTATGTAAAAGAGTGAAGAAAGTATATCAAAATGTTGATAGTAGTCATGTCTATCTGATTAGAATGTAGATGTTATTATCCTGGACAGTCTACATTTTCTACAACATCTATATATTACCTTTATATTCTGGGGAAAAAGAAAAAAACCTCTAATGTAACAAGTGTGATAAGTTGACCAGGAAACCTAAGAATCCATTTCCCCTGTCATTTCAAGTATGGTCTTTAGAGTCTGATTACCTGAATTTGAATTCTAATTCTATAACCTATTAGTTGTGTGGCCTAAATTTTCTAAGCTTGATGCTCCTGTAGTCAAATGCTAATAGAACTAATACATTGATTGAGATAATCCACATAAAGTACTTAACTGAAGCACTGACTGTAAATGATGAATAACTGTTATTCTTTTTTTTTTCTTTTTTTGACAGGATCTTACTATATCACTCAGGCTGAAATGCAGTGGTTGGATCATGGCTCACTGCAGCCCCAACTCCTGGGGCCCAAGTGATCCTCCTACCTCAGCCTCCAGAGTAGCTGGGACCACAGGCGTGCATCACCATGCCCAGATAATTTTTATTTTTATTTTTTTAAAGACAAGGTTTCACTATGTTGCCTATACTGGTCTCAAACTTCTGGGCCCAAGCAATCCTCCCAATTAGAATTCAAATTCAGGTAATCAGGTAGTCAACCTCCCAAAGTGCTGGGATTACAGACATTAGCCACTGTGCCAGCCTAACAATTGCTATTCTTGATGGTTATATTTCTTTTTATAAATTGATCAGTTACATCCATGTTGTTATATCAGTAGCCTATGAATTTGGCTAATGCAAGTATAAGTTCCCTGGAGCACAATTACTTGCAAATACATTTTAAAACTGAATTTCTTAGTCTACTAAACTGAGAATAAGATACAGGGACTTGATGACCACTCCACATGTTTGTCACTATATGAAGACTCGTTTGCTCTGTTTTTGTTTCTGTTTTTGTTTTTTAAGGAGAATTAATAAGTTTGTTCATATAAAATTTGTAGCCTTTGATTACCTTTTAATGCCAAATGTCTACTAAAAATTTAATCTGCTAACAAAGCAATTGCAATACTTTTAGTAGATGTTTAGAATTATAATAACCTTTCCTAATTATGCTTTGAAAGAGTATTTAATTTGGGTTCCACAAAACTTCTGATCTATAAAGTAGTAAAAATAGATGAAATCAACCAACAAACCAAAGTTCAAATCAATGACTACTACTTTAGCCCAATAGTTCTCTGTGGAGGTGAGGGGTGATTTTGCCTCCCAGAGGACGTTTGACAATCTCTGGAGGCATTTTTGGTTGTCACCACTGAAAGAATGCTACTGATATCTAATAGATACAGGCCAGGGATGCCGCTAACTGTCTTGCAATTCACAGGAGAACCCCCAACAACAAAGAAGTTTTCAGCCTAAAATATCAACAGTGCCAAGGTTGAGAAACCCTGATTTAGCCAGTGAGTGGTTTAAAGCTAGTATATTTCTTCCAATTCCTAGTAAACAGTTCCTTTTTTTTTTTTTTTTCTGATGACCACAGCGGCACAAATGTGAGTTCAGAAATTCAGAACTGGGTTTTGAACTTCTACATAAGGCCCTATACCAATGAAAATTAAACTTTGTACCAAGTAGTACCCAAAGTTAACTAGATTAGAGATAAAAAATCTACAATGACCAGTTTTATGGAGCAGACAGCTGGTCAGTTGTACTCTGGCACAGAAAAATGCTCCATTCCTATTGTTCAGTTGCACCAGACACACGTATCATCACTTATTACTAAGAACCACTTTATAAATAGCTGTCATTTATTGATCACCTACTGTTTTCAGCCTTTATCTTATAAGTAAACCAGGTGTTCTCGCAGTATGAACATTGTTGCTCATCCATAAACAAAACCTGAAGTTCAGGATTTCTCCCTGCTGTTATAACTACTTTGTTAAGTACAGGCTGTTATAACTACTTTGTTAAGTACAGCAACACTTACTGGTCAAGGCCTTTATCAAAACAGCAAACTGAAGAACACACTCTCAACAGCCCATTCTCCTTTTGTACAAAGTGCTATAATTTAGTATTGGTTCTTGTGAGAGAGGCTTTTCAATTCTCTAAGGAAAGTTTTAGTTGTGGTGCTCAGATAATCGCTGTAGATCCTTGTATTTAATACAGCAACTGTATTTACTTAAAGTTATAAAGTCAAAAAGCTCAAATAACCAATATTTTTTCTGAGTTCTTTAGAAATATATGACAAACAATAAATTAATGACATAGCAATGATTTGTTGATAAACATAATAAATCTTATGAGCTTTCTATATCAACAGTAAAAAAGAGGAATAACTGGTGTTTAATTCAACAAACACTTATTCATTTTTTTTTTGTTGTTTTGTTTTGTTTGGTACAGGGTTTCACTCCCATTGCCTAGACTGGAGTGTAATGGCTCGATCTCGGCTCACTGCCGCCTCAACCTCTGTGGCTCAAGTGTTTCTCCTGCCTTAGTCTCCCAAATACCTGGGACTATAGGCGCATGCTACTGCACCTGGCTAACTTTTGTATTTTTTGTAGAGGCAGGATTTCGCCATGTTGCCCATGGCTGGTCTGGAACTCCTGGGCTCAAGCCATCCACCGACCTTGGCCTCCTGAAGTGCTGGGATTAGAAGAGTGAGCCACCAAGCCCAGACAGTTTATTAAACATAATTGCATTGTTTTTCCTATTGATCTTGCAGTCATTGCAAGATCTTGCAGTGCTTTTGAATTGACAAAGAAAATAGAGATAAAGTTACATGAATTTTTAGAATTAAATTGTGTTTTATTATATTAAGGTGATTTCCTTAACCATTATAATAAATGAAAGCTTATTCAATTAACCTGGTCCAACCCCTCTCTACACATATATTCAATAAGCAAAAAGAAATGGTCAGTATGGCATGAACCTTAAATTATTTTTTAAAACCAATTGTTATTTTATAATACATTGATTATATTATTTTGTTAACAGATTCAACAATTGTAGCTATGTTAGCTAGTGGTTTCATGTTATTTTGTAACATGTAGTTATGTTACTTTGTAGATTCATGTTACTTTATAACACTAAATACAAGAAATGTGGCTTAGTTTTTGGCTTTGGAACTGAGTAATAAGGAAAATCAACAAGCTACTAAAAACTCAAATGCCTTTCACACACAAATGAAATTGAACTCTGTATTACCTTTATTTGTTTATGGGTGTTTCTTCTGCTGTGCAGTGCATTATGCTAGGAGTTGGAAGAAAGGTGAATAATTCATGTTTTTTGCCATGAAGAAGTTCACAATCCACTGTATCATTCTTTTATTTACTAACAGATATTTGAGAGACTGATGGCAGGTGATAAAGTTACAAGATCTTTGTGTAGATTCTTGGTCAATTAAATTTTCCATGAATTCCTTTGTTGATTGAAATGAAAAAGAAATCTGCATATCAAATTCAGTGTCAAATCAAATATTGACGAAAACGTATCCTTGGCAAAGTTTGGATCATAATTGCTAAAAAATTCCATGTGTCAGCTTTGGCCTCTAAAGAGCTCAGTTTATAACAGTGGTTTCTGCATTTGAGGAAATCATCCCAAATGTAACATGTCTGGGCAATTTATTCCCTAGACCAACCAGCCATGACTGAATAATCTACAGTTATTATTATTATTATTATTAGACAAGCTCTCACTCTATCATCCAGGCTGGAGTACAGTAGCCCAGTCATAGCTCACTGCAGCCTCAAACTCCTGGACTCAAGTGATCCTCCCACCTTTGCTCCCCAAGTAGGTGGGACTACAGGTGCTTACCACCACATCCAGCTGATTTTTAAATGTTTTTCTAGAGACAGCGGGAGGGGGTGAGGGGTGGTGGGAATGTCTCATTGCGTCGCCAAGACTGGTCTCAAACTCCTGGTTTCAAGTGATCTTTCCACCCTTGCCTCCCAAAGTGCTGGGATTACAAGGCGTGAGCCACTGCGCCTGGCCAGTTTTTATTATTTTCAAGAGAAACAGGTATCCTGATGATTTTAAGAGGCTTAAATTCCACAATAATATGAACTCCCAAACCTATTCACTTTTCATAAGTAACCTGGGTAAAGAAAATACCAAAAGCAAATTAAACTTAACTGCAGTATTGCAATTTTTCATTTCTTTCCTGTTTCTTGGCTGGTCTTATGCTAACATGCAATTTTAGAACTAGGGATTCTTTGCCCCAAAGCACAAAATGTGACCTGGAACTATTAGTTATCCACTGGTATTTAAGTGCTATATAACCATGTTAAAACACTCATATTTCAAGAAAAAGGAATTTTAAACTTTTTTAAAGAAGATAAGACCTTTGTTAAAATTATCCGCTGGTCCATGGCCATTAAGATCAGCTGTTTGGAGCAATGTCACTGCTATTGATTGACTATGTTCTCCAAAATTCATGTATTGGAATTTAATGGCCAATATGATAGTATTAAGATGTGGGGCCTTCAGGAAATAATTAGGTCATGATGAGGGCATAGTCTTCATGGACAGGATTAGGACTATTATAAAAGGGCTTGGAGCCTGGGTGACATAAGGAGACCCCATCTGTATAAAACTTTTTTTGTTAAATTAGCCAGGCATGGTGGCGTGTGCCTGTGGTCCCAGCTAGGAAGGCTAGGGCAGAAAGATTGCTTGAGCCTGGGAGGTCAAGACCTGCATGCAGTGAGCTGTGATCACACAACTGCTCTAGTCTGGGTGACAGAGCAAGACCCTGTCTCAAAAAGAAAATTAAAAAATAAAAAATAAATAAAAGGGCTTGGTGATATGGTTTGGGTGTACTTGAATTGCATCTCCCAGAATTGCCACGCATTGTGGGAGGGACTCAGGGGGAGGTAATTAAATCATGGGGCCAGTCTTTTCCATGCTATTCTCATGATAGTGAATAAGTCTCTTGAGGTCTGACATGGGTTTATCAGGGGTTTCTGCTTTTGCTTCTTCCTCATTTTCTCTTGCTGCTGCCATGTAAGAAGTGCCTTTCACCTCCCACCATGATTCTGAAGCCTCCTCAGCCATGTGGAACTATAAGTTCAATTAAACCTCTTTTTCTTCCCAGTCTTGGGTATGTCTTTATCAGCAGCATGAAAATGGGCTATGAAATGCACTTGGGTTCACTCTCTTCCACTCTTCCATGTGAGGACACCAAAACAGCACTATATAGAAGGAACAAACCTTCCCCAGACACCAAACCTCCTTACACCTTGATTTTGGATTCCCAGCCTCCAGAACTGCAAGAAAATAAGTTTCTGTTCTTTGTAAATTACCCAGTCTTAGGTATTTTGTTATAGCAGCACAATATGACAGTCACTAATGAAAAAAATGGTTACAGTTTTGATGATCATGAGAACTAATTTTTTTTAAATGCAAAGAAAAGTTTGGAAAGAAATTCACTAAAATATTAACTGTGATTATCTTTGGATGGTAAATCATGAGTGATTCCCCTCTTCTTTCTGAGAAAAAAAAACTTGAATAATTGAACTCTTTCTTTTTAAAAGTATTGCTAAATTCATAATTAAGTCAACCTATTACCTCACATTTATGATGCAATCTCTGCATACAGTATATTGCATGACTGTGCATCACAAGCCACAAATAAACCAAAAGGATGAATGAGCACTTGTGTCTGGTTGCTGCCTTAGAGGTGGCAACAAGAAACAGTCATTCCCAAGGCTCAAGTATGATACAGCTTCAACATCATGACACAGGTTCTCTCATCAAATTATTTGCCAAATATTTTCAGTTCTTCTTTCTTCTGGTCATATGATGGCAGCGTACTTCCTGGCCCCCTTGAGGTTAAATAGGGCCATGTGACTGATTCAGGCAAATAAATTGTGAGCAGAAATGACATGTCATTTCTGGACTGAATTCTTTACTCACCAATGTGAGATCCTACTGATCCTACTTTCCCTCTGGCATAACAATAGACAAGATTTGATACTGTGACTGCTCCATCAGCCTGAGTCTCTGTGGGATTTCAATGAACAGAACACATCTAGAGGAAGAAAAAAAAAAAACCTTGTTGTTTTGTGCCCTGGGATTTTGAGAGTGCTTTAGTACCGCAGCATAATTCAGTCTATCCTTGAAGATAAACTGGAACTTTGTGTTATGCCCCTGAGATTTGTGGCTGGCTATTCTGATTGATACACTGAGAGAGTGCTTCAACGAGACTATCTGCAACAGCATTGTTTCCTGGCATGTTTTTCCTTTGCAAGTGAATTACTCTATATTCATTGTCACAGATCTTATTTTTATCTATACACCCACCCCATTTTATCCCCTCTCCCCCACAATTAGATTATCTTGAGGCAAAGCTCATTTATTATATATTTTATCTCTAAATTTTTCTACATGTATATTTAAAAGATAAGTAGAAAACCTACAAAGTGGAAATAATGTAATCAATCCCCTCGTAGCCAATCCCATAATCCAGCTGCAATATGGACAACCTAGTTTCATCTATTCCATTACATACCCATATGATTTGAAAGCAAATGCCATATGTTGTATTATTTCATCCATAAATATTTCAATATATATTTGCAAAAGAAAATAACTCTGCCTGGGGGCAGTGGCTCATGCCTGAAATCCCAGCACTTTGGGAGGCCAAGGCAGGGAGATCACCTGAGGTCAGGAGTTCAAGATCAGCCTGGCCAATGTGGCAAAACCCCGCTCTACTAAAAATACAAAAAAAAAAAAAAAAAATTGCTGGGCGTGGTGGTGCATGCCTGTAATCCCAGCTACTTGGGAGGCTGAAGCAGGAAAATCGCTTGAACCCAGGAGGCAGAGGTTGCAGTAAGTGAGATCCAGCCTGGGTAACAGAGCAACACTCTGTTTCAAAAAAAAAAAAAAGAAAGAAAGAAAAAGAAAAAGAAAAAAAGAAAGAAAGAAAAGAAAAGAACTCTTCACAAAAATCTAATGATAATACCATAATCATTCCTGAAAAATTTTAATAATAATTCTTCAATATTACCAGATATTTAGGTACTGGTATTCATATTTCTAATTGTTTCATAAATGTCATAATTTTAATGGTTTAAATGAATCAAAATCCAAATAAGATCCACATACTGAGATTAGTTCATGCATAATAATGTTTCCTGTTTCTTTTTTGTTCCTAACAGTTTATTTTTGAAAAAAGTTGTGTCTTTCGGCCTGTAAAATTGACAATATCTACATTTTTCTTCTTTGCATACATCCTCCCCATTGTATCTTTTAACATGTTTCTCTCCCCACTATGTTTCCTGTAAACTTGTAGTTAGGTCTAGAGGCATGGTTTGATACAGGCTCAGTGTTTTGGTAAGGCTGCTTTATAAGTGGTGTTGTGTACTTCGATCAGAAAACACATGATACCTTGTTAGCTCTCATTCAGTGATGTTAACAAACATTGATAATTGCTGCTTGGATCCATTCTTTGATTTGGGGTTTGCAAATGATGACATTCTTTTTTTTTTTTTTTTTTTAGATGGAGTCTCACTCCGTCGCCAGGCTGGAGTACAGGTGTGATCTCGACTCACTGCAACCTCTGCCTCCCAGATTCAAGCAATTCTCCTGCCTTAGCCTCCCAAGTAGCTGGGAGTACAGGTGTCTACCACCATGACTGGGTAATTTTTTGTATTTCTTAGTAGAGATGAGGTTTCACCATGTTGGCCAGGCTGATCTCAAACTCCCGACCTCAGGTGATCCGCTGGCCTCAGCCTCCCAAAGTGCTGCGATTACAGGCACAAGCCACCACGCCTGGCCCAAATGATGACATTCTAATCTATCATTTCTTCTTGGAATTGACTACACGTTTTTCATATAGTTTAAAATATAGTTACACATTTTTTTTTAATTCCCTTAACAACTATTTAGTTCTCCTGAAATAAAGTTTATGCAGGAGGCCAGGTGCAGTGGCTCACACCTGTAATCCCACACTTTGGGAGGCCGAGATGGGTGGATCGCGAGGTCAAGAGATCGAGACCATCCTGACCAACATGGTGAAACCCTGTCTCTACTAAAAATACAAAAATTAGCTGGGCATGGTGGTGCGCACCTGTAGTCCTAGCTACTCTGGAGGCTAAGGCAGGAGAATCGCTTGAACCGGGAGGCAGAGGGTGCAGTGAGCTGAGATCGCACCTCTGCACTTCAGCCTGGTGACACAGTGACACTTTGTCTCAAAAAAAAAAAAAAAAAAGTTAGGGGTGGTTCCAAGATGGCCCAATAGGAACGGCGCCAATCTACAGCTCCCAGTGTGAGTGACGCAGAAGAAGGGTGATTTCTGCATTTCCAACTGAAGTACTAGGTTCATCTCACTGGGGATTGTCAGACAGTGGGTGCAGGACAGTGGGTGCAGCCCACTGAGCATGAGCTGAAGCAGGGCAAGGCATTGCCTCACCTGGGAAGTGCAAGGGGTCAGGGAATTCCCTTTCATAGCCAAAGGAAGCTGTGACAGATGGCACCTGGAAAATTGGGTCACTCCCACCCTAATACTGTGCTTTTCCAATGGTCTTAGCAAATGGCACACCAGGATATTATATCCCACACCTGGCTTGGAGGGTCCTGCGCCCATGGAGCCTCGCTCATTGCTAGCAAAGCAGTCTGAGATCGAACTGCAAGGCAGCAGCGAGGCTGGGAGAGGGGCACCTGCCGTTGCTGAGGCTTGAGTAGGTAAACAAAGCGGCCAGGAAGCTTGAACTGGGTGGAGCCCACCACAACTCAAGGAGGCTGGCCTGCCTCGGTAGACTCCACCTCTGGGGGCAGGGCATAGCTGAATAAAAGGCAGCAGAAACCTCTGCAGTCTTAAATGTCCCTGTCTGACAGCTTTGAAGACAGTAGTGGTTCTCCCAGCACAGAGTTTGTGATCTGAGCACGGTCAGACTGCCTCCTCAAGTGGGTCCCTGACCCCCGAGTAGCCTAACTGCGAGGCACCCCCCAGTAGGGGCAGACCGACACCTCACACAGCCAGGTACCCCTCTGAGACAAAGCTTCCAGAGGAATGATCAGGCAGCAACATTTGCTGTTCAGCAATATTCACTGTTCTGCAGCCTCCGCTGCTGATACCCAGGTAAACAGGGTCTGGAGTGGACCTCCAGCAAACCCCAACAGACCTGCAGCTGAGGGTCCTGACTGTTAGAAGGAAAACTAACAAACAGAAAGGACATCCACACCAAAACCCCATCTGTACGTCACCATCATCAAAGACCAAAGGTAGATAAAACCACAAAGATGGGGAAAAAACAGAGCAGAAAAGCTGAAAATCCTAAAAATCAGAGCGCCTCTCCCCCTCCAAAGGAACACAGCTCCTCACCAGCAACGTAACAAAGCTGGATGGAGAATGACTTTGACGAGTTGAGAGAAGAAGGCTTCAGACGATCAAACTTCTCTGAGCTAAAGGAGGAAGTTCGAACCCATTGCAAAGAAGCTAAAAACCTTGAAAAAAGATTAGACGAATGGCTAACTAGAATAACCCATGTAGAGAAGTCCTTAAATGACCTGAGGGAGCTGAAAACCATGGCACAAGAACTACGTGACGAATGCACAAGCTTCAGTAGCCGATTCAATCAACTGGAATAAAGGGTATCAGTGATTGAAGATTAAATGAATGAAATGAAGCGAGAAGTTTAGAGAAAATAGAGTAAAAAGAAACGAAGAAAGCCTCCAAGAAATGTGGGACTATGTGAGAAGACCAAATCTACGTCTGATTGGTGTACCTGAAAGTGACAGGGAGAATGGAACCAAGTTAGAAAACACTCTGCAGGATATTATCCAGGAGACCATCCCCAATCTAGCAAGGCAGGCCAACATTCAACTTCAGGAAATACAGAGAACGCCACAAAGATACTCCTCCAGAAGAGCAACTCCAAGACACATAATTGTCAGATTCATCAAAGTTGAAATGAAGGAAAAAATGTTAAGGGCAGCCAGAGAGAATGGTCAGGTTACCCACAAAGGGAAGCCCATCAGACTAATAGCGGACCCCTCGGCAGAAACTCTACAAGCCAGAAGAGAGTGGGGGCCAATATTCAACATTCTTAAAGAAAAGAATTTTCAATCCAGAATTTCGTGTCCAGCCAAACTAAGCTTCATAAGTGAAGGAGAAAAAAACTCCTTTACAGACAAGCAAATCCTGAGATATTTTGACACCACCAGGCCTGCCCTACAAGAGCGCCTGAAGGAAGCAGTAAACATGGAAAGGAACAACTGGTACCAGCCACTGCAAAAGCATGCCAAATTGTAAAGACCATCCATGCTAGGAAGAAACTGCATCAATAATGAGCAAAATAACCAGCTAACATCATAATGACAGGATCAAATTCACACATAACAATATGAACCTTAAATGTAAATGGGCTAACTGCTCCAATTAAAAGACACAGACTGGCAAATTGGATAGAGTCAAAAACCATCAGTGTGCTGTATTCAGGAGACCCATCTCACGTGCACAGACACACATAGGCTCAAAATAAAGGGATGGAGGAAGATCTACCAAACAAATGGAAAACAAAAAAAGGCAGGGGTTGCAATCCTAGTCTCTGATAAAACAGACTTTAAACCAACAAAGAGCAAAAGAGGCAAAGAAAGCCATTACATAATGGTAAAGGGATCAATTCAACAAGAAGAGCTGACTATCCTAAATATATATGCACCCAATAAAGGAGCACCCAGGTTCATAAAGCATGTCCTTAGAGACCTACAAAGAGACTTAGACTCTCACACAATAATAATGGGAGACTTTAGCACCCCACTGTCAACATTAGACAGATCCACGAGACAGAAAGTTAACAAGGGTATACAGGAATTGAACTCAGCTCTGCACCAAGCGGACCTAACAGACATCTACAGAACTCTCCACCCCAAATCAACAGAATATACATTCTTCTCAGCACCACATCGCACTTATTCCAAAATTGACCACATAGTTAGAAGTAAAGCACTCCTCAGCAAATGTAAAGAACAGAAATTATAACAAACTGTCTCTCAGATCACAATGCAATCAAACTAGAACTCAGGATTAAGAAACTCACTCAAAACTGCTCAACTACATGGAAACTGAACAACCTGCTCCTGAATGACTACTGGGTACATAACGAAATGAAGGCAGAAATAAAGATGTTCTTTGAAACCAGCGAGAACAAAGACACAACATACCAGAATCTCTGGGACACAATCAAAGCAGTGTGTAGAGGGAAATTTATAGCACTAAATGCCCACAAGAGAAAGCAGGAAAGATCTAAAATTGACACCCTAACATCACAATTAAAAGAACGAGAGAAGCAAGAGCAAACCCATTCAAAAGCTAGCAGAAGGCAAGAAATAACTAAGATCAGAGCAGAACTGAAGGAGATAGAGACACAAAAAACTCTTCAAAAAAGCAATGAATCCAGGAGCTGGTTTTTTGAAAAGATCAACAAAATTGATAATCTGCTAGCAAGACTAACAAAGAAGAAAAGAGAGAAGAATCAAATAGACACAATAAAAAATGATAAAGGGGATATCACCACCGATCCCACAGAAATACAAACTGCCATCAGAGAATACTATAAACACCTCTGCGCAAATAAACTAGAAAATCTAGAAGAAATGGATAAATTCCTGGAAACATATGCCCTCCCAAGACTAAACCGGGAAGAAGTTGAATCCCTGAATAGACCAATAACAGGCTCTGAAATTGAGGCAATAATTAATAGCTTACCAACCAAAAAAAGTCCACGACCAGACAGATTCACAGCCAAATTCTCCCAGAGGTACAAGGAGGAGCTGGTACCATTCCTTCTAAACTATTCCAATCAATAGAAAAAGAGGGAATCCTCCCTAACTCATTTTATGAGGCCAGCATCATCCTGATACCAAAGCCTGGGAGAGACACAACAAAAAAAGAGAATTTTAGACCAATATCCCTGATGAACATCACTGCAAAAATCCTCAATAAAATACTGGCAAACCGAATCCAGCAGCACATCATAAAGCTTATCCACCGTGATCAAGTGGGCTTCATCCCTGGGATGCAAGGATGGTTCAACATATGCAAATCAATAAATGTAATCCAGCATATAAACAGAACCAAAGACAAAAACCACATGATTATCTCAATAGATGCAGAAAAGGCCTTTGACAATATTCATCCGCCCTTCATGCAAAAAATTCTCAATAAATTAGGTTTTGATGGGACGTATCTCAAAATAATAAGAGCTATTTATGACAAACCCACAGCCAATATCATACTGGATGGGCAAAAACTAGAAGCATTCCCTTTGAAAACTGGCACAAGACAGGGATGCCCTCTCTCACCACTCCTATTCAAATAGTGTTGGAAGTTCTGGCCAGGGCAATTAGGCAAGAGAAAGAAATAAAGGGTATTCAATTAGGAAAAGAGGACGTCAAATTGTCCCTCTTTGTGGATGACATGACTGTATATTTAGAAATCCCCATCGTCTCAGCCCAAAATTTCCCTTAAGCTGATAAGCAACTTCAGCAAAGTCTCAGGATAGAAAATCAATGTGCAAAAATCACAAGCATTCTTAGACACCAATAACAAACAGAGCCAAATCATGAGTGAACTCCCATTCACAGTTGCTTCAAAGAGAATAAAATACCTAGGATTCCAACTTACAAGGGATGTAAAGGACCTCTTCAAGGAGAACTACAAACCACTGCTCAATGAAATAAAAGAGGATACAAACAAATGGAAGAACATTCCATGCTCACGGATAGCAAGAATCAATATCATGAAAATGGCCATACTGCCCAAGGTAATTGATAGATTCAATGCCATCCCCATCAAGCTACCACTGGCTTTCTTCACAGAATTGGAAAAAACTACTTTAAAGTTCATATGGAACCAAAAAAGAGCCCGTATTGCCAATTCATTCCTAAGCCAAAAGAACAAAGCTGCAGGCATCATGCTACCTGACTTCAAACTATACTACAAGGCTACAGTAACTAAAACAGCATGGTACTGGTAACAAAACGGAGATATAGACCAATGGAACAGAACAGAGCCCTCAGAAATAAAACCACACATCTACAACCATCTGATCTCTGACAAAAACAAGAAATGGGGAAAGGATTCCCTATTTAATAAATGGTGCTGGGAAAACTGGCTAGCCATATGTAGAAAGCTGAAACTGGATCCCTTCCTTACACCTTATACAAAAATTAATTCAAGATGGACTAAAGACTTAAATGTTAGACCTAAAACCATAAAAACCCTAGAAGAAAACCTAGGCAATACCATTCAGGACATAGGCATGGGCAAGGACTTCATGTCTAAAACACCAAAAGCAATGGCAACAAAATCCAAATTGACAAATGGGATCTAATTAAACTAAGGAGCTTCTGCACAGCAAAAGAAACTACCATCAGAGTGAACAGGCAACCTACAAAATGGGAGAAAATTCTTGCAATCTACTCATCTGACAAAGGGCTAATATCCAGAATCTACAAAGAACTCAAACAAATTTACAAGAAAAAAACAAACAACCCCATCAAAAAGGGGGTGAAAGATATGAACAGACACTTCTCAAAAGAAGACATTTATGCAGCCAACAGACATGTGAAAAAAATGCTCATCATCACTGGCCATCAGAGAAATGCAAATCAAAACCACAATGAGACATCATCTCACACCAGTTAAAATGGCGATCATTAAAAAGTCAGGAAACAACAGGTGCTGGAGAGGATGTGGAGAAATAGGAACACTTTTACACTGTTGGTTGGACTGTAAACTGATTCGACAATTGTGGAAGACAGTGTGGCGATTCCTCAAGGATCTAGAACTAGAAATACCATTTGACCCAGCTATCCCATTACTGGGTATATACCCAAAGGATTATAAATCATGCTGCTATAAAGACACATGCACATGTATGTTCCTTGTGGCACTGTTCACAATAGCAAAGACTTGGAACCAACCCAAATGTCCATCAATGATAGACTGGATTAAGAAAATGTGGCATTATATACACCATGGAATACTATGCAGCCATAAAAAAGGATGAGTTCATGTCCTTTGTAGGGACATGGATGAAGCTAGAAACCATCATTCTTAGCAAACTATCTCAAGGACATAAAACCAAACACTGCATGTTCTCACTCATAGGTGGGAACTGAACAATGAGAACACTTGGACACAGGAAGGGGAGCATCACACACCAGTCATGGGGTGGGGAGATGGGGGAGGGATAGCATTAGCATATATACCTAATGTAAATGACGAGTTAATGGGTGCAGCACACCAACATGGCACATGTATACATATGTAACAAACCTGCACGTTGTGCACACGTACCCTAGAACTTAAAGTATATAAAAAAAGAAAAACTATTTTAGAAAAAAAAAAAATACTTAGACCACAGAGAGCTGGCATTCACTCAAATGCTAAACAGGACACGAGGGTCTGTTTTGAAGCCCCTCATGGAAGGGCGTTTTCTGTCCTATGGTGTGCGTTCTCTACCAAATCGAGCATGAGATTTTTTGCATGACGTGCAATTTGCATCCACCTTCCCTTCTGACTCACGTTGGCAGATAAACTGTCCCCAGACCCTGCCACACATGGAAGAGACAGCTCAGGCCAAATACAGGCATGATTTCTTTGCCAAGTTAATCCACTGATGACCCTGCAGTGAGTGGGTGTGATTTTTGTTTTGTTTTGAGGTTTAGAAAGGAGACTCTACTTTGAAAATGGAACTTGTTTGATTCTGTAGTTAAATTTCTACATTTGGAATGGGAAGGCATCTCCATGCCAGCAGGGTGCCTTTTATATCAGTGCTAAGGATAGTTTGCATTGCAGAGTTGATGATTACAGTCTAGAGTTACTTGAAATGGGAGATTATCAGTCTAGTGTTCATCCTGCCCCTGCTCCATGTCCTTGTGTGGCTGCTCCAGCGAGAGCTGGTAACTAGGTAGATTGCTGCTCTAATGGGAGAAGGGAGCTTTGCAAAGCCGAGGAATCAAGCCAGATGCGAGCATGGACTCAGAAAAGCTGAGTCTGGCTAGACCAGGGCTATGGAGATAAATTTTTCCAACAGGTCATTAGGATTTGGGAGGCTGTATTTCTCCTCCACCCTCTTAATTGATGCTATGGCTTTGCTCATTCACTAGGCAGTTCCCACTTTCTTTAGCAAATGGAGGAAATTAAGCACCGATTTGGCACTTCCCACTGCCTGGAGAGAAATAAACCTCGCAAGTTATTAAGGAGAAGGCATGCCACATTGGTAATTTGGAAGACACCAACACTTACCCAGAATCTGTTGCTATTTAAAAATCAGGGAGAGGAGGGCACATGTCCCCATTTGTTACATTAGAAACTTTGGAAGAGACTCACCTGAACTAACTTGGGGAAATAATTTCTAGGTTGAAGCTGGTAACGCTCATTTCTGTTGAGTGCCATAAGTTTGTTTTCCGTTATTTTGTCTAACTTGATATTAATTTGCTTTCTTTCCTCAAAAATGTAAGTAGGCATGTTGCCATTGTTGTGGCTTGCTTTGATGTATGTTTGGAAAGATGTGTGAATACTTAATTTTTATCCATTTTATGGAAATTAGCTTAGCAATTTTTTTCTCTTTTAAGAGTCAAAATATGGATTTGATACTAGGAACAGAATCTGCTCTTTATGTCATTCCTTGTTTGTCCCTTCTGCTTCCTCTGCCCCTCCCCCAGCCACCCGTCACGGGGTGCCAGTGTGCATGTGTGTGCTGGGTTAGTTTGTGCTGGGGGCCAAATGACAGAACCCCGGTTGAAAATCCACTTGTAAACGCACAAGTGAGAGGCAGCATCAGGCCCCCGGAGGGTTGTGGTCCTCGGACTCGGTTCTTTCCTGTCCCCTGGCCGTCCTGTCGTCCCTGTGTGCTGCAGCATCACCACAGCCCACTTCTCAATATCCACAAAGCTTCGCCTTTGCTTTTGCACTCTTTTACATTTTTTTACTTCTTTCCTTTTTCTTAAGTTAGAATCCAAATTTGTCTTCTTATCCATCACCATGTTCCCTGAAAGCCTTTTTGAGATTTAAGAAATTTTCTTACCAGGAGGCAGCTTTCCGTCTGTCCTAAAGGGAAGTGGGCGCTGGATTTATTAGATGTTGGGTTCCTGGATTAAGATGACTTCCTTACGTAGCTTGGAGTCTGCAGTTTCTCAATTAGAAGTGTTCTATATTTCTTTTTGCTCCATTTTAGTGGGCTGTGCTTTGTATAAGTGGTCTTTCTATGGGCAGTTTCACCTTCCATGAAGGCTTATAACTCAACCACTACTACCCATTCAGAAGAGCAGAAAGTATCTGCTGTGTGAGCGTCCATATGTTACCTAATGTGTATTTTGCTGTCATCTCAGCTGATAGATGTCAGTGAGTCTTTCTGACTAGGTTTATTGGTGTTGATAAGAAATTAAAAAAGGATTCATAACGTGGTGATTGTGTCTATCATGTATATTTTAAATTTCTGAACATAGTTTCATTTGGCTGTTTTTCTTTGCTTTATAAAGATGTATAACAATCATGTATATGTATTGTATTGAAGAATAAACATGGACCTCAAAAAAAAAAGTGGCCGGGCACAGTGGCTCACGCCTGTAATCCCAGCACTTTGGGAGGCCGAGGCGGGTGGATCACGAGGTCAGGAGATCGAGACAATCCTGGCTAACACGGTGAAATCCCGTCTCTACTAAAAATACAAAAAATTAGCCGGGCGCGGTGGCGGGCGCCTGTAGTCCCAGCTACTCGTGAGGCTGAGGCACGAGAATGGTGTGAACCCGGGAGGCGGAGCTTGCAGTGAGCCGAGATGGCGCCACTGCACTCCAGCCTGGGTGAAAGAGCAAGACTCCGTCTCAGAAAAAAAAAAAAAAAAAAAAAGTTTATGCAGGAAGAGGAAGTTAAATATCCTTTTATTGATAGTTTTCAGAAAAATGAGTCAGTTCCCTTGTATTTTCTAAAGAAGACCAATGTTTGTGGTGGTGGGGTTAACATATGTAAATGTAAATATACAAAAATATCTACATATGGTATTAAATCAGGTATCTAGATTTTTTAGTATTTTTGTAAACAAATTTAAGCATTTTAACTATTCTTCAACCAAATGTTAAATACTGTAATAAACATGTCATATCAATTGCCATAGTCATAATACTACAAAATATTTAAATGGTCAAAGGAAGCATAATTTAATTTGTTTAAGACAGGGTCTTGTTTTGTCACCCGGCTGGAGTGTGGTGGCACAATCACAACTCACAGCATCCTCAACCACCAGGCTCAAGCAATCCTCCCACCTCAGCCTCCTGTAGCTAGGTCCATAGGTGCATGCCACCACACCCAGCTAATTTTATTTTTTGTGGAGATGGGGTGTCACTATGTTGCCCAGGTGGGTCTTGAACTCCTGGGCTCAAGTGATCCTCCAGCCTTGGCCTCCCAAAGTGCTGAGATTAAAGGTGTGAGCCAGTGCATCCTATCCATACTTAAGTTTAAATCAGATTAGGATTTAGTTATAATTCTAATGTTAGATTTCTACTTTCTTACTTTCCCATCAAGTCAAAAACAGTTTCAATAAGAAAACTTTTCAAAACTATTAGTTACTTTTATATATATCTAAGGATAGTCACAACCGAATTCCTCTACAAAAACTTTAAAGATATAGACATACTGCTTTTGGAGGATGATAACTGGGTCTGTGGATGCTGCCCCAGGAGCGGGAGCTGTTGCATCCCCTCCTCTTTTCCACTTCCCACTGCAACTAATAAAGGCCATTTCTACCGTTAAATTTTCTAAAAAGATATAGGTATAAAAAGGAAACTCACAGGAGCTTAAGGATGTTAAGATGGAACTGACAATGTCAGGCAATCAGAAGAAAGAAGAGCCAACAGTTGGCCATCTAATTCCACTGCTAGTTAGCCTGTAAACTGGAGCCAGAAAGAGAACTGAAATTCAAGTGAGAGAAGCGAAATTAAACATTCTACTTGTTAGTCACTTGAATCATGATATTTTGTGAAAACAACTGAAAACATGGTTGTTTCTGAGTTACCTAAGTTTAACATTGTGCATAGCTAGGAGAAAAATATTAACTGGGGTTACCTTCTCCTTTCCATACTTATACTCAAGAAAAGACATCATGTTTCCAAACATTGGAAGAAAGACTTTTAGCTTGCTTCAGGTGAGAAGAGAAGGAACTCACCACAGAGTGGCAGAGACCAAGTCCTGGGGCATGCAGTGACTCTCTCGCTAACTTGGCTGTGGCTGTCACAGTCTGAATACAGTGAGAAGATCTCTGATAGGTGTGTCTCTGAGACTGTCTGGAGCCTCAATGCCCAAGAGGCAGGCTCCAGGCTCTATAACAGCATCCTGGAGTCAACAGAGCAATGACAGCAAACATGAAGAACAAAGGACCAGCTCAACCTCTTGATTTTGACATTACAGAAACCCAACATTGTTGTAGGACCCCACCAAGGGGGCAAAGGGAGTCCCAAAAATGATTGTTTGGATTTTCCCTTCAACTCAGAACGGATTACATTTGATTTAAGAAATGTGGGAGTGTGATATTTCTTGTACCCTGGCATTTTAGAATAAAACTCATGCTCATTATATGTAGTTTTATAATAGTGATCTCTCAGCAAAAAGCATATATACTAAGTAGAATTCTGCCCTCTATCATGAGAGCTAATAATAAGGCTCTCATCAGTTTTTTGTCTCAGATTTTTATTATTAATTTATCTATTTGAGACAGGGTCTGCCTCTGTCACCCAGACTGGAGTGCAGTTGTGTGATCTCAGCTCACTGCAACCTCTGCCTCCCAGGCTCAAGCCATCTTCCCACCTCCGCCTCCCAAGGAGCTGGGACTACATATGCGCGCCACCACACCTGGCTAATTTTTGTATTTTTGGTTGAGACAGGATTTCACCATGTTGCCCAGGCTGGTCTGGAACTCCTGGGCTCAAGCAATCCTCCCACCTTGGCCTCCCAAAGTGCTTGGATTATAGGCATGAGCCACTGCACCAGGCTTGTCTCTCATTTTTAAAGATTAGCTGATACTTCTTCCTTCTTGAAACCCTCTCTTCAATTGGATTCCATGACACCACATTTTTTGCGAAGCTCTTTGTAAATTTCCTGTGTGAGCTTTTCCTCCATCAGAACACAAAATGACAGATCTCCTCAGGGCTCAGTTCTAAGGCCTGCCCCTCTCCACCACCACACCTAGATGACTTAATCTACTGCAGGCTGCAATTATCACCATGTGCTGAAGATTCCCATGTCCCTTTTCTGAGCAACGGACCTTTATATTCAACTAATTGCTGACAATTTTTACTTACATTTCTCATGATAACGTGTTATAATACTTAGCACAGTGTCTGTTACATAATAGAATCTCAATAAGTATTAGCTAATTGACAAATATACTTACACAGTACCATTAAAAAGATAGACATATAGAATTCCCTTTCGTTTTTGAACTTAGCATTTTTGTGTATGTTGTATAACCTAATAATGTTGTGTCCTGTGGGAGAAACAAAAGAACTAAAATTTCCCATATTACAATTTTAAATTATTATCTTTCTCACCCAACCAGTTTTTCTCCAGTGTCCACTGTATTTGTGAACTGTACTCACTTATTTGCTCAAGACAGAAATTTGGGAGTCACCCACTTTGCCTCCTTTTCCCAAACCACTACCCACCCGCCACAGACACACACAGACACACAGACACACACACTCTCTTATTCACATGCCGATGAAGTTTCTTCTAAACATGTCTCCAATCAATCCTCAAAGCATCAGCCCCCAACCCTCTTGATTTATTGGGGGCTATGTGATCTGATTTCTTAGCCATCATCCTCTCCCTGACCCCAGCTTCTCACTATAGCCAGGGTGGCTTCCATGTTCTGCAAACAGGTCAGTCTCTTCATAGTCTCACAGTCTTTGCTCTTCCCTCGACTTGGAATGTTCTTCCCCATCTTCCCCCACTTTCTCTAGGCTTTTAATCAAAAAGTCCTTCCTTAGTGAGACTTTCCTGATTATGTTATCTAAAAATTTAACACCTGGCACTTAACATCTCCCTTTCCAACTAATTTTTTGTTACCTTAGACCATCCCATATCTTTTACCTGCTTATCTTGTTTGATATCATCTTAATAGAAAATAAGCTCCATAAAAGCAGGATTTTTTAGAGTCAGGCTCTCACTCTGCTGCCCAGCTTGGGGTGCAGTGGAGCAATCATGGTTCACTGTAACCTCAAACTCCTGGGCTCAAGTGATCCTTCTGCCTCAGCCTCCTGAGTAGCTAGGACTACAGGTGTGTGCTACCATGCCCAGGTACAGCAGGATATACATATATATATATATATATATATATATATAACATATATATATAAAACATATATATGTTATATGTGGATACATATATATGTATTTATATGTGTGTGTGTATATATACTTATTTATTTATTTTGAGCTAGAGTCTCACTCTGTCTGTGGCCCAATCTCGGCCCACTGCAAACTATGAACTACTTTCATAGTTGATAGATCAAGGAAAGCAGGTTTAAGTGTGTTTGAATTTGGCAGTGCCATTAATAGACGATTTGAGAATAAGTAACCACATTGTCAGGGCTAGGGGAAGGGGTAAAGGCAGAAGTTTGTGCTGGGGGTATGTAAGTAAGAAAAAGTCTTATCTAACGCATCATCAAGTTAAAAGACAATGTCTAAACTTGATGTATCAAGATATAATGTATAAGTGCATTATTTATAAATATGAAGGTTACTAACAAGAACTGACACTGCGAAAGAGTTGGGTAGAATAGCTTCCAATTGGAAAAAATGGGGCAGAGGACTGTTCATTTCTATTATAAATGTTATTGTACTCCATTGCCTTATTTACAAAACGGATATAATAATAGTACTTACTTCATATGGTTGTGAGGATTATAAGATAATTTCCATGAAAGGCTAAAAACAATACTTGGAACAAATAAAAACTCAATCGCTATTAACTATTATTACTAATACTTTTAAAGTTACTTAACGTACACATACATTATTTTGGTTAAACTTTTTTTTTAATTTTACAAAAGTGAGGAGTTGACATCACTGAGCAAAGATTACTGTTTACAGAATCTAGCTAGATTGGATTTTTTTAGGTTAGTTTCCTAAATTCAGTTAGTTTTAGTTTAGTTAAGATTAGAAAAACAAGTTTATAATGTAAGGGGTTGATGGGTAAGATCTGGTGAAGTGCAAGAGGCTTAAGGTTTACAAATTAAAATATATAATTGATAAAATAAGATCATGCAGGAGGCAAAAGAAGTTGAATTTTAAAGTTGATGGAGTATTTTCGTTTCTTTTAAAAAAGTATCCCACTATACTGTGACATCTTTGAGATCAGTGTCTTACTTATCTTGTCAGTCACCTAGGATATGTCATAGTACCTAAGACAGAGTTGGCATACTCTGTTTATGAATGAACAAGTGTGAAAAATAAGAATGAATCTAGATGTCCTCTTTTGAGTGGAGTTAGCTGAATTGTGGTATTCATAATAAAAATAATAAGAGTAATAGGTTTGATTTGGGAAGAAGACGATGAGTCCATATTTGGAGATGTTGAGTTTTGAGTTGCCTGTGGAGATATCCAACAGAGATTTAGAAGTTTGAGCAGAGGTCAGGAGATAGATTTGGGATCCATGAGCATATAGGTAGGAGTCAAAACTCAGGATTTAATTGTGTAGGATTCTTAGTTACAAACAACAGAAACCACACTGGATATTTTAAAAGGAGAAAAGAAATTTACCAAAAAGATATTAAATATCACAAATAATTTTCAAGAGGGCTGGAGAACTAGCCTCAGGTCACAGAGAGAAATAGGATCCAAAATCCTGCCATAGAACTGATATGGTATTACTGTCACTAGATATTGGAGATTGATTGCAGCCCTGTTGCCAATGGTGTCCCAGGAATTTACCTTTCCACAACCTCTGTCTCTTGGAAGCCCTTATGATTGCTATTCCACGTTGAGTGTATATGATTGATAGTCTTGGTTATACACTTTTATCCTGTCCTAGCTATAAAGAAAACTGAGAAAGATAATTCCTAGCTTATTTTTTTTCTTTGAGGGAGAAGTCAAACATTACCTTCTACCAAAGTTTATAAGATAGAGAAATTATCTGAATATGGGAAAAGGATCCAGCTACTAGCCATGATAACAAAGTTTTACTATAGAGGATATAGAATGGAAGAAGAGAGTCAAAGATGTAACCCTAGGGGAAGACCAACATTTACATGGTGGACAGAAAGAGAACCCAACAGAAATCACAGAAGGACAAAAGGACTAGGTTGAGAATTAGGAGAGCTAGTTATCATGAAAGTCAAGGAGGAAGAGATTTACAAAGGTCAACATTGTCAAAAGGAGCAAAGAGGTCAAATAAGATAGAGCTGTCGGAAATTTTCTTAAGATCAGTTGCAGTGAATAGACTGGGGGTAAAGGAGGAAAATTCAAAGATTGAGGAGAGAATGGAGGTAAACAAGTAAAGTCAGGTAGGAACCAGTCTTTAGAAACTTTGGTTACGCAGGAAGAGGAAAGCCAGGATCTAAAAGAAAATGAGTAAAATAATTAAGTTATGTGAAATAGGAAGGCCTTTTGGCAGTGAAGGCCAATTTAGTTAAACGTATTAAGTTTGAGATGTTGGCAAGGTTGCGGATAGGCAGACAAAAACTTGTTTGAAGCATAGGTAAGAGAAGTCAAAAAAGGATCTTTAGCTCAGAACTGAAGGTTATTTGCATAGTAGTCTTAATTGAAACTTAGACAGTGGAAGCGCTGAGAGAGCAGAAAAGGAAGAGGAAAGGCCTGAAACAGAAAAGTGCCTAGTTAGGATGTGGGTGCAGAATAAAGGAGCAGAGAGGAAAATGGTAGGTGAACTTGGCACCTGTAGTGCTATGGTTTCAATGTTTGTGTCCCTCCAAAAATCACATTGGAACCGAAGACCCAACACAATATACTAAGAGGTGAGGCCTTCAGGAGGTGATTAGGCCCTTATAAAAGCTTGAAGGAGTGAGTTTGTCCCTTTTTAGCCCTTCTGTCCCTTCTGCCATGTGAGAACACAGTTTTCATCCCCTCCAGGGGACACAGCGACAAGATGCCATCTTGGAAGCAGACAGCAAACCCTGGCGACACTGAACATGCTGGTACCTTGATCTCGGACTTTAGGACTGTGCAAAATACATTTCTATTATTTATAAATTGCCCAGTTTAAGATATTTTGTTATAGCAAGAGGAATGGACTAAGACACAGGGTGACTCTGAAAGGGTGGGCTGAAAGGGCTTTGGGAGAAAGGAGTGACCCTCTGGGACCAGGGAAAGTCTAAGAGATAGTCACATTTTGGCATATGCTTGTAGGAAATCTGTTTCAATCCATTGATCTACCAGTACCATGCTGCTGAAATTAATAAAGATTTATAGTAGATTTGTACATTTTTAATGTCTAGTTTGGCTTATTTTCCATAATTCAATGGATAATTTTTATACAGCAGATGCTATTTGTCAAGCATTCAGTTTATACAAGTGCCAATTACATATCTGTCTGTTTAGCACAACCACAAAATAAATGGTTTACATCAATTATTGTATTAATAGTACCCAAATGCAATCTCATCTAAGTAACTTCTAGTATAACTGCTAACAATATATAATTAACATAATTATAATGCTATGTATATAGCAATATTCCCATAATGTATCAAAAGATTGCTAGCTTCTTTTCTGTAAATCTGGCACAGAATTAAAATTATGTAGCCTAATATTCAGCACCAATATCATGAAAATGACTAAGAAGTGCCTGACTGTACTTAGCATTCTGCGTAAGTTCTAGGCTATATAATATTAATGACTTTGACAAGAAAAAGAGCTGTAAAGTAATATATTTCTTGTATACTTCTGCCAAGATATAAACTTCTGGCAAAGTCCAACTATCATAGTTTTTTGGGTTGAAGTTAAAAAAAAAACAACTATTATTCCTAAACTTTGCATAACAAATTAGAATATACACACAAAAGAAAGGAAATTAAAAGAAATACATCTTAAATATCAATTGCTTCTGCTTAACAACTGGTTATTGTCATTTCTTAAAGGACCACACTTACAGATTCTATTTTTCCTTAGTCAATCTGTTTCCTTTTTAAAATATTTAGTTTGTTAAGTAGATTTTCAAGATTCTTTCTAAATCATGTAATGTCCAGAGTTTTAGAATGTTGGCCAGTAAACACTTGATATACTTTTTTTTTTTGAGACAGGATCTCACTCTGTTGCCCAAACTGGAGGGCAGTGGCTCCATCTCGGCTCACTGCAATCTCTACCTCCCAGGTCCCAGTGATTCTCCAGCCTCGGTTACCTAAGTAGCTGGGACTACAGGCACATACCACCACACCCGGCTAATATTTATTTGTTTGTTTTTTTGTTTGTTTATTGTATTTTTAGTAGAGACAGGGTTTCACCATGTTGGCCAGTCTGGTCTCAAACTCCTGACCTCAAGTGATCTGCCCAGCTCAGCCTCCCAAATTGCTAGGATTACAGGTGTGAGCCACCACGCCCGGCCAACACGTCATACAACTTTTAAATACAATTTGCAAATGAAATTTTTCTTTTTATTTATTTATTGTTTTGGAAATGGAGTCTCACTGTTGCCCAGGCTGGAGTACAGTGGCATGATCTTGGCTTACTGCAGCCTCTGCCTCCTGGGTTCAAGTGATTCTCCTGCCTCAGTCACCTAAGTACCTGGGACTACAGGTGTGTGCCACTACACCCAGATAATTTTTTGTATTTTCAGTAGAGATGGGGTTTCACCATGTTGGCCAGGCTGGTCTTGAACTCCTGACCTCAAACGATCCTCCTGCCTCAGCCTCCCAAAATGCTGGGATTACAGGCATGAGCCACCATGCCCGGCCTGCAAACAAAATATTTCTATACACAATACCAACATATCTTTTGTAGAGTGTTTTTCCATGAGGTTTGATTACATAAGCTAATCCTGAAAATTAGAAATACCCAGAAAACAGGCAACTTCTCAATTTATGTTGACATTCAGTCTTTCTTAAAGGACTTGATATAAACATCTTTAATTCTGACATGAATTGGATTTTTGTCTAAGTAGCCAACTCATGATAACAAAAGATGGCATTTTAACAAGTATTTTTATGCAGTTTGACATAAGGGATTTTGGATTAAACCAATGCAGCCCTTGGGAGTAAAAATTTGGGAATTTGAATAAACAAGATCACGTAAAACATAGCATTTTGAAGTTTTATGGCAGTGGTTTTTGAATGAAAAACTTTTCCTTGAACAATTTCTTTATTCTGTGTTGCAGTAGCTTTTTTTCCCTTCTGTGCCTGAGCAAGTGATTAACTTGCCTTTGATTAGCTAAAGGCACTTCTTTATTATTCATCAAAATGCGCAGAAATTTAAAAATGTGTGAACTTATCAGTAAACCATAAACCATACAACCATACTGAGAAAAAAGTTATTATAGCTATTATTATACCCTATAATTGTAATTTTAATCTTTTGTCCCTTAAACTGTCAATCAATATAAATAATTAGGTGTCTACTGTTTCCCAGACATATTCTGTACATATCATTTAGGATTTATTTATTTATTTATTTAGAGAGGGACTCTGGTTCTGTTGACCAGGCTGGAGTGCAATGGCACAATCTCAGCTCATTTTAACTTCCGCCTCCTAGGTTCAAGCGATTCTCCTGCCTCAGCCTCCTGAGTAGCTGGGATTACAGGTGTGCACCACCACACCCAGCTAATTTCATTGAGAATTTAGAAAACAAACTAATGGTACTATTTCTTAGTGTTTTAAATTAGAACATATCTTGCCTCATGAAGCTTTAAATTATTATTTTCAGTTTCTCCCCATGAAGCGCTCTCGTCTGACATTTGTTTGGAATCGTACCACTGCCGGTCTGCACCAGATGTACCGTCCTTTCAAATATGATTTTCTGTTGTACCTTGTAGTGAATTCTGCAAATCATCTTCCCCACCTAAAAATGTCTGAATGCTAACACGAATAAATTATATAACATGCAAAAATGTATAAATAAATAAAAAAGAAACAACATCTTTTTTTTTTTTTGGAGATAAAGTCTTGCTGTCACCCATGCTGGAGTGCAGTGGTGCAATCAGAACTCACTGCAGCCTCAAACTCCCTGGTTCAAGCCATCGTCCCACCTCAGCGTCCTGAGTAGCTGGAACTACAGGCATGCACCTCCATGCCAGGCTAATTTTTTTTTTTAACTTTTCTGTAGAGACAGAGTCTTGCTCTGTTGCCAGGGCTGCTCTTGAACTCCCAGCGATCCTCCCACCTCAGCCTCCCAAAGTGCTGGGATTACAGACATGAGCCACCACTCCCAGTCTTCTTTTATTATTTTAAATAAATATTCACATTTGTAATTATATATTTTTAAAAGAAAACCTTCCAAATTATTTCAGCTTCAGGCCCCATAAAATCTGATCATCCCTGAAAAATAGATAGGAATGAACTAATATTAATTCATTGCTGAATTGATGAGAAAACTTTTAGTAAAGGTAAGACAAGTAGCACAAGGTAAAGAAAAAAGCAAGAATTTTAGGGCAGAGCTTGTAAATGCAAAGGCCTATTGGCAGGACCTAGTGCAAAATAAAAATTTGTGACTCCTTGATCAAGAATTTTAATGAATTTCAAATAGTGATAGCAGAACATTAATTCAAGCACAAGTATCTTCTAAGCATGCGCGCCGGTAGGACTGTCCATGACCCACATGCATGAAGCCAGCCTGTGGGCACCATTAGGTAATACAAGCAAGAAAACCTCCAACTAAAAAGGCGTGGGTCCTACCTAAAGGACCCTCCGTGACTTAGCTTGAGTGACAGTTGTCAGGTCAGGCCCAGTGTTGCCACCTTTGTCAATTTATTAAGAGAAGTCAGAAATCTGGATTTCTTTATGCAGTCAGCTGGTTTTTAAATATTGACTATTCAAATTATCAAAAAAAAAATTGTACAGACCACAACAAATGTGTCTGAGTGGGTTAATCATGGTGTTAAATATAGGCTACAAACCTTCATCTGGAATCTTTGCTTCAGAAGCAGAAAGACCTGGATTTGCATCTTGACTTTTTTCTCCACATGGTGACTGTTTGGTCTTTTCTGAGATTTGTTTTCCTTATCTAGTTCAGAGCCTGGCATATGGAAAGTGCTCCATAAATGCTAGTTCAATATCTCACACTCTCAAACACTTACGCTGGTTGCTCTTTGAATTATTCGTCATAGAAGACACATCTTGTTATAGTAGTAGATATTTTTATTTAAAAGTAAAAAAAATTCAGAAATCTTTTTTCCTTTGGATGCTATGTAAGTGGTAGACAAAGGAAATGCCCTTCTCTAATTCATCTAATCCTTAAATAGAATATAATTATGAGGCTCACATGCTTATTTTATTTCTTGCATAAGAAGCTATGGTTAGAAAAATAATCAGATAACCTGGTACTCATATCAACAGTGAATGGTCAACTAGGTACCCATTTCCTCTGTCTAAAAAAGGAAATCTATGTACCTATTTCTACCATCTAAAAATGAAACATTTAAAATAACCTAATTCATAGCATTTCTCAAAATTGTCATAACCAAAGTCTTGTTCCTAAGAAATCTGTAAAGAGAAGGTGAAAACTGTTTGAAATGGAAAAATGTTTATATAGATGAATTGTTTTATAAACTTCGATATCGTATTAGTCAGCTATTACAATGATAATGTTCTATACAAACCACTGCAAAACTCAGTGACTTACAACAATTAGCATTTGTTTCTTGCTCATCCATCTTTGGATCTGTTGTGGTTCAAGCTGACCTAGGTTGGACCCAGCTGGGCTTGGCTCCAAGCTGTAGGTTGGGTCCAAGTCTAATCTATGAATTTCTTTTCTTTCTTTCTTTCTTTCCTTCTCTCCTTCCTTCCTTCCTTCCTTCTTTCTTTCTTTCTCTTTTTCTTTCTTTCTCTCTCTCTCTTTCTTTTTTTTCTTCCTTCCTTCCCTCCCTTCTTTCTTTCTCTCTCTTTCTCTCTCTCCTTCCTTCCTTCCTTCCTTCCTCTTTCCAGACAGAGTCTTGCTGTGTTGCCCATGCTAAAGCACAGTATCTATTCACAGGCACCATATCGTGCATCGTGCACCTTGAACTGCTGGACTCAAGCAATCCTGCTGCCTCAACCTCTCCAGTAGCTGACACTATAGGCATGTGCCACTACACCAGGCTGCCCCACAGATTTCTTCTCTTCCTTGGACCAGCAGCATATTATTCTCACGGCAAAAGGCAGAAGAGGAAGAGGGCAAGCCCAAATGCTCATTTCAAACCTGTGCTTACAAGGCCCTTGGCATTCACTGACCGAAGTAAGTCATATGGTTAAGCCCAAGTTAAGGGATGAAAAGGTCTACTCCACCCATCATAGGGCCATTGTAATGGTGAGGATGTAATAACAAGAGAGAGAATAATTGAGTTTAAGAATTCAAATATGCCTCAAATACCTTAATAAAACTGAAATATTTTTGAGCTATACCTTTCAGAGTTTTATCCTCCACGGAACATTATTGAAGTTTGCCTACATTTGTTTTGAATTTTTTTTTTGGACCAAAATGATTGCTGTGGATATTCTGGTGTGGAACACTGAGATAGCAAGTCAGGAGTAATGCAAACGTTAAGGGATATCCAAGTCTACCTCTTAAGAAAAATCCCTGACTTTGCATATTGATACCTATTCCTATGACCTACTTATATGCAGACATGAGGGTCTTCTATCCTACCTCACCACTGTTCATCAGACCCCATCTGTTTTCCAAAGCTCCTGGCTCTGCCTTCATCAGCTACACAGAATGCCAACATTCCTGAGTCTTCCTCAGACTTTATTTATTTATTTATTTACTGAGACGAGTCTTACTCTGTTGCCCAGGCTCGAGTGCAGTGGCACAATCTTGGCTCACTGCAACCTCCGCCTCCTGAGTTCAAGCAATTCTCCCATCTTTGCCTCCCGAGTAGCTGAGACTAGAGGCATGTGCGACCATGCCTGGCTAATTTTTGTATTTTTAGTAGAGACGGAGTTTCACCATGTTGGCCAGGCTGGTCTAGAACTCCTGACCTCAAGTGATCTGCCCGCCTTGGCCTCCCAAAGTGCTGGGATTACAGGTGGGAGCCACCGTGCCCAGCCCAGACTTTATTTTTATATCAAAAGCTCAGATGAAAGAAGTAGTTCTTGAGGAGTCATCTAGGGTAATATTTTCCATAGTCTTCCTTGGTATTCTAAGTATTTTCTTTGGGTTAAATTATATTTCAGCCAGACACGGTGGCTCACACCTGTAATCCCAGCATTTTGGGAGGCCAAGGCGGGTGGATTACTTGAGGTCAGGAGTTCCAGACCAACCTGGGCAACATGGTGAAACCCCATCTCTACTAAAAAATATAAAAAATTAGCCGGGTGAAGCAGCATGCGCCTGCAGACCCAGCTACTCGGGAGGCTGAGGCAGGACAATTGCTTGAACCCGGGAGGTGGAGGTTGCAGTGAGCAGAGATCACGCCACTGCACTCCAACCTGGGCGACAGAGTGAGACTCCGTCTCAAAAAAAAAAAGGTCACCAGTACTGAATTAAGATTCAATGTTATATGCTCAACTTTTACCAAAGTCATTATAAGAGAAAGTCATATAAAACTTGATGTTGTTTTTGTTATTAAACAATCACTGAAGGTCATTTTCTTGCTCAATGGCCTCTTGTAATCCTTTGTCAGAAATTGCTATTATAATTTAATGCCAGAAAGAATGATGCATGTTTTGAAGAATAAGTATGCTTCTTCCTTTCTGAAATCTACTCTGATTTGGTTTGGTCCTAGCTACCAGGAAGTTAAGAGGCAAATCAAACAGTCAATCACACTAAGTTCACAGCCTTTATGATGACTTTTTACCTTCTTTCATGGCTAATTTTCTGTTTCTATTTTACTGTATGTAAACATACAGAAGCTAGCTGGCTAGCTATATCTCCTTTAGGATAAGTTACAAAAAAATCTTTTAAGGAAAGAGATACCGTCTACTGTGCCATGTATCTTTTTTTTTTTTTTTTTTTTTGAGATGGAGTCTCCCTCTGTCGCCCAGGCTGGAGTGCAGTGACACGATCTCGGCTCACTGCAACCTCCGCCTCCCAGGTTCAAGTGATTCTTCTGCCTTAGCCTCCTGAGTAGCTGGGACTACAGGTGCGTGCCACCACGCCCAGCTGAGTTCTGTATTTTTTGTAGAGACGGGGTTTCATCATGTTGGCCAGGATGGTCTTGATCTCCTGACCTCATGATCTGCCTCCCTTGGCATCCCAAAGTGTTGGGATTACAGACGTGAGCCACAGTGCCTAGCCTCTTTTTTTTTTTTTAATGTTAAAGGAAATGTATCATTCCAGTTATTGTAAACACATAAGAAATACTGGAATGAGGGCTAAGGTTTAACAAATTTTAATAAGATATTTAGAATTACCTTCTCAGAATTTGAATACTGTAACTACAAACATTCAAATATATTCTAAACTTCAATTTAATCTTTCTTGAAAATGACAAATACATATTTTTAAAAATTTATTTATTTATTTATTTTTTGAGATGGAGTCTTGCTGTCTCGCCCAGGCTGGAGTACAATGACATGATCTCAGCTCACTGCAACCTCCACTTCCTGGGTTCAAGCAATTATCCTGCCTCAGCCTCTCAAGTAGCTGGGATTACAGGTGCATACCACCATGCCCAGCTAATTTTTTGTATTTTAGTAGAGATGGAGTTTCACCGTGTTGCCCAGGCTGGTCTCAAACTCCTGAGCTCAGGCAATCCACCCACCTCGGCCTCCCAAAGTGCTAGGATTACAGGCATGAGCCACCACCTGTAAATTTAAATTGTTATTTGATTGGCATTACTAATTTACACATCATGAATTCTGTAAAATAAAATTAAAAGGCTGGGTGCAGTTGCTAACACCTGTAATCCCAGCACTTCGGGAAGCCGAGGCAGTAGAATTGCTTGAGCCCAGGAGTTAGAGACCAGCCTAGGCAACCAAGTGAGACCCTGTCTCTACCAATAAATAAATAAATAAATAAATAAATAAATAAGCTAGGCATGGTGGTTCAGGAGGCTGAGGCTAGAGGATCCCTTGAGCCCAGGAGGTCAAGCCATGTTTGCACCACTGCATTCCACTCTGGGCTGGGCGACAGAGACAGACTCTGTCTCAAAAATAAATAAATAATTAATTTAAAAAAATTAGAATTGTTTTTATGTATTGAATACTTAGCAAAAACACAGTCTCTATAGAATATGACCTGCTTTGGGAACAGAAAACCAAATACCACATGTTCTCACTTTTAAGTGGGAACTAAATGACCAGAATTCATGAACACAAACAAGAGAACAACAGACACTGGGGCCTACTTGAGAGTGGAAGGTGGGAGGAGGGAGAGGAGCAGAAAAAATAACTATTGAATACTAGGCTTAGTACTGGGTGACAAAATAATCTGTACAACAAACCCCCACGACGTGAGTTTACCTATACAACAAACCTGCACACGTACCCCTCAACCCCAAAAAAAAAAAAAAAAGAATACAACCTGCTTTGTTTAGATTGCAAAACCTCTTCAATTGTAATGTCATTCTCCCATGCTGTTTTTATATTTTGCTTAGAAAATGCAATGCAAAGGCCAGGCGCGGTGGCTCACGCCTCCTGTAATCCCAGCACTTTGGGAGGCCGAGGCAGGTGGATTGCCTGAGCTCAGGAGTTCGAGACCACCTTGGGCAACATGGTGAAACCCCATCTCTACTAAAATACAAAAAAGTAGCTGGGCATGGTGGCTGGTGCCTGTAATCCCAGCTACTCGGGAGGGTGAGGCAGGAGAATCGCTTGAGCCTGGGAGGTGGAGGTTGCCGTGAGCCGAGATCATGCAACTGCACTCCAGCTTGGGCTACAGAGTGAGACTCCATCAGAAAGAAAAGAAGAGAAAGATGAGAAAGAAAAGAAAGAAAAGGAAGGAAGGAAGGAAGGAAAAGAGCAATGCAAAAAAGCTGAAATCGCCATAAAATTTTGGTAGGTTTCTAAGGCTAAAGGTATCCAAAAAGACCTATTTTATTAAATACAATTCTAAAAATTAATAGACTATGCTTTAAAGCAGTTTTAGGTTGATAGGAAAAATTGAGCATAGAGTACAGAGTTTCCACATACTCCCTCTCTCTGCCACCCACTGTCTCATGTACTATTTCATTTATCATGGGAATAGTTTGTAAAATTTTTCAAGCCAAAATGATCTTATCTCACCCTTAAATGCTCCCTCCAGAATTTCACACATGCAGCATTGGCTAAGTAAATCAAAGAAATAAATTCAATGGTGTGTTTCATCAACACTGTCAATACTACTTCTTTCTGGGGAGTTCTCCTCTAATTATATGCAGCTTTCATTACTCCCCTCCACCCCAACTAAATCTGGTATTGTTCACAGGAGACAGTAGAGTATAAAGAAGTGATTCTACTCTTTATGTGAAAAGATGATTTCATTATTACAATAGACCATTGGCAGCTCTGACCTCCAATGACCTCCTTTCCTATTTTATTCAGAGACACTAAATGGTTTAATGGATCACAATTGTAAATGAAACATTATAGATTACAATGCTTAAACTGAGCATAGCTGAAATAAATATACTTACGTTTAATGAGAAAACATTATATTTAGTTATCATTATTAGAAAAATACTTTTACATCCCCTTTAAGGCACCTCCAATTTATCTTTTCTGATTTTCTTTTTACACATTTCATCCATTTGTGCCAGTTTTAGTGCCTGGTTCTTTTTCTTTGTCAATTGCTTCTCAAAGGCAATTTGGAGAACATCTTCAATTATATCAGCTCCTTCTTTACTCTTCTTCAGAAGTTCTGACTGTTGTTGAGATAGTGTTTACCAGGTGTCAGAGATAAACTCAGGATAATTCTTGACTGAATTCTGAGGATGATGAGTGGGGGTGGGATCCTGGCCTCTATATCTCCCAGGGTGGAACACTGAGCCCAGGCTAAGTCTGATTTTTGCCTGTCCATTCATATATACAATGTGGAATTAAAGTATGCTTGGAATTGTGCATGGGTGTGTAGCAGGACGAGCCACAGACAAAACTCCTCAGACACTGGGTTAAAGAAGGAAGGAGGCTTTATTCGGCCGGGAGCTTGGGCAGATTTACATCTCAAGAGCTGAGCTCCCCGAAAAGGAAATACCTGGCCCTTTTAAGGGCTTACAAGTCCAAGGGGTCCACGTGAAAGGGTCGTGATAGATCGAGCAAGTGTGGGGAACGTGACTGGAGGCTACATGAATCAGCTAACAGAACAGAAAGTTTTGAAGTGCTTCCTCACACAATGTCTGGAATTTACAGATAACAGAAGTAGTTTAGGTCAGGGGTTAATATTATTATTATTATTTTAACCACCAGGGCCGGGTGGTGGCGCCGAGGTTGTCCAGCTATTTATCTTATTTCTGTTTCTTTTCAACTTTTTGCTTTCTCCCTTTTTTCCCTATCTTATAAACTAGGGAAGTTGGTGGGGGGAAGGGAAGGGCAGCAGGAGAAGTGGTGGTCTCCTTCCTTATTTCCCCCTTTTGAGAATTTCACTTTTTAGTGGGAGTTCTTAGGTGGAGCTTCTGAATTTGTGGGGAATGACTATGGAGTGATTATGAACTCAGATACTCCTGTGGGGAATCCCTAATTATTGGTATCTGTAGGAATTTTTTCTTTTCTTTTCCTTTTTTGAGATGGAGTCTTGCTCTGTTGCCCAGACTGGGCCCAGCTAATTTTTGTATTTTTAGTAGAGACGGGTTTTCACCATGTTGGCCAGGCTGGTCTCGAACTCCTGACCTTGTGATCCACCTGCCTCGGCCTCCCAAAGTGCTGTTATTACAGGCGTGAACCACTGCTCTCGGCAAGGAATTTTTTCTTGAGTGAATCAATTTTCCCAAGAGTAGTAAGTATCCAAATCTCTTGTAGTTGGGGGAAGGGTTGGGGAACAGTGAATGGGTAAATCTTGTCTGCCAGCTTTCTCAGAATCAAGGGATGGAAGAAAGATGGGGTTCCATGTTTGGACGTATAGACTTTCACTTAATAATTTCCCTGGTTTCAGTAGTGTGCCTCCTGCATTACATTTTAAAAAATAATAAAAATGGCAGTTTTGAAAAGGATCCTTTGAGAACAAAAAGTTTTAAAATTTGGCATATCAAAAAACCAAATTCTTGCTATCCTCCCCAAACCTCTCTTGCAGTTTGCTCATCTGAATAAATGATGGCTTCCAGTTGCTCAGCATAAACTTGGGCATCATCCTCCACTCTTTTTTTCCTCTCATGCTTGCACCGGATCAATTAGTAAATCCTCTTGACTCCACCCTCACAATATAACAGCACCTCACCTTCTGGTTCCCATCACCGTCATCTCTAGTCTATTGCAGATTGTTCCACTGACATTGATTATAGATCTGTTGCCAACGAAGAATCTATTTTATCTGCTTAGAAGAATAAGCCATTTCTTGTATTTGTGTTTTCCTGCCATAGTTTCCTTTTCTGGACTTGAAGAGATACTCTAATCTAACTTGTGGTAACTATGAGCCTCGTTCTTGTCTAATCACAGTTTTGGATCTCAGTACCTAGACTTGCCCTGTGCAAAATCCTGGGAGGGAAGGCACTGATAGTGAAGAAAGGAAAAAAGCAAAAGCAGTAAACTACCTGCCTTGTAATCCTGTCCCAGGCCATGCAAACAATTCCTCAGAAAATAAATGTGAATGTCACTGTGCTGGTCATTTGTCCACTTGGTCTCAGACCCATTCTCTGCCCTTCCTTTACTCTGCTCTGGATTGCAGGTCACTGACCTCTGCAAACTGCATTTCCAAACCAGTTCCTCTTTGACAATTGGTTTCTAGTTAGAATTGACCAGTGGGGAGGCAATGACTGGAGATCGGGGGGTGGGAAGGGGGAAAGCCAGGGTATTTCTCCTTCTTTCTCTCTCTCTGCTTTGTGTGGAATCTCAAGCAGGGCTTGGGCCTTTGCCATGGTTCCAACTCTCTCCAGCCTTCCTAAGCTCTGCTTCTACCACTTCCTTCCTTTGTTCCTCCTACCTTGGGAGCAATAGCAGTTTCCTGACATTTGTAAACCCTTTGTTGCCTCACTGACCTCTGGTTCCTCTCAGCTCTCCCATCGCTTTTGTGACCAGGTCCCCATCTTGAATTTCTTCTGTGACGGTACCTTGGTTCTGTCTTCCTGCCTGGGCCTTCAATGATGCTGCCACCTTTCAAATTCCTGCCACATGCTGCTAATACCTGCTCTTAGATCTATGCTTTTAACCAGACTTCCCCCCACCAATGCATTTTAATATTTATTTGCTTTCATATCTACTCTGAAAGTGTAAAATAAAATTATCCACCTTTTATAAAAATGAAATATTTATAGAATCCTACCCTAAGTATTTACTTCTAAAAACCAGAAATTGCAGCTTCCATTTCAGTGAATCTCTATCAAGTGTTGGTATGGAGCTAGACACTATAAAAATATTTTCTGGAACCCTCACTATAACCTGCAAGGTAGTTACTACTCCCTGCTTATAAAAGGAGAAAGCTAAGGCTCCAACATGTTAAGTAACAGAGTTGCACAGCTAGTAGATGGTGAGGTGCAGCTGCACGCTTTCATCTGTGTGCTACAAGTGCTTTCCGCTGCCCTAATCCGCTTTCCTAACTCGCTCCATGCCTGTCATTACGTTAATCCATATTTGCTTATCCTTTTGATCTTAATCGGCACAGTAGGTTTTATTATACCCTTACATAGCAATTTCAGGGTCACGTGAAAAACACATGAATTTAGGAAACATTAAGTACAAACAGAGAACCGATTGTGTCTTGGTTAGATCAATAATTGTACATGGTTGTAAATGTCATTCCAACTATTTGTACACTTGAACCATGGAAACAAAATTATTTAATGAGTTAATTCTATCATCTAAAATTAATAATACATTTTAATACCCTTTGAGTACCACAATAAAGTTATTACAGAACAGGTACTTTCATTTATTCCACAAAAAATGGAGAACCGAAGCAGTTGTTGCTTTACCTAATTATTGAACCTCTGATTTGAATGGAGGAAGCTGTTTCCTGAGAGAAGCGGCCCCTTTTAGCAAAGGAACAGGAGTTGTAATGGAAGCAGTTCCCAGCCACTGCAAGCTTTAAATCCAAAAGGCATCCTAATGCTTTATTTGCCCACAAACACAAAGGCATGCCCACAGTTTGCATGTTATTTTCAAGCTCCATGTCCAAAGAAACTAGAAAAATAAGCATAAACCAAAGAAATGCTGAGGCCAGCATATCAAATGAGAATTAATCACAAATGAGAAAGAATAAATTTCATTTGAAATAGAAAATAAAATGTGACCCTATCTTCCTCCTTTTTACTGTCAAACTCTCAAACAATGGCATTCGTTTTCAGTAGTTAAAATCCTCAGAAGAAATTTGGCCTAATTTCACAGGTAACACTTGCATATATACACATGTAGATTTGTAGCTCGTGGATTTTTCTGTGACAAATTAATATTCCACACTGGTTTCTCCCTGCTGCCTGGCATTCACTGTTGCCAATTCCTTCCAGTCTTGGCTGCCATGTGTTAAGAAATAACAAATAAATAGTAGTATATTGTCAAGTAAAACACAAGCACTCTGTAAACCTCTCCAGTAAAAAAAAAAAAAACATAATCTGATTATACATTTCAAGGCAAAGAGAAAAAATTTCTTAGATGATCTACTGTTCTAAAAATATCTGTGCCCCTGATCCCTTATAATAACAAAGATGATCAGAAGTTAATAAAAATTACCCTGATCTGGTCATTATATGATGTCTGCATGTATTGAAACATCACACTACCCCATAATATGTAAAATTATTATATGTCAATTATAATTTAAAATTAATTAAATTCTTAAAATTTTACATTAATTATCTTTGCTTACCCCCAAGGCAAAGTGAAGACATGTAGAATTTAGTCCTGATTAACTCACAAAAAATGGGGTAAAAATAATCCTTTTTTTAAAATACTCATTTTAACAATAAACAATAAATTTTTACTTTCCCAACAAATTCCTATTTCTACCATTTAATAGAAACATTCTGTTCACCATATTAGGCCATGCCTTTTAAAGTTTCAAATGTTTTCATGTGGAACTTATTATAAAATTATTTTCTAGACTTTTATTGGCTATAATATATATTCATTACTAAACAGATGGGTTTGTTTTTATACTATCTTATTTTTAGATATTTCTGGGAAAGACTTTGCATAACTTCTCTTGATTGAGTGCTGCCTCTAGAATAGCTAATCCTGTCTTATTTACACCAGCACCCTTTTTGCTGGCTATTGGGAATAATGTTGCATGAATTTGGGAGTGCAGATATTTCTTTGAGATACTGATTTCAATTCCTTCAGATATATACCCAGAAATGGGAATTGCTGGGTCACATGGTAGTTTTGTTTTTTGATGAACCATACTGTTTATCTCCTTCACTCTTTATAATTGTATAGTACTTCATTCTGTGGACGTATAACCCATAATTTATTTAGTCAATCTCCTGCTGTTGAATAGTTGTATTGTTTCCAGTATTTTTCTCCTAAAAAAATTCTGCAATGAAAAATCTTATATTGTTTCATTCCTTATGTTTATGGATATATCTGCAGTATAAATTCTCAGAAGTGGAATGGAATTACTGGGTCAAAAGGAAAAGTGAATTGATTAATATATTAGACAGCCTGTTTCCCCACAGACTTGCCGACAGAGTATATTTGCTGTATATTCTATAAACAGAAAGTGATTAAATAAGAATATTTTTACTTCCATTATTAGAACACAAAGTATACTTTTTTATATTTCAAATCATTCTTAAAAAGAATGTGATACTAAATTGTTTTGTTTTGTTAAATAGAATCAGGGTCTATATTGCCCCGGCTGGTCTCAAACTCCTGGACTCAACTGATAATCCTGCCTTGGCCTCCCAAAGCGTTGAGATTACAGTCAGGAGTCACCATGCTAGACCACCAAATTGTTTTTTGTTTTTTGGAGGTTATTTTTGAGATGGAATCTCGCTCTGTCACCCAGGCTGGAGTATAGTGGTGCAATCTCGGCTCACTGCAACCTCTGCCTCCCAGGTTCAAACGATTCTCCTGCCTCAGCCTCCCAAGTAGCTGGGATTACTAATTCTCCTGCCTCAGCCTCCTGGCTAATTTTTTGTATTTTTGGTAGAGATGGGGTTTCGCCATGTTGGCCAGGCTGGTCTCAAACTCCTGACCTCCAGTGATCTTTCTGCCTCAGCCTCCCAGTGTGCTGGGTTTACAGGCGTGAGCCACCACACCTGGCTGACCAAATTGTTTTTAATCAGAGTGTCTAAATACACTCCTATACCATCATACTTATTAATTTCTTTGGGAAAAAAATTAGTACCAGAAATGATGTAATATTTTATGTGCCTATTCTCTTTATTTATGTTTTAATTCTACTTAATAAATATTGTTACTTACCAGTCCAAGCTCAAAAAGCATGCATAAAATATGGTTTTTAGCCGCTGATGCTAGACAACTTGAGAAATTTAGGGACTTATTGTTTTTCAAAAGAAAATTTCTTATAGTATAACTAAATTTTTAAATTTGGTTTTTTATGCATGCTTTTTGAGCTTGAACTAGTAAGCAACAATACTTATTAAATAGAATTAAAACATAAATAAAGAGAATAGGCACATAAAGTATTACATCATTTCTGGTACTAATTTTTTTCCCAAAGAAATTAAAGAAGTATGATGGTATAGGAGTGTATGTAGACACTCTAATTAAAAACAATTTGGTCAGCTGGACACAGTGGCTCACACCTGTAATCTCAGCACTTTAGGGGCCGAGGCGGGCAGATCACAAGGTCAGGAGTTCGAGACCATCCTGGCCAACATGGTGAAACCCCATCTCTATTAAAAATACAAAAAATAGCTGGGCATGGTGGCAGCTGCCTGTAATCCCAACTACTCAGGAGGCTGAGGCAGGAGAATCGTTTGAACCTCGGAGGCGGAGGTTGCAGTGAGCTGAGATTGTGCCATTGCACTCTAGCCTGGGCGACAGGGCGAGACTCTGTCTCAAAAAAAAAAAAAAAAAAAAACACACACATACATTTAAAAAATTTAGTTATACTATAAGAAATGTTCTTTTGAAAAACAATTAGTATACGTCCCTAAATTTCTGAAGTTGTCTAGCATCAGTGGCTAAAATAATATGTAAAAATAAAAACAGAAAAAAGAGCGGTAGTCAGTAACTCACCACTTAAACGTACAGCTTAAAATAGAATTTCCTAGGCAATTCTATAGCACATACTTATGGAAAATGTTACATTCAGCAGTCAGAACTGGCCCTGGATCATCAAAACAGTGGTTATTACCATCATTTATTAACTTGAGGCTTCTCAATTCAAGATGCTGTATAAATTGAAGACATTCGTTTTCTACCCAAAAAAATACCACAATTTGGGTTGAATTCTAGCTCTACCACTTGCTGCTTGTGTGACCTTAAGCATATCAACCACTCCAAGCCTCAGTATTTCCACCTATAAAACAAGGCTGCTGTGCTCACTTTGGCAGCATATATACTAAAATTGGATTGATACAGAGAAGATTAGCATGGCCCCTGCACAAAGATGACATGCAAATTTGTGAAGCATTCCATATTTTTAACGGACAACCTACAGAATAAGAGAAAATTTTTGCAATCTATCCATCTGACAAAGGTCTAATATCCAGAGTCTACAAGGAACTTAAACAAATTTACAAGAAAAAAACAAACAACTCCATTAAAAAGTGGGCAAAGGACATGCATAGACATTTCTCAAAAGAAGACATCCGTGCAGCCAACAAACAGATGAAAAAAAGCTCAACGTCACAGATCATTAGAGAAATGCAAATCAAAACCACAATGCAGTACCATCTCATGCCAGTCAGAATGGCAATTATTAAAAAGACAAAAAACAACAGATACTGGTGAAGTTGCGAAGAAAAAGAAACACTTCTACACTGTTGGTGGGAATGAGATTAGTTCAACTATTGTGGAAAACAGTGTCGTGATTCCCCAAAGATCTACAAACAGAAATACTATTTGCTCCAGCAATCTCATTACTAGGTATATACCTGAAGGAATAGAAATCATTCTATTATAAAGATACATGCACGCATATGTTCATTGCAGTACTATTCACAAGAGCAAAGATATGGGATCAACCCAAATGCCTATCAACAGTAGACTGAATAAAGAAAATATGGTGCATATACACCACGGAATACTATGCAGCCATAAAAAGGAATGAGATCATGTCCTTTGCAGGGACATGGATGGAGCTGGAAGCCGTTATTCTCAGCAAACTAGTGCAGGTACAAAAAACCAAACACCACATGTTCCGCAAGTGGAACAAGCTACCGCAAGTGGAAGCTGAACTATGAGAACACATGAACACATGGGGGAGAACGACACACACTGAGGACTGTTGGAGGTGGTTGCAGGGGAGGGAGACCATCAGGAAGAACAGCTAATGGATGCTGAGCTTAATACCTGGTGATGGGTTGATCTGTGCAGCAAACCACCATGGCACATATTTACCTATGTAACAAACCTGCACATATATGCCAGAACTTAAAATAAAAGTTGATTTTAAAAAATAGGGCTGCCAGGCATCGTGGCATATGACTGTAGTCCCAGCTACTCGGAAGGCAGAGGCCTGAGGATCACTTGGGCTCAGGGGTTCCAGGCTGTAGTGTGCGATGATTGTAACTGTGAATAGCCACTGCACTCCAACCCGGACAACATAGTGAGACTCCATCTCATAAAAGAAAGGCTAATAGTAGTAGCTACTCCACAGGATAGCTCTTTTTGGAGAAAATTTAATTGGATAGTACTTATAAAGTACTTATCAGAGTGTGTAGTATATAGCATGCCTTCTACTAATAGTAAGAATAATGAACGTTCTCTGATTTCAAGTTTTTCCAACATATTATGTTGCATTGGTAATCCTTCATTAAAAAATGTACTTGGCCATTTGAGGTGGCTTACACTTGTAATTCCAGCAATTTGGGAGGCCATGGGGGGAGAATCACTTGAAGCCAGGAGTTCAAGACCAGCTTGGGCAAGAAAGTGAGACCCTGTCTCTACAATAAATAAATAAATAAATAAATAACCGAGTGTGCTGCTGTGTGCCTATAGTCCCAGCTACTCAGGAGGCTGAGGCAGGAGAATCATTTGATTGCCCAGGAGTTCGAGGCTGCAGTGAGCTATGATCATGTGACTGCCCTCTAACCTGGGTGATAGAGCAAGACCCTGTTGCTTAAAAAAAAGGACTTAAAAATTTTTTTTTTAACCTTACACAATCTGATGTGAGAAAGACTGCCTCTGAAGCCCAGGAAATTTGAGTAACAAACACAGATTCTTGGCCCAATGGTCTAGTACTCTAGATCTCTGGTTTTCAACCTGAGTTCTGTAGAATCCTAAGTTTGTTGTTGTTGTTGTTGTTGTTGTTGGCTTTTTTTGAGACAAAGTCTTGCTCTGTCACCCAGGCTGGAGTGAACTCACACAATCTCGGCTCACTGCAACCTCTGCCTCCCAGGTTCAAGCGATTCTCCTGTCTCAGCTTCCCGAGTAGCTGGGATTACAGGTGCCCGCCACCACACCTGGCTAATTTTTGTATTTTTAGTAGAGCCGGGGTTTCACTATGTTGGCCAGGCTGGTCTTGAACTCCTGACCTCAAGTGATCCGCCTGCCTGGGCCTCCCAAAGTGCTGGTATTACAGGCATGAGCCACCATGCCCGGCCCAAATCCTAAGATTCTAAGGAGGTTCTTTAGAGGTTCGCAAATATTTGATTAGAATTTTACATTAAAACTCTGATTTAGGGCCAGGTCTGGTGGCTTATGCCTGTAATCCCAGCATTTTGGGAGGCCGAGGTGGGCAGATTGCTTGAGGACAGGAGTTCGAGACCAGCTTGGCCAACATAGCAAAACCACGTCTCTACTAAAAATACAAAAAATATTAGCGGCGGAAATGGTACACACCTATAATCCCAGCTACTCAGGAGGCTGAGGAACAAGAATTGCTCGAACCTGGGAGGCAGATGTTGCAATGAGCCGAGATTGCTCCACTGCACTCCATCCTGGGTGACAGAGCAAGACTCTGTTTCAAAATAAATAAATAATAATTAATTAAAAAATAAAACTATGATTTAGAAAACAAAATGAATTCTCAATATGTTATACAGAAATATCCTGGAGGTTACCAACAAATTGATACTTACACTACCAGATAATTCATTTTGTATAGACCTCAGAATAAAGCTTCCTCTGCTGTCTGTTTAATTGAAGAGTATCAAGAAAATCGAGCTATTAAATATCTGCTAGAATGTGAATGAGTTAGAATGTCCCCCACACTTTATAGCCAAAACAAATGCAGATATAAATTATATGCGAAGGCCATCTATAACACTTGATTTCATATTTGGTCTGATTAAAACAGCTTTATTGTTCTTGCTGATTCATTTGCTAAAAATAAATGCTGTACTTTGGCATTAACTAAATTCATGCTATAAAACAGCTCATCATTAGATATTGTGTGCGAAAAAACAAACAATCTCCTGGTTAAGAGTGTACGGAGCTGGGCGTGGTGGGTCACGCTTGTAATCCCATCACTTTGGGAGGTCGAGGTGGGCAGATCGCCTGAGGTCAGGAGTTCGAGACCAGCTTGGCCAACATGGTGAAACCCCTGCCTCTACTAAAAATATAAAAATTAGTGCATCGTGGTGGCGGGCACCTATAATCCCAGCTACTGGGGAGGCTGAGGCAAGAGAATTGCTTGAACCCAGGGAGCTGAGGTTGCAGTGAGCCAAAATTGCACCATTGCACTCCAGCCTGGCAACAGAGCAAGACTCCATCTCAAAAAAAAAAAAAAAAAGCATGGAAAATGCTTCTCAAACAAACTGTAGAAATGTGTTTAGAATAGCAAAAAAAAAAAAAAAGTTGATTTTATAGGTACAGATTTTTGATGGAGAAGAAAAAGCAGGCAAACGAATACTAACAAGAAAATATGAGCTGATAAGATGGAAAAAATAAGAATTTAATAAAGCTTGCAGTCAGGTGTGGCACCTCACATCTGTAATCCCAGCATTTCGGGAAATGAGGTGGGAGGATCACTTGAGTCTAGGAGTTAGAGGCCAGCCTGGGCAACATAGTGAGACCCAGTTTCTACAAAAAATATAAAAAATGCCAGGTGTGGTTGCGTTGCCTCTAGTCCCAGCTTCTTGGGAGGCTGAGGCAGGAGGATGGTTTGAGCACAGGAATTTGAGGCTGCAGTGCGTCATGACTACTTCACTGCACTCCAGCCTGGGTAACAGAGCAAGAGGCTCTCTCAAAAAAAAAAAAAAAAAAAAAAATAGGCTGAGCATGGTGGCTCATGCCTGTAATCCCAGCACTTTGGGAGGCCGAGGTGGGTGGGTCATTTGAGGACAGGAGTTCGAGACCAGCCTGGCCAACATAGTGAAACCCTGGCTCTACTAAAAATACAAAAATTAGCCAGGCATGGTGGTGGGTGCCTATAGTCCCAGCTACTTGGGAGGCTGAGGCAGAAGAGTCACTTGAACCCAGGAGGTGGAGGTTGCAGTGAGCCGAGATCTGCCACTGCACTCCAGTCTGGGCAACAGAGCAAGACACTGTCTTAAAAATAAATTAAAATAAATAAATAAATAAATAAATAAAATAAGATAAAGCTTGCGGTTAGATCATGTAGAACAAATGTACAATTGAAGATAAATGTGTGCATATATATATGTATATATGTATATGTGTGTGTGTGTGTATGTACAAGTAAAAAATGTGGAATGGGCCAGGCATGGTGGCTCACACCTATGATTGCAACACTTTGGCGGGCTGAGGTGGGTGGATCACTTGAGTCCACAAGTTCGCAGTCAGCCTAGTCAATGTAGTGAGACCCCATTTCTATCTAAAAGAAAGAAAAGAAAAGAGAGAGATAAAGGAAGGAAAGAAAGAAGAAAAGAAAGAAGGAAAAAAGAAAGAAAAAGAAAGAAAGAGAAAGGAAGGAAGTAAAGAATGAAAGAAAGAAAGAGAGAGAAGGAAGGAAAGAAGAAAGGAGGGAGGGAAGGAAGGAAGGAAGGAAGGAATGAAAGAAAGAAAGAGAGAAGGAAGGAAGGAAAGAAGAAAGGAGGGAGGGAAGGAAGGAAGGGAAGGATAGAAGAAAGGAGGGAGGGAAGAAAGGAAGGAAGGGAAGGATAGAAGAAAGGAGGGAGGGAGGAGAGGACAAAAGTTTGCAAAATTTGATAAAGAAAATACAACATCATATAATTGTTCCTCACACCTATAATATTTGTAGTTTATAGAATAAGCAAACAATTTCCCTAGTGGCATGGAAAAGGGAGAGTTTAAATTATCTCTGACTACACATTTGTGGTCATGATGAGGTACCAAGGGATTTAGAATTAGGTATTTTTCTTAAAAGGTTAGGCAGGCAGAGGAGGGCAGGGAAATGAAAGGAATCAAAATTCCTGGACCATGAAGCAAAGCAGCTTTATGAGGAGGTTTAAGCACACTAAGACTCACCTGTTTTACTTCTCCTAAGAATAGAAATGGACTGCACAGTCAGAATAGTGAAAGAAGCACATAGCTTCAAATGTGAGTTGTAGCTTCTTTCTACAGAGAGGAATCTTGAGATTGATTTGGGTATCAAGACTTATGATTTGAAGCAAAACGTCAAATAACCATTAGAAGAAGAGCCAGCACGCTGTAACTTTCCCCCATAAATATAAATGTCATATTATTTGAGGAAAATTCTACATTCGATTGCAAGTAAATCATACACCACCAACCTTTGCATATCCTGTAAGTCACAAGTTACTAGATATATATGATAAGCCCAGAAGCCAGCAATCATATTAAATTAAAAAGGGCTGCCAGGTGCGGTGGCTCACACCTGTAATCCCAGCATTTTGGGAGGCCGAGGCGGGTGGATAACTTGAGGTCAGGAGTTCGAGACCAGCCTGGCCCATATGGTGAAACCCCATCTCCACTAAAAATACAAAAATTAGCCAGCGTCATGGCGCACACCTATAGTCCCAGCTACTTGGGAGGCTGAGGCAGGAGAATCGCTTGAACCCAGGAGGCAGGGGTTGCAGTGAGCAGCGATTGTGCCACTGCACTCCAGCCTGGGCAATGGAGTGAGACTGTCTCAAAAAAAAAAAAAAAAGGGCCTAGAAGAAAGGCATGCACAACAGCATATTAATTAACACTACAAAGGAGATTTTAGGATTTTTTTTTTTTTCTGCCCATGGACACCGCCGAAGAAGCATTGTTAAAGTCTCTCTTCACCCTGCCGTCATGTCTAAGTCAGAGTCTCCTGAAGAGCCCGAACAGCTGAGGAAGCTCTTCATTGGAGGGCTGAGCTTTGAAACAACTGATGAGAGCCTTGAGGAGCCATTTTGAGCAATGGGGAATGCTCACGGACTGTGTGGTCATGAGAGATCCAAACACCAAGCACCCCAGGGGCTTTGGGTTTGTCACATATGCTACTGTGGAGGAGGTGGATGCAGCCATGAATGCAAGGCCACACAAGGTGGATGGAAGAGTTGTGGAACCAAAGAGAGCTGTCTCGAGAGAAGATTCTGAAAGACCAGGTGCCCACTTAACTGTGAAAAAGATATTTGTTGGTGGCATTAAAGAAGACACTGAAGAACATCACCTAAGAGATGATTTTGAACAGTATGGAAAAATTGAAGTGATTGAAATCATGACTGACCGAGGCAGTGGCAAGAAAAGGGGCTTTGCCTTTGTAAATTTTGACGACCATGACTCCATGGATAAGATTGTCATTCAGAAATACCATACTGTGAATGGCCACAACTGTGAAGTTAGGAAAGCCCCGTCACAGCAAGAGATGGATAGTGCTTCATCCAGCCAAAGAGGTCGAAGTGGTTCTGGAAACTTTGGTGGTGGTCGTGGAGGTGGTTTCGGTGGGAATGACAACTTTGGTCATGGAGGAAACTTCAGTGGTTGTGGTGGCTTTGGTGGCAGTCATGGTGGTGGTGGATATGGTGGCAGTGGGGATGGCTATAATGGATTTGGTAATGATGGAAGCGATTTTGGAGGTGGTGGAAGCTACAATGATTTTGGCAATTACAACAATCAGTCTTCAAATTTTGGACCCATGAAGGGAGGAAATTTTGGAGGCAGAAGCTCTGGCCCTTATGGTGGTGGAGGCCAATACTTTGCAAAACCACAAAACCAAGGTGGCTATGGCGGTTCCAGTAGCAGCGGTAGCTATGGCAGTGGCAGAAGATTTTAATTAGGAAACAAAGCTTAGCAGGAGCGGAGAGCCAGAGAAGTGACAGGGAAGCTACAGGTTACAACAGATTTGTGAACTCAGCCAAGCACAGTGGTGGCAGGGCCTAGCTGCTACAAAGAAGACATGTTTTAGACAAATACTCATGTGTATGGGCAAAAAACTCGAGGACTGTATTTGTGACTAATTGTATAACAGGTTATTTTAGTTTCTGTTCTGTGGAAAGTGTAAAGCATTCCAACAAAGGGTTTTAATGTAGATTTTTTTTTTGCACCTATGCTGTTGATTGCTAATGTAATAGTCTGATCGTGATGCTGAATAAATGTCTTTTCTTTTTAATGTGCTGTGTAAAGTTAGTCTACTCTGAAGCCATCTTGGTAAATTTCCCCAACAGTGTGAAGTTAGAATTCCTTCAGGGTGATGCCAGGTTCTATTTGGAATTTATATACAACCTGCTTGGAGGGAGAAGCCATTGTCTTCAGAAACCTTGGTGTAGTTGAACTGATAGTTACCGTTGTGACCTGAAGTTCACCATTAAAAGGGATTACCCAAGCAAAATCATGGAATTATTGGTTATAAAAGTGATTGTTGGCACATCCTATGCAATATATCTAAATTGAATAATGGTACTAGATAAAATTATAGATGGGAATGAAGCTTGTGTATCATCCATTATCATGTGTAATCAATAAATGATTTAATTCTCTTGAAAAAAACAAGGAAGGAGATTTTAGAACAAATACTATTTAAAGCTTATTTGCATTAAACAAGATTACATACAAAAATCTGTCTTAAAATCTTTACTTTTAAAGTTATATATACTGTTACAGAAAGATGTCCAAGATATAGTGCCCTTGATAAAGGCAGGATACAAAATGGATTGTTCATTTTCATAGAATATATAAATAAAATAATACGTAGGCCTCAATTAATGACTTTAAATTGTTCCTGAAGATCTTGCCATTAAGTGAAAAAGTATTTTCATTCATTTTAATGGAGAAAAATTATGATCACAGTGTATTCCATCCCAAGACATCCAAACAATTCTTACAAATAGAAAAATCAGAACAATGAAAACAAAATGGTGTAAGTAATAAAAAGTGTTTGAAGGTAAATAAATACACTTTGAACATAAAGTGTAGTAAATGAAACTGTGTCATATTCACCAAAAGAAGAAGCTTCCTATTATGATGGAAGAAGGAAGTGGAGTTTTTCTTTGGAAGAGGGTGGAGAAGCAGATCATTAATTTTTAAGCGGCAGCTCTTTGTGGGTTCATGGTTATCTTACACTCAAACAGCTCACAACCAACTGGAGAGTGGTAGCCACTATTGTAAAAAACAGTTTGAAATTTGGAGATAGATAGATAGATATAGATATAAAACACAAAACTTAACAGTGGGGTTGTCAGACATGGGATTATTAGCCACTTTTACTTTCTATACTATATATCTTATAAAATTTAAGATTTACAATGAGCATGTATTTTTGTTCGCAGAAAATAAAAGCTGAAGAAAAAATTGTTTGTTGTAACATGTAACCAAAGCTGATACTCTTGTTATATATAAAGCTAATATATATAAACTGACAGGACTGGCTATATAATTTGTGGAGCCCCATAATTTCTGGAGCCCAGTGCAAAATGAAAGGTGGAAATTTTTGTCCTAAAATTGTTAACAATTCTAAGATGGCGACAGCAGAGCATTAAACCAAGTTCGAGGCCCTTGTAAGTGTGGGACCCAGTGTGAATACACAGGTACGGGCCCATGAAACTAGCTCTGAAAATTGATACGGAAAACACAAAGGCTTTAGTATACAATGGAAAAAGGATATGAAAAGACAATTTATAATACAGGAAGTTAAAATGATTAGTAAACATATAAAATGTTCAAACTCACCAGTTATCATAGAAATGCAAATTAAAATAACATGCCATTTCTTCCCTATCAAATTGAAAACAATATATTTTAAATGATAACACCTAATGTTGGCCTGGAGGGTAAAATGAGTATCCCATTCATTCCCAGGAGATTCTAAACTGAAATAATCCTTCTGAAAAATGATTTGATGCTATCAGGAGGTCTAAAACATTTTATAACCTTTGAGTAGTTCTTTTAGAAATTTAAGGAAATAACATGAAATAAACACAAAAATATATAAACAAAGATATTTTCACCAAAGTATTTGAAGCTGAACATTAAAAACATGCAATAGATTTTTTAATTTAAGCATTAAATATGTCTACTATAACTAAATAATTTTCACATTTATAACCCAGAAATTCCATTTCTACTTACCTACCCTGAAGAAGCATATATTAAAGGAAATTCATTGCAGCAATGTTGGAATAGGAAAATAATGGAAATAACTCAGGACAATGACTAAATAAACTCTGATATTTTCATACTGAGGACACTTCTACGTGGGAGTGGTGTTCGAAATTCTATTGATACCTATCTTTACACCTAAACACTTTAATATTTGAAAAAGGAGACATTTTATTTATGTATTGCATGCATAATTAAATTAAATTATATGTTTACGTTTTTAAAGATGGAGAAAATGCTTATAATGTGATGTAATGTGGGAAAAAAGCAGAGAACTCAATTGTGCATACACCATGATGTGGAATGTATAGAGAAACCTCTAGAAGGGTACAACCCAGAATGTTATCAGTAACTGGTTGCCTCTAGGTGGGAGGATTACGTTCGTTGTGTTTTGTTTATTCTTTGTGCTCTGTTTCTTTCATACTTTCCTTTTCTTTTTTTTAACCATAAGCATGTATTGTAACAAAACAACGACAAGGACAAAACTACTCTCTCTCACCCACCCCCCAAAACCCAGACTCTAATATATATGAATCTTCTGGATCCAAGTCGTTGAACCTGATCTTGAAGCATTAGAGATGCATGACTGAGCAAATATAGAGCAAAATATATTAAGCTGATGCATGTGATTTTTTTAATAAAAAAGAGATTACTGTAAGATTATTACATTTGTGAGCCTAGTTTCAAGTTAGACTAACATAAAACACCAACACATTTAATATCTAATCTGTAATAACCATAGAATTCATTCATGATTACATAAATAAACATAAGTAATATAACATTCTAGACATCTTTGAGGGTTTTTTTTTTTTCCAAAGAAAGGGAAGTGCAAAAGAACCTCTCAGTTTTCGACACCCTCCTAGTATGTTGGTCTAAATGATGAGAAAATATACCAGTGGAGAAATGGGTATTGCAAAAGCATGAAACTGTTAGCGGATGCAACAACTCTTGGGAATGAGACTTGGAAATAAGAGAGAGAAAGCGAGAGATTGAGAGAGAAGTTAGGATAATTAGGAGGCTCCTGAAGAAGAGGAGGGTCGGACAGAGATGGTAAGTCTAGTGTTTTCCAAATGACCCAGTGACTACCACATAAGGCCATTGTGAAGGTTTCATGGACTAATGAATGTCACATGCTTCCTATAGTAGGCACTCAGTAAGAGTTAACTATTATAACTTTTGATGTTTATACTTCTTATTGTGAATTAACACATAAGCATTCTTGCAGCTAAATTAGGCTCCTGTATTTTTGGTTAGGGTTCCTGTATGCCCTGGAACCCAGTCTCATGTGGATGATCTAATATACTGAATTTCCAAGACTATAAAATTGAGACAAGATGCTGAGACATATTGATGTTTTACTGGATTGCCACCCTGTACAGATCAAAATTTTGTAAAATGAGGAATGAAAAATGCATACCCTTTGATTCTTAAATTTAGTGCCAAAGAACTTCATGATAAGGATTTAATTCTGAAGTTGACCAAGAAAATTGCAATAATTTAGCAGACCCGTAGAAATGCAATGGTGTCTGTTTTGTATTTCGAATAAAACATGGAGAATATTGGAAGCAATCTTTGAAATGAATGTTATTTTAGCCAATTAATAACCTAGTAGTTGAGAAAGAGAAACGCAGCCCTTGACATCAGAAGCTGGCCTGGCACTGGCAGTTAGGCCACAGTGTTTTCCTGTGAAACACTAACAATTTCACCGAACATCAACATCATATAAAGTCACTCTGTGACCATGATGGATAAAGACAAAAATAAGGCCTCCCCATAATCATATCTGAATACAGACAAAGCATGAACATTGCCCAAGCCTCAAAATACCAAACATCTCCCTATCCTGGCAAATATTAATATAAGTGCCTGCTGCTTTTTTCCCAATTACACCTTTAGCATGGGTCTGGTCTTCCCTTCCCTTAGATAAAATATGGTAAGATACCTAATCATAGAATTGCCCCTACATCCTGAGAGTCTCCAATCAAGAGCAAACCCAGCTTCCTTGAACCCTTCAAAATCACCTAACATAAACCCAAATCCTAGAAAGTTTTTCTAACACCCCTGTGCTGCAATATCCCACAGTTCCCTGTGGCGCCTGTTCTCCCTCGCTGCAATGAGTAACAAACCCAATTTGTTTAACTGGCAGCATATTCCTAGTGGCTTTTGGCTAAGGGCATTGATACAGTCATATTTGAAATATATCTCCCAATTTTTAATAAGTAGTTCACTTTGGCTTTGACAAAACAGGCACAAAAAAGTGCATTCAGATTTCAGCATTTGCTCCCGGCATGGAAATAAAATGATATTCCTGTGCCAACTGAAACAGGCCCTTCTTCTAAGCTAGTTCACATAAACTGTAACCACAAACTATAAATATCTGATGGCAAGTTTATGAACAGAAATATTCCAAAAAATAGTGCTATGGTCTGAATGTTTGTGTTCCTTCCCCCACCCCCCAATTCATATGTTGAAACCTAATCCCCAGTGTGATAGTATTATGAGGTGGGGCCTTTGGGAGATGATTAGGTCATCAGGGCAGAGCTCTCATGGGATTAGTGCTCTTTATTTATTTATTTATTTATTTTTGAGACGGAGTCTCACTGTGTCGTCCAGGCTGGAGTGCAGTGGCGCGATCTCGGCTCACTGCAAGCTCCGCCTCCTGGGTTCACGCCATTCTCCTGCCTCAGCCTCCCAAGTAGCTGGGACTACAGGCGCCCGCCAGCACGCCCGGCTAATTTTTGTATTTTTAGTAAAGACGGCGTTTCACCATGTTAGCCAGTATGGTCTCGATCTCCTGAACTCATGATCCGCCCGCCTCGGCCTCCCAAAGTGCTGGGATTACCGATTAGTGCTCTTATAAAATCGGCCCACGGGAGCTTGCTCCTCCTTTCCACCACATGAAGGCACAGGAAGAAGGCACTGTCTATAAATTAGAAAGCTCTCCTCACCAGAATCTGCCAGTGCCTTGATCTTGGACTTCCCAGCCTCCAGATCTGTGAGAAATACATTTCTGTTGTTTGTAAGCTGCCCAGTTGATGGTATTTTTTTATGCCAGTCTAAACGTACTATGACAGACTGAGAGCACCTCCTACCCATTGATTATAGCCGTGAGTTTCATATGCAAAATTGCTCATACCAAGAGCCTACTCATTGTCTTTTTACAAACTCCTAATTGTTAACAATTTTGGTCTTTAGCTGTGATCCAAACCTACACATCACTAGTTCTTGGTGTTAAGACAGTTGTTTGTTAAGCAGGAAAACAGTCCCTCAAGAACAGACCATCAGCTGAGAGCCCATTGTCCTTTTGTACCCAATACTATTTTTTAGCAATTCTTCTTGTTAGAGCTGCTTTTTCAGTGCTCTAAGGACACTCATATTTGCAATGTCTATAGCGATACTCACTGAAGATCCTTGGGAAGAGTGACAGAATAATTCCTTATACATCCAACATTCCAAAGATGAAAACATCCAAATAACCACGTTTTCGAGAGTGACAGGGGTTGGGGTCAGTAAACAAGATAACATAAAATTAGCTAATTATTTTATTGAATTTCTAGTAGTAATATAGTTAGCATAAATTTATGTAAAATTTTTATACTTTCTAGGTCTTTAGTAAAATGTGGGACTATCTGTTGCTCAAGTCAACAACATCTATTGCTTACTGATTTAATTACATTGTCACTCTTGTTGATGATCCTGATGCAGTCACTGCAAAGTCCTGAAATGCCTTGTAAATTATATATATATATACATACATATATATAAAGATAGTGTGTATAACAGTAGAGGCAAGTTTTTAAAAATGTTTTACTCTTTTGAAAATTAATAATGCATATATATTATGTATTGTCAGTCATTCATATTCTAGATATTCTAGATAATGAAAACTTCCTCTAAATCCACTCTGACATTCAGTTGTAATCTCCTTTTTTTTTTTTTTTTTTTAAAAGACAGGGTCTTGCCCTGTTGCCCAGGCTGGAGTGCAGTGGCACAATCACAGCTCGCTGCAGCCTTCACTTCCCCAGCCCAAGTGATCCTCTTGCTTCAGCCTCCCAAGTAGCTGAGACTACAGGTGCACCACCACATCCAGCTAATTTTTGTATTTTTTGTAAAGATGGGGTCTCACTATGTTGCCCAAGCTGGTCTTGAACTCCTGGACTCAATCAATCCACCCACCTTGGCCACCCAAAGTGCTGGGATTACAGGCACGAGCCACCATGCCCTTCTGAAAAATGGCATTTTTTAACCTCTCTAGTCTCCTTTCATATCTCATAACCCAATTTAACCTAATGAGAAAACCAGCAGATGACGTCCCATAGTGGGACATCCCACAACATAACTGGCCAGTACTTCTCAAAACTTTCAAGTTTATCAAAAACATGGAAAATCTAAAAACAGTCATAGTCAGGATGATATAGTTTGGCTGTGTCCCCGCCCAAAATCTCATCTTAAATTATAATTCCCATCATCCCCATTTGTCAAGGGCAGGATCAGGTAGAGGTAACTGGCTCATGAGGGGGGTTTCCCCATGCTATTCTCGTGATAGAGGGTGAGTCTCACGAGATCTGATGGTTTTATAAGCATCTGGCATTTCCCCTACTTGCATTTCTTCCTGCTGCCTTGTGAAGAAGGTGCCATGTTTCCCCTTCACCTTCCACCATGATTGTAAGTTTCCTGAGGCCTCCCCAGCCGTGCTGAACTGTAAGTCAGTTACACCTCCTTCCTTTGTAAATTATCCAGTCTCTGGCAGGCCTTTACAGCAGTACGAAAATGGACTTGGCTGTGGCGGCGGCAACATGGCGGACGTGATAAATGTCAGTGTGAACCTGGAGGCCTTTTCCCAGGCCATTAGTGCCATCCAGGCGCTGCGCTCCAGCGTGAGCAGGTTGTTCGACTGCCTGAAGGATGGGATGCGGAACAAGGAGACGCTGGAGGGCCGGGAGAAGGCCTTCATTGCGCACTTCCAGGACAACTTACATTCGGTCAACCGGGACCTCAATGAGCTGGAACGTCTGAGCAATCTGGTAGGCAAGCCATCTGAGAACCATCCTCTTCATAACAGTGGGCTGTTAAGCCTGGATCCTGTGCAGGACAAAACTCCTCTCTATAGTCAACTCCTTCAAGCATATAAGTGGTCAAACAAGTTGCAGTACCATGCAGGACTAGCATCTGGCCTTTTAAATCAGTAGTCGTTGAAGCGTTCCGCTAATCAGATGGGAGTATCTGCCAAAAGTAGACCAAAGGCTCAGCCCACAACTCTTGTCCTACCACCTCAATATGTTGATGATGTGATCAGCCGCATTGACAGGATGTTTCCTGAAATGTCCATCCACTTATCCAGACCCAATGGAACATCAGCAATGCTTCTGGTGACCTTGGGAAAGGTGTTGAAAGTGATCGTCATCATGCGGAGCCTGTTCATTGATCGAACAATAGTAAAGGGATATAACGAGAATGTCTACACAGAAGATGGCAAGCTTGATATATGGTCCAAATCCAACTATCAAGTATTCCAGAAGGTGACAGACCACGCCACCACGGCCCTGCTCCACTATCAGCTGCCCCAGATGCCGGATGTCGTAGTCCGATCCTTCATGACCTGGTTAAGAAGTTACATAAAGCTGTTCCAGGCCCCATGCCAGCACTGCGGGAAGTTTCTGCAGGACGGCCTTCCCCCGACATGGAGGGATTTCCGAACCCTCGAAGCCTTCCATGACACCTGCCGGCAGTAAGCCCCCACGCTGGCCCCAGCGTGAGACCCCACCCGGCAACTTCCCAGACACTCAGGAAGCCCACAGAAGGCTCAGCTGGTTCCTCACTGCCCAGATGTGTACAGCCGCTCCTCCCTTTCAGCGCCATGTGTGCTGAGGCCACTCTTGAGGAGCAGACCCCCCCTGTGGCTGATGAGACTAATTATTCCCACTAGCCAGTGGACTGAAGGCAAAGAAGACTTTTCTAGAACCTGATAGAAGGAAGCTGTGCAGCATGCTCCTCGTCCGTGTGTGTCGGCAGTGCTGGTGTCTTGTCGTTTCCGCGAGCTATTACTAGAATGAGCCCTTGTGTTCATGGGTATCGTCATGCGGGGTTCTTGTGTTTTGTGGGGCTTGGGGTTTGGTAACTTATTTTTATAAGCAATAAACCTTTTGTACCCCGGAAAAAAAAAGAAAAGAAAAGAAAATGGACTTATACACAGGAGAAGCCTAAGGAGACATAACAACTAAAGGTAATGGGGGACTCTGGAACAGAAAAAGGATATTAAGTTAAAAACAAAGGAAATCTGAAGAAAGTATGAATGTTAGTTAATAATAAACAAACAAAAATTGTGGATTTTCACTCATATTACTTTGAAACATACTTATTTCAGAAGATGTAGTTAGAGTTACAAGTTATGGTCTGTTGCCACAGAACTGAATAACTCATTCTGCAGGTCATCAGAACCACGGCTATTTTTCTGTCTTATTCCTGTTCTGGCCAACAAAACTGGTCCTGGACCAGAAAAGAATTTTTAACAAGTATGCTTTCTTTTCAGAAAATAATTAGTTGTTTTCTTGAAATATAGTTGTTTTAAAAGAAACACATGCTACTTATTTTTTAAAAATACTGTCAAACCCAATGGTTAACTACAAATCTAGGAATTCTAGATCATGTGCTATTCTTCAGGGTATTTATTTCCTTGTTTAAAAATGTTTATTATAAAGTCGAGCAGGGTGGCTCACGCCTGTAATCCCAGAACTTTGGGAGGCTGAGGCAGGCAGATCGCCTGAGGTGAGGAATTTGAGACCAGCCTGACCAACATGATGAAACCCCAACTCTACTAAAAATACAAAAATTAGCCAGGCTTGGTGGCAGGCGCCTGTAATCCCAGCTACTCAGGAGGCTGAGGCAGGAGAATGGCTTGAACCCGGGAGGCAGAGGTTGCAGTGAGCCGAGATCGCGCCACTGCACTCCAGCCTGGGCCACAAGAGCGAGACTTCGTCTCAAAAACAAAACAAAACAAAAAACAAACAAAAAGTTTTTTATAGTAAGACCAATTAAAAAGCAATGAACATTGAGAGGTAAACTATAAATAGCTCAATCTTATATGCTCCTGGTATTTTCTCCATCCAAGTTATGTATAAGTGGGAAATGGCTTACTTATAAACAATATGATTTTACAACATGCTACTAGGTAATTTAAATTCTTAAAATCATCAACAAAATTTGATTGACATTCAAAATCGTGAAGCCGTTGACGATTCCTTAAGTCCACTCATTCAGTTAGAAACAAATGAGATCTTCTCCAGAATTCTTTTTTTTTTTTTTTTAGACGGAGTCTTGCTCTGTCGCCCAGGCTGGAGTGCAGTGGCGCGATCTCGGCTCACTGCCAGGCTCCGCCTCCCGAGTTCACGCCATTCTCCTGCCTCAGCCTCCTGAGTAGCTGGGACTGCAGGCGCCCACCACCATGCCCGGCTAATTTTTTGTATTTTTAGTAGAGACGGGGTTTCACCATCTTAGCCAGACTGGTCTCGATCTCCTGACCTCGTGAATCGCCCGCCTCAGACTCCCTAAGTGCTGGGACTACAGGCGTGAGCCACCGCGCTCGGCCTCCAGAATTCTTTTAGGAGTTATTTCTCAAGTTACATTAAGAGATTCCTTTTCATTTATATTTGATTTGGTACTACATCTGCTGTACAAATTTCTTCTTCATTTCAATTAACATATGAAATAATAGAAAATTTAATTGACCAAATCTCTTCCAAAGTCTCTGAAGTCTTTTCTCAGTATATGCAAGGAGAGAAATAATCAGTAATTCAAAATAATTGTCACAATGTTGTAATTCACCAAATCCTTCACTCCTCCAGAGCAAAAACATCTATTGCTTATCTTTCTGATTCTCACTGACTGTAATGTAGTGTCTTGCATACGACAAGTGCTCAAGAAGTAGTGAAGAAATAAATAATAATGTAAAGGGCAGTTTCACTTTGTGAAAGACATTTGAATTTTTGATAGCCTAGTTACTTTCCTTATATTAAAACTATTTATATTTCTTGACAAATACCAACTAATCGCAGAGGGTAATACCTTAGCTTGTTATAAAAGAAAAGCTAAACTGTGATAAAAAAATTTTTCTGTGGTTAATCCATAAAATACCCAAATCATACACAGGTAACCAAAAGTTGACTATGGTGTGATTACACTATGTAAAATAAAATAAATAGACAAAAAACTAGCATGAGTTATGTTATTAAATATTGCTATCTTTGAAAGATGGATATATTTTGGGGTTGACATTAATAGAATCTGGAATAAGGGGTAGCTATACTTTTAGATTTTAGGATCTATTACTTCAATATTATTACACAATGTCTCTGAGTCTCCCAAAATATTTTTCAAGTGACATGGTGCAAGAGCATTATTTCCTCATTATGCTTCTCTAAAACATGTTTTTCCTTCATAAGTAAATGACCTTATACTTATTCCTATTATAACTCTTCAGGTAAATATATATTGCATTAATTTCCATGCACATATGTAATTTTCCAGGGTCATTTTGAATTCTAATTCAGTTCCCCAGGATATCAGAGATCCCTCCTAATTCCGTTTTTTTTTTTTTTTTTTTTTTTTTTGAGACAGAGTTTTGCTCCTGTTGCCCAGGCTGGAGTGCAATGGCGTGATCTTGGCTCACTGCAACTTCCACCTCCCAGTTCAAGCAATTCTCCTGCCTCAACCTTATGCGTAGCTGGGATTACAGCCACCCGCCACCACGCCTGGCTAATTTTTGTATTTTTAGCAGAGACGGGGTTTCACCATGTTGCCCAGGTTGGTCTCGAACTCCTGACCTCAGGTGATCCACCCGCCTCGGCCTCCCAAAGTGCTGGGATTACAGGCATGAGCCACCACGCTCAGTCTGAGATTCCTCCTAATTCTGTATCTTTAACATGCCTAAGCATTTTCACAATTCTTCATCAAAATACCTAATACATGCAATAATCACAAGTAGCATCCATTGACATAATCTCAATTCAAAAACAGTGATGATAATTATGCCACAAATAGACAATGCAGTTAAATTCAAATCCAAGTAAGGTCTAGTTATGATTCTGTTAGGTTCCTTTTTTTTTTTTTTTTCCTTTCGCTGACACAAAGTGCTCAATAGAAAAACTTTTTCAGGCTAGGCACAGTGGCTTACGCCTGTAATCCCAGCACTTTGGGAGGCCGAGGCAGGTGGATCGCCTGAGGTCAGGAGTTTGAGACCAGCCTGGCCAACACAGTGAAACCCCGCCTCTACTAAAAATACAAAAATTAGCCAGGTGTGGTGGCAGACGCCTGTAGTCCCAGCTACTTGGGAGGCAGAGGCAGGAGAATTGCTTGAACCCAGGAGGTGGAGGTTTCAGTGAGCTGAGATCATGACACTGTACTCCAGCCTGGGCTACAAAGCAAGACTCCGCCTTAAAAATAAAAAAAAAATTGAAAAACTTTTTCAAAAATAAAAGTTTGGCCAGGCATGGTGGCTCACTTCTATAATCTCAGCATTTTGAAAGGCTAAAGAGGGAGAACTGCTTGAGGCCAGGAGTTTGAGACCAGCCTGGGCAATATAGTGAGATCCCATATCTATAAACATTTTTAAATTAGCTGGGCATGATGGTGCTTGCCTGTAGTCCCAGCTACTCAGGAGACTCAGGTGGGAGGATTGCTTGAGCCGAGGAGTTTGAGGCAGCAGTGAATTTGGATTGCACCACTGCACTCCAGCCTGGGAGACAGAGTGAGACCCTGTCTCTTAAAAAAAAAAAAAAAAAAAAAAAAAAAAAAAAGGCCGGGCGCAGTGGCTCACGCCTGTAATCCCAGCACTTTGGGAGGCCGAGGCGGGCGGATCACCTGAGGTCAGGAGTTTGAGACCAGCCTGGCCAATATGGCGAAACCCCCTCTCAACTAAAAATACAAAAAAATTAGCCGGGCATGGTGGCAGGCGCCTGTAGTCCCAGCTACTGGGGAGCCTGAGGCAGCAGAATCGCTTGAACCCAGGAGGCAGAGGTTGCAGTGAGCCGAGATCGCGCCACTGCACTCCAGCCCGGGCGACAGAGCAAGACTCAGTCTCAAGAAAAAAAAGTAAGTTTGTTTTTGCATCTGAACCAAATGCTTGACAGCTCTATACCAGGAAATTCACACTAGGACTCAAAATGACACAGATACTTCCAGGCTTAGAAGAGATCTATAGAGAGAACAGCTAACTGTTGGTGGCCTAATTCTTTTACCACTTACCACTTACACTGAAGCCAGAAACAGATGTGAACAATAAGTTATTCTTTTCTTTAACAAAGATATTTTTGAAAGAGAAGGATGAAAAATATGACTAAGATATTTTTTGAGTTATATGAACAAACTGGGTGAGTTATTTTTAAAAATCAACTGGAGGTAGTATATCATGTGTTCATCCCAAGACTAAGAAGCATGACCCAAGAATAAGAGATAGAGTTTGTAGCTTCTTTCAGGCCTGGAAAGGCAACAGGAAACTATAGGGGCCACCTGGTGGCAGAGGACCAGAGAACGTGGGCATGTTCTAAAGTCAATGGGGAAGATCAGGTGAAAATTGTCCTTGAAGCTGCTTGCAGCCTCAGTGCCCATCAGACAGCAGCTCTGCAGAGCCAATGAAGCGACCACCTAGGACAGAGGGCCAGCCCTACCCCCCTATTTTCTGAGACCTAGGAGCCCAGAATTCTTGTGTAATTCCATTGAGGTAAAGAAGGAGCCCCTAACTAACTGAGGCTGACTTTGTCCCTCAGTTTCACCTCAAAGCTGATTAAGTTTGATTTAGGGAAATAAGGCTCTGTGGCTTTTTGCCTCCTACTGTTTAGCACCCACTAAATATGGTTTTGGTTTTTGGGGTTTTTTTTTTGAAGACAGCATCTCCCAGACTAGAATGCAATGGCACAACCAGGGCTCACTGCAGCCTCAACTTTCTGGGCTCAAGTGATCCTCCGCCTCAGCCTTCCTAGTACCTAGGACTACAGGTGTGTGCCACCACGCTCGGCAAAATTGTTTTAAAAAAATTTTAGTAGAGATGGCGTTGCACCGTGTTTCCCAGGCTGGTCTTGAACTCCTGGACTCAAGTGATCCTTCCACCTTGGACTTCCAAGGTTCTGGGATTACAGGCCACTGCAACAAGCCACTAAATATGGTTTTAAATTTCTCAATAAAGAAAAACGGAATAGAGTAGGAATACTGCTTGCTCTCTGTATAAGCATTCTCAACTACCTTGATTAGTATTTTCTCTTCCTGGAGTGTGGTGATCAGTAAATCTTAAATTTATTTCTTCAGATCAAAAGTAGACTGTAATGGGCACAAGATGTGTTTTTTCCCTGTCTACTGTTTAATCTAGTTTTTTGTTTGTTTGTTTGTTTTTTGACGAAGTCTTGCTCTGTGACCCAGGCTGGAGTGCAATTGTGCAATCTGGGCTCACTGCAACCTCCGCCTCCCGGGTTCAAGCCATTGTCCTGGCTCAGCCTCCTGAGTAGCTGGGGTTATAGGTGCCCGCCACCACACCCGGCTGATTTTGTATTTTTAGTATAGACAGGGTTTCACCAAGTTGGCCAAGCTGGTTTCAAACCCCTGACCTCAGGTGATCTGCCTGCCTCGGCCTCCCAAAATGCTGGCATTACAGGTGTGAGCCACCGCACCCTGCCAATTGTATTTTTAGTAGAGACGGGGTTTCACCATGTTGGCCAGGCTGGTCTTGAACACCTGACCTTAAGTGATCTGCCCACTTCAGCCTCCCAAGTTGTGGAGATTACAGGTGTACACACACAGACACACACACAATGACAGTTAAACAGTTAAAGAAAAGTATGCACTAAATGGAAAAAGGGACTCTTTATGTGTCTGCTTCCCCATTAAGGTCTTACAGGGTGCTTGCAGTGGTTCCAGTTTACAAAGGGACTAAGCTTATGTAGGACTTTATTCTCTCTGTGGCGTTTTCTCTCTCTTTATGACCATTTCTATCCAGTGTCCTTTTAAGGTCAAGGGCTCCTAAACAAGCTCTCTGGCCTTTGTTAGCTTGATGACAGTAAGTTTCCTCATATGCTTTTTTCCAAAATGGAATTTTCATCCTTTTAATCTGTTTTTGCAGTTTTGTTGATGGCCTATATCCCTATTGAGTTCCTTTCTGAGCTTTTCTTGTTGCCTCTATATTTGAAACTGGAGACATTGAAACATCTCTTGGAATAAGAATAACACTATTATGCCAGGTGCAGTGGTGCACGCCTGTAGTCCCAGCTACTCTGGAGGCTGAGGGAGGAGTGCCTGAGGCCAGGAGTTTAAGGCTGCAGCAAGCTATGACCGCACCTGTGAATAAACACTGCACTTCAGCCTAGGCAACATAGTGAGACCCCCATCTCTAAAAAGTACAAAACAAAAAAAGAATAACTCTATTAAATTTTGTATATATAGACTCAGTGGGCTCTGTGGCTATTCAGATCCAGAAAAAGGACTGTCTTTAGATCAACAAGTTTTGAAAGTAGAGAAAGGATATTCAGTCACTCCTAAAAACACTGGTGGTGATCACATTGTCATTTGTGTAACTTTGCCCATAAAGCTGAAAGCAAAGACCCTTCCTTTGACCATGTTAAGACAGAAAAAGAAGATGGCTATCTACAAGACTAGGAGGGAAGCCTCTGAAGAAACTAACCCTGATAACACCTTGATCTCAGGTGTCTGGCCTCCAGAATTGTGCGAAAATAAATTTCTGTTTTGTTTTTTTTGACGGAGTCTCGCTCTGTTGCCCAGGCTGGAGTACAATGGCGTGATCTCGGCTCACTGCAACCTCCGCCTCCCAGGTTCAAGCAATTCTCCCACCTCAGCCTCCTGAGTAGCTGGGATTACAGGCATCCACCACTAGGCCCAGCTAATTTTTGTATTTTCAGCAGAGGCAGGGTTTCGCCATGTTGGCCAGGCTGGTGTTGAACTCCTGACCTCAGGTGATCCACCTGCCTCGGCCTCCCAAAGTGCTGGGATTACAGGCGTTAGCCACCATGCCTGGCCAAATTTCTGTTGTTTTTTTTTTTTTAAAAAAGACAATTCCTTAACTCCCCATTCTTTCTCTTTCTCTTCTTAGGAAAGACCTCATTTACTGCCTGTATTTCCCCACCTTGACCAAAGCTGTCATCCAGTTAGGATTTCAGCCAGTTACTCCATTAAACTGCTTTTAACTGCTCTTGGTAATGTCACAATGACCTCCAACTTCTAAATTCAGTGGATATTTTCCGTTCTCATCTTATGTGGTCTCTCAGCATTTGATAAACCTGACCACTCATTCCTCCTTGAAACAGTCTCTCTCTTTGATTCACCTGGAAGCTTCTTCAAGTCTCCCTTGAACTCTTCCACTTTTATCAGATTATTTCATTTTGGAGGTCCTCAAAGCTCTCTGAATTCTCCTTTCATGATGTCACACTAGTCTAAATGATTGCGTCCACTACCATGGTTTAATGACCACTTACATGTTGATGACTCACAAAGTCATATCCTTAGGCCAGGCTCTGCTTCTGATCTCAGGATCACATATTCAGCTGGTTGCTGGACAATGTCAAGAGCTACGAATGGCCTGAGATTTTACCTTAGTTTTAAGTTAACTAATTAACCTGACACAATTTTATAAGCTCTGCCAGAAGACATGAGACTCTTGAGTCAAAAACAAACAGCGGGCCAGGCACAGTGGCTCACGCCTGTAGTCCCAGCATTTTGGGAGGCCGAGGCGGGCGGATCACCTGAGGTCAGGAGTTCGAGACCAGCCTGGCCAACATGGCGAAACCCCATCTCTACTAAAAATACAAAAATTAGCCGGGCGTGTTGGTACACGCCTGTAATCTCAGCTACTCAGGAGGCTGAGGAAGGAGAATCACTTGAACCCAGGAGGTGGAGGTTGCAGTGAGCCAAGGTCATACCACTGCACTCCAGCCTGTGTAACGGGAGCAAGACTCCCTCTTAAAAAACAACAAAAACAAAGCAAGCAAACAAAGGGCTTTGTTATTCACAGAAGAGGAAGCATGAGCCTCATGTTTGCATCTGTGCATTTACCACCAAGACTCCACAGTGGCGACAGAAAGTTGGGCTCAGGTAGATGCTGCACAGTCTGTGGGTTTGTCTCATAGCTAAGGAACCCTGAACTTACCTGAACTTAGGAAGTCTCAATCTTTTTTTTTCTTTCTTTTTTTTTTTGAGACAGAGTCTCAACCCTGTCACCCAGGCTGGAGTGCAGTGGCATGATCTTGGCTCACTGCAACCTCCGCTTCCTAGGTTCAAGTGGTTCTCCTGCCTCAGCCTCCTGAGTAGCTGGGATTACAGGTGCCTGCCACCATGCCCGTTAATTTTTGTATTTTTAGTAAAGACACGGTTTCACCGTGTTGGCCAGGCTGGTCTCGAACTCCTGATCTCAGGCGATCCGCCCACCTTGGCCTCCCAAAGTGCTGGGATTACAGGCGTGAGCCACCATGCTCACCCTCGCCCTTTTTTTTTTATACAGGGTCTTGTTCTGTCACATAGGCTGGAGTGCAGTGGCATGATCACTTCTCACTGCAGCCTTGACCTCCACAGGCTCAAGTGATCCTCTTACCTCATCATGCGCTACTACATCCAACTAATTTTTGTATTTTTTGTAGAGATAGGGTTTCACCATGGTGCCTGGGCTGACCTTGAACTCCTGGGCTCAAGTGATCCACCTGCCTCAGCCTCCCACAGTGCTGGGATTACAGGCATGAGCCACTGCACCTGACCCTGAACTCTCAATCTTTTAAAGGAGCTGATGTCTAACCTACCCAACCTTTACCCTGGAGAGAAACATTATTGGAGAAACATCTTGGATGGTAAAAAATCCTGCTCTCTTCCCTGGAGGGAAATGCTATTTCAATCTTTCAAGGCTGTTCACCATACAAACACCTTTGAAGGAGGTTGTCTGGAAAAAAAAAAAAAAGCTGCCACAATAACTCAAAAACCCATGAAGAATTGTCTCCCAACAGATATTTCTCCATGTTTCTTTAACATATACCTCGCCTAATACCTGGCATAAAACAGATGCTTAGTAAAAAATTGTTGGTTAATATGCCTAAGAAAAACTAATGCTTAAGGAAGAGGGTCAAAGGTATCAGGCACCACATAGAGATAAAAGAATAATTGGAAAATGCCACCGAATTCAACACTGAGAAAGTCACATCAGCAAAAATTTAAAGCAGTAGATGAGGAGCCTATGTAAGATGAGGTGTGGAGGAAAAAATATGAGAGCTGATGTTCTCATCAAAAAGTAAGCGGTCAAGAGCTACTGTTCATAACCTATGAAATAAGAAAAGGATGTCAAAGTGTGTTGTTTATAGCTGCAGAGGTTGACCAGAGGAGGAACTGAGAACAATTATGTAGCTTTTTTGGAGGGGAATATAATGGAATTAAATCTTCATATTTCCCATTGGGAAGTCAAAAGCCAATGTCTAAATTTCTTTACTCAAGAGATAGCAGTGTGAACAACTTACAGAAATGGAAGTGACCAAAGGAGGAATAAAGAACAGAAACAGTTACAGCCAGTGGCTACTGGACAGTAGAACTGATGGGGGAAAACGGGTGTGGGAGGCTATTGCTTCCTATCATCTGTAGCTCAGTTTCCTCTTCTGTAAAAGGGAGATAATCATGCCTGCCTTAGAGATTGTTGTGAGGATTAACTGAGCTAACACATGTAAAGGGCAAAAAATGACACTAGACACATAACAAGCATTCAATTTATTTAATTTTTATTGTTTTAGCCCTTTGCATATATCTCTTTGATAAAAATTTTAATTTAAAAGGTGAGAAATTAGAGCTATTAAATGTGAACTACTTTTTTCAGACTCTAGCTAGAACGGGGTATGGGATATAAGAGCTATCGTTTTGTTTTGTGTTAAGATTAGAGACTATTGAATTTGCTTATAGACTGAAGGGTAGGAACCAATAGCAAAAAACATGTTGAAGGTACAAGAGAGAAGTAACTGACAAGGTCTCTGAGGAGGCAGTGGGGGTTGGAATTCAGAGCACAGGTTGAGATTTTTGCCTGGAGAAAACAAGTGTCAGTTCTGAGGACAAAAATAATGGGGTTGCAAGATTATGAAATTAGGGGCTATGATTCATTCATCTTTAGAACGTCAGGGTTTAGCCTAATGGTAGGGCTAAGAAGATCTCACCATACACTCCTTTTGAAACCTTTTTAATTTTGTATAAATGTATAAGTACCACCGATAAAATAAAGAATGAGACTTGAATTATCCCGCAAACCATCATATACAAATCTGCTTTGTTTAAAATCTTCTATTTCATAATTCTTATTCCCTTCTTCATCACTTGGATTTTGACCCTATATCTATTTTTCCATATATATGTATATACATAGATACGTGTATGTATACATACATATACATATTACATATATACACATATACATATATATGCATATTGACATATATAATACAAATACACACACATATACACATATATATATATTTTCTGAGACAGGATCTCACTCTGTTGCCCAGGCTAGAATGTGGTAGCACCATCATGGCTCACTGGAACCTCAACATCCTGGGCTCATGCGATCCTCCTGCCTCAGCCTCCTTAGTAGCTGGGACTACAGGCATGAGCCACCATGCCCCATTAAATTTTGTATTTTTTTGTAGAAATGGGGTCTCCCTATGTTGCCCAGACTGGTCTCGAACCCCTGGCCTCAAATGATCCTCCAGCTTGGGTCTCACTAAATATATATATTTAGAGATAGGGTCTTGCTCTTTTGTCCATGCTCTGTTGCCCAGGCTGGAGTTCATGGCACTCGTGCCCAGGCATGACTGCAGCTCACTGTAAGCTCAACCTCCTGGGCTCAAGCAATCTCCCACCTCAATTCCCTCAGTAGCTGAGTACAGTACAGGTGTGTGCCACCATGCCAGGATAATTTTTTCTCTTCTGTTTCGAGACAGGGTCTCACTTCTATCACCCAGGCTGGAGTGCAGTGGTACGATCTCAGCTCACTGCAGCCTCAACTCCCTGGGCTCAAGTGATTCTCCCACCTCAGCCTCTTGAGTAGCTGCAAATACAGGTATGTGCTACCATGACTGGCTAATTTTTGTATTTCTTTCAGAGAGAAGGTTTTTCCATGTTGCCCAGGCTGGTCTCAAACTCCTGACCTCAAACAATCTGCCCACCTTGGCCTCCCAAAGTGGTGGGATTACAGGTGCGAGCCACCACAACCAGCTAATTAAAAAAATTTTTTTTTAGTAGAGACAAGGACTCACTATGTTGCCTAGGCTGGTCTCAAACTCTTGGCCTAAAGCAATCCTCTCACTTTGGCCTCCTAAAGTGTTGGGATAGGCTGGGGGTGGTGGCTCACATCTGTAATCCCAGCACTTTGAGAAGTGGAGACGGGCGGATCACTTGAGGTGAGGAATTGGAGACCAGCATGGCCATCATGGAGAAACCTTGTCTCCACTAGTAATACAAAAATTAGCTGGGCGTGGTTGGGGCGCCTGTAATCCCTGCTATTTGGGAAGCTGAGACAGGGGAATCGCTTGAACCTGGGAGGCAGAGGTTGCAGTGAGCCGTGATCGCACCACTGTACCCCAGCCTGGGTGACAGAACAAGACTCCATCTCAAAAACAAACAAAAACCAAAAACTTGTTTTATTATTTATTTATTTATTTATTTATTTTTAGATGAAGTCTCTCTCTGTCGCTTAGGCTGGGGTGCAGTGGTGTGATCTGGACTCACTGCAACCTCCGCCTCCCAGGTTCTAGTGATTCTCCTGCCTCAGCCTCCAGAAAAGCTGGGATTACAGGGGCGTGTCACCACACCCAACTAATTTTTGTATTTTTAGTAGAGACGGGGTTTCACCATGTTGGCCAGGCTGGTTTCTAATTCCTGACCTCAAGTGATCCGTCCGTCTCTGCCCCCCAAAGTGCTGGTATTACAGGCATGAGCCACACGCCTGGCCGTAAAACAAGTTTTCCTAGCATTCTATCTTCAGTTCAGTACAAGAATACTTGGTAGCTTTCATAATGGTTAAATATTCTTGTGAAATTCTTACATTCACAAGACCCTGCCATGTAAATATTTTTGTTGAATCATGTTGATAAAATTAGATAACAGGATAATAATGGAACACTAATTATAATAAAATAATTTAATAACATTTCCTAACATTCTTTAAATACTAGAAAGACATTTTGAAAAATAATGTCTTTTAATACTTATTAAGAGAAAAATTTGCCAATTGCAATAATTATATATTTATGAATTTGATATTACAGGAAATTTTTGAAAGTCTCAAATCAATAATCTAAATTCCCACCTCTGGCTGGGCGTGGTGGCTCATGCCTGTAATCCCAGCACTTTGGGAAGCCAAGGTGGGTGTATCACCTGAGGTCAGGAGTTCGAGACCAACCGGACCAACATAGTGAACTCCCATCTCTACTAAAAATACAAAAAAAAATTTAGCCAGGCATAGTGGCACATGCCTGTAGTCCCAGCTACTCGGGAGTCTGAGGCAGGAAAATTGCTTGAACCCGCGAGGCAGAGGTTGCAGTGAACCAAGATTGCACCACTGCACTCCAGCCTGGATGACAGAGTGAGACTTTGCCCAAAAATAAAATAAAATAAAATAAATTTCCATCTCAAAAAACTAGAAAAGGAGAGTAAAATAAGCCCAAAGCAAGCAGAAGGAAAGAAATAATGAAGAATAGCAATTAATAAAACTGAAAACAGGACAAAAATTAACAACAACAAAAAACTAGTTCTTTAAAAGGTTGAATAAAATTGACAAACCTCTAGCAAGACCAACAGGGGAAAAAAGTAGAGGAGATGCAAATTGCTACTAATATTAGGAATGAAACAGGGGATATAACTGCAGACCTTGCAGATGTTGAAAAGTTAATAACGGCATAACACAAACAACTCTACACACATAAATTTGACAACTTAGATAAATTAGCCAATTCCTTGAAAAACACAAACTAGTTTGGGAGCAGTGGCTCACACCAGTAATCACAGCACTTTGGGAGGCCAAGGCAGGGGGATCGTTTGAGGCCAGGAGTTTGAGACCAGCCTGGGCAACATGGGGAAACCCGTCTACGAAAAATAAAAATAAAAAAAAATTAGCAAGCCATGGTGGCACGTGCCTGTAGTCCCGGCTACTGGGAAGGCTGAGGATCACTTGAGCCCAAGAGGTCAAGGCTACTGTGAGCCATGATCACACCGCTGCACTCCAGCCAGGGTGACAGGGCAAGACCCTGTCTAAAAAAAAAACCACACAAACTATCACAACTCATCCAATATTATATAGGTTATTTAAATAGTCCTGTAGCTAATAAGGAAGTTGAATTCATAACTTAAAATCGTCAGGCCCAAATAGTTTTAACAAGAGAATTCTACTGAACGTTTAAAGAAGAATTAACACCAATTCTTCTCAATCTCTTCCAGAAACTAGAAATGAAAGAAACACTTTCTAATTCATTTTTTGTCAATTCATTTCTAAAAATCAATGTTACCTTAATACTAAAACAAGACAAAGACAGAAAACTACAGACCAATATCCCTAATGAATGTAAAATCACACATTCTTATCAAAACATTAAGCAAACAGCATTCAGCAGTATAAAAAAGTATTCTACTACAACCAACTGGTTTATTTTGGGGATTCAAAGCTGGTTCAATATTTAAAAATCAATCTATATAATCTACCATATTAACAGGCTAAATTAAGAAAATCACATGATCATATCAATTCATGTAGAAAAAGTACTTGACAAAATTCAAGGCTGGGTATAGTGGCTCCCATCTGTAATCCCAACACTTTGGGAGGCTGAGGCAGGAGGATCACTTGAGGCCAGGAGTTTGAGACCAGCCTGGTCAATGTAGCGAGACCCTGTCTCTACAAAAAATAAAAAATTAGGCAGGTGTGATTGTGCACACCTGTAATCCCAGCTACTCAGGAGGCTGAGCAGGGAGGATTGCTTGAGCCCAGGAATTCCAGGCTGTAATGAGCTATGATTGTACCACTGCACTCCAACCTGAGCAACAGAGGAAGACCCTGTCTTAAAAAAAAAAAAAAATCAACACTTATTCCTTTAAAAAAAGTCTCAGAAATCTGGGAATACAGAAAAACTTTCCTACTTGATAAAGAATATCTATTAAGAGCTACAATTAACCCATATTTAATGGTAAAAGATGGAATGCTTTTCCACTAAGATTGGGTGCAAGGTAAGGATGTCCACTTTTATCACTCTTGTTCAATGTAGTACTGGAAATAGATGATTTCCAAAAATTCATATATAGAATATACTTTTAAAAATCTAAAACTTCAACAGTAAAAACACATAAATAATCCTTAGAAGAAGAGCAAAAGAGACACAAAGAGACATGAATCTACTGAAGAGAATAAGTGGGTAGCAAATCAACCCATAGAAAAATGTTCATCGTTAGTCATTGGAGAACTGCAAGTTAACACCACAGTGAAATATCACTACATCGCTATTAGAAAGGATAAAATTAAAAGTAGTGGCTGGGCATGGTGGCTCATACCTATAATCCCAGCACTTTGGGAGGCTGAGGCAGGAGGATCACTTGAGCCCAAGAGTTTGAGACCAGCCTTGGTAACATAGTGAGACCCCGTCTATGCAAAAATTAGCCATGCGTGGTGGCATGCGCCTGTGGTCCCAGCTTCTCAGAAGGCTGAAGTGGGAGGATTGCTTGAACCTGGGAGAGTGAGGCTGCAGTGAGCCATGATTGCACCACTGCACTATAGCCTTAGCTTCAGAGCAAGGTGCTGTCAAAGAAAGAAAGACAGAAAAAAAAAAGAAAATAAAAGGCAATACCAACAAAAACTGAACATGCAGCTAACACACAACCTAGAAATTGCATTCCTGGCTTTTATCCCAGAGAAATAAAGACATGTTAACACAAAAACTTATAAATACATGTTTATAGCAACTTTATTTGTAATAGCTGGACAGTAGAAATCATCCAGATGGCTTTCAATGGGTAAGTGGTTAAATAGTGGTACATTTATGCTATGGAATATTATTCAGCAATCAAAAGGGACAAACATTTTCTTTTTTAAATTGATGGGGAAGAGGCTAGTGCAGTGCTGGCATTCTCCCTCCATTTTTTCTTTTGGTGACATGGTCTTGCTTTGTCACTCAGGCTGGAGTGCAGTGGTACAATCATAACTCACTGCAGCCTTGAACTCCTAGGCAATGATATGATCCTTCTGCTGAATTGCTTGAGCCCGGGAGTCAGAGGTTGCAGTGAGCCGAGACTGTGCCGTTGCACTCTAGCCTGGCTGACAGAGTGAGACTCTGTCTCAAAAAAGAAAGAAAGAAAGAAAGAAATGACCCTCCTGCCTCAGCCTCCTGAATAGTTGGGACTACAGGCACGTGCCACCATGCCCAGCTAATTTTTTTAAAAAGTTTTGTAGTGACTGGGTCTCACTATGTTGCTTAGGCTGGTGAACTCCTGGCCTCAAGAGATCCTCCTGCCTCAGCCTCCCAAAGCACTGGGATTTTAGGTGTGAGCCACAGTGCTTGGCACAAGTATAGATATTTAATAGGAATTTTAGTTCTCAATTATAAGAAAATATGTTATGTAACACTAGCCTGCTGGTGAATATTCATTCCCATTCCACATCTTTGCTAGCAAGTGGCGTGGTCCTGGATAAATCACTTGACCTCCCTTTGCTTCAGTTACCCTATCAAATGGGTAGATTGGAACAGTGACAGGTGACCAAGAACCCATACTTCTACCCTGAGTGGAATTTCCATCAGTTTACTGTAATGTATTGAATTATTTTCTTTTTTACTGCTTTTCACTTAAAATTTTTCTTTTAAGAATTCACATTTACATTATTTGTATTTTGATAAAAATATTAATTTATTTGTTGCAGAAACATAATTTTATGACACAAATAAACATTTAAAGCCATTGCCCAATTTGAGGCTCTAAATTTTTAGACATTTCCACATGTTGGCTGATGTATGGGAGAGATTTTCTGTTTTATTAGAAACTTAATTGAATAATAATAATTTCTTTTTTTGTTTTTTTGAGACAAGGTCTCACTTTGTCATCCAACTGGAGTGCAGTGGCACCATCTCAGCTCACTGCAGCCTCGACCTCCAGGTTCAAGCAATCCTTTTGCCTCAGCCCCCCAAGTAGCTGGAACTGCAGGCACATGCCACCATGCCCAGCTAATTTTTTGTAGAGATGGGCTTTCACCATGTTGCCCAGGCTGGTCTCAAACTCCTGAGCTCAAGCAATCCACTCACCTCAGCCTCCCCAAGTGTTAGGATTACAGGTGTGAGCCACCACGCAAGGCCAATAATATTAATTTCTTAATAATAATTTATCTTTGTGTATTGAAGCATCCATTTTATAAACAAATAAAAATATTTTATAGTTCTAGACAGTTTTAAAATGGAATAATATGGTTATGTCTGGTTTTAACATGAGATGAATTGAAAAAGACAATTTTTTAAAAAAAAATAGCACATCCTTCATGTTTAGTTGTAAAACAGTAGGAAGAAATTTTTTTCCTTCACTAAAGAAATATCAATTAAACTTAAAATATTAGGTCATTTGCTGTGATGATTTTACAATCTCAAATGGAAACAGATTTTAGCTTGGGGGTCAGATGGGGTAAGGATAGACATCTCACGTAATATTTTCAATGTTATGGCGATTTTAGAGAAGTTTTTCTATGCACTTGCCTAGAGCAGAATAAATATGTAAGTCTAGCAGTTTAAATATGTACCTTAAAACTCTACCAACTTAAAATGCAAACAGCTGTTATAATGCAATAAGAAAATAATCCAATTTTTTAAATGGGCAAAAGGCTTGAAATGTCACTTCACAAATAAAATAAAAGGCTAAAAAGCATATGCAAAAATATTCAGCATGCTAGGCACACTGGTGCGATGCCTATAGTCCCAGCTACTTAAGAGGCTGAGGTGGGAAGCAGGAGACTCGCTTGACTCCAGGAGTTCAAGACTAGCCTGGGTAACATAGCGACACCCTGTCTCAAAACAAAACAAAACAACCAAAAAGTTTCATTTAAAAAAAAAAGTTCAGCATCATTAGTCCTTAGAGAAGTGAAAATGGAATCCAAAATGAGATATCTTTACACATCCACTAGATTAACTAAAAGTAGCAGATTGACAACACCAAGAATTGACAAGGATGTAGGTAACTGGAACTCTCATACATTGCTGGTGAGAGTGTAAAATGGTACACTATTTTGGAAAACAGCCTCACAATTTCTTACCATGTGACCCAGCAATTACATTCCTAAATATATATCCAAGAGAAACAAACAAACAAAAAATGTCCACACAAAGACTTGTACCTAAATGTTCATAGTGGCTTAATTCATAATATAGCCCAAAACTAAAAAGAACCCAAATGTCCATCAGCAGGGAAATGAGTAAATTGTAGTCTATTCACACATTGAGTTACTGATACACACAACAACAGGGATGAAGCTAAAAACATTAAGCTGAGTGAAAAAAAACCCAGACCAAAAAGAGTCCATATAATGTGATTCCATTTCTATTAAGCTCTGTAACTGGCAAACTTAACCTATAATTGATAGAAATCAAATTAGTAATTGCCTGGGACAGGGAGTGGAAAAGAGGCATGAGAGAAGTTTCTATGGTAAAGGAAATGTTTACTATCCTTTTTTTTTTTTTTTTTTTTTTGAGATGGAGTTTCATTCTTGCTGCCCGGGCTGGAGTGCAGTGGCACGATCTCGGCTTACTGCAACCTCCACCTCCCAGGTTCAAGTGATTCTCCTGTCTCAGCCTCCTGAGTAGCTGGGATTACAGGCGCCCGCCACCACGCCCAGCTAATTCTTTGTGTTTTTAGTAGAGACGGGGTTTCACCATGTTGGCCAGGCTGGTCTCAAGCTCCTGACCTCAGGTGATCCGCCAGCCTCGGCCTCCCAAAGTGCTGGGATTACAGGCGTGAGCCACCGCGCCCGGCCTGGAAATGTTTACTATCTTAACTATGGTAGTGAAGGTTACATAAGACCACACATTTAAATAGATGTGTTTTACTTTATGTAAATTATAACTCAATAAGGTTGGTAAAACACACACATACACACACACGCGCGCGCGCGTGCGCCACGAAGTATCACACGGGGGCTGCCTCGCCCCGGCACTGATACTTGAACGTTGAGCGCGAGCCCGCGGAGATGAATGCTTTAACTAAGGTGAAGCTGATCAACAAGCTGAATGAGGGAGAGGTCCAGCTTGGGGTGGCCGATAAGGTGTCCTGGCACTCCGAGTACAAGGACAGCGCCTGGATCTTCCTGGGAGGGCTTCCTTATGAACTGACTGAAGGGGACATCATCTGTGTATTCTCACAATATGGGGAGATTGTTAACATTAATCTTGTGCGGGACAAGAAGACTGGGAAATCCAAAGGATTCTGTTTCCTCTGCTATGAAGACCAGAGGAGCACAATTCTGGCCGTTGACAATTTTAATGGGATCAAGATCAAAGGAAGAACTATCCGAGTGGATCATGTGTCTAACTATCGGGCTCCTAAGAACTCGGAAGAAATGGATGATGCGACCAAAGAGCTCCAGAAGGGCTCCTGTGGGCCTCATACCTACTCATCAAGTTCGTCTGAGAGCTCTGAAGATGAAAAACCAATAAAAAAGCACAAGAAAGAGAAAAAGGAAAAAAAGAAAAGAAAGAAAGAAAAAGAGAAAACTGATCGGTTGGTACAGGCAGAGCAACCATCCTCTTCGTCACCCACAAGCAAGACAGTAAAGGAAAAAGATGACCCTGGCCCTAAGAAGCACAGCAGCAAGAACTCGGAGAGAGCTCAGAAGTCACAGCCCAGGGAGAGGCGGAAGCTCCCCGAAGCCAGGACTGCCTGCTACGGTGGAGCAGAGGACCTAGAGAGGGAGCTGAAGAAGGAGAAACCCAAGCACGAGCACAAGTCCTCAAGCAGGAAGGAGGCAAGAGAAGAAACAACCGGGGATAGGGACAGAGGGCAGAGCTCAGACACACTTTCTAGCCCGTACAACTGGCGTTCCGAAGGGCGTAGTCACAGAACTCGAAGTAGGAGCCGAGATAAATCCCATAGGCATAAAAAAGCCCGTCGCTCCTGGGAGTGAGAGTCTTCGAATCCCAGCGACCGTAGGCGTCACTGAAGACTGTTCAGTTGCTCAGTAGATTTGGAAATAATTATGTTTTTTAAATGCAGTAAAATTCAATTGGGTTGTTACTATTTTTGTATCTAAAACTTCTGGGGCCGGATTCTTTTAATCCCTTGAGTATTAGAGTCGAGAGGGCTGCAGTTTCAACAGCTAGATCCTGGCTATTTTTCCTACCATCCATTGTCCCTGTACCAGACTATGTGTCCTAACTTTTGGTTCATAAATATGGCTGTTGAACCCATAGACCCCAATTGAAGATGGAATTTTCTGGAAAGGGAAAATACCAGATAATTCTATTATTCTAGTCTTTGTGTTCGATGTTTAGAGACCAGCATCACGGGACCTTTCCAGTTACTAGTTTTGGACAGCTTGACGGGAATGAATGGGTTAGGAATTTTTTTTTTTTTTTTTTGAGACGGAGTTTCGCTCTTGTTGCCCAGGCTGGAGTGCAATGGTGCGATCTTGGCTAACTGCAACCTCCGCCTCCCGGGTTCTAGTGATTCTCCTGCCTCAGCCTCTCAAGTAGCTGGGATTACAGGCGCCTGCCACCATGCCCAGCTAATTTTTTGTATATTTAGTAGAGACGGGGATTTCACCATGTTGGCCAGGCTGGTCTCGAACTCCTGACCTCAGGTGATCCATCTGTCTCGGCCTCTCAAAGTGCTGGGATTATAGGCGTGGGCTACCACGCCCAGCTGGGTTAGGATTTTTAAGATCAACCAGCTCCATGCCCAAACCCTCCTGTTTAAAAAAAAATTTAATGTCTTTTCTTTTTCATTAAAACTTTGGTTAAAAACAACAAGTATCAGCTTGTGAGGCTGAGGCGGGCAGATCACGAGGTCAAGAGATCAAGACCTGCCCGGTGGACGCCTGTAATCCCAGCACTTTGGGAGGCTGAGGCAGGTGGATCACCTGAAGTCAGGAGTTTGAGGCCAGCCTGGCCAACATGGAGAAACCCCACCTTTACTAAAAATGCAAAATTAGCCAGGTGTGGTGGCGCATGCCTGTAATCCCAGCTACTTGGGAGGCTGAGGCAGGAGAATTGCTTGAACCCAGGAGGCAGAGGTTGCAGTGAGCCAAGATGGTGCCATTGCACTCTAGCCTGGGCAACAAGAGCAAAACTCTGTTACAAAAAAAAAAAAAGAGATCAAGACCATCCTGGCCAACACGGTGAAACCATGTCTCTACTAAAAATACAGAAATTAGCTGGGTGTGGTGGTGCGCACCTGTAGTTCCAGCTACTCGGGAGGCTGAGGCAGGAGAATCGCTTGAACCTGGGAGGCGGAGGTTGCAGTGAACTGAGATCACACCACTGCACTCCAGCCTGGGAAACAGAGCGAGACTCCGTCTCAAAAAAAAAAGTACCACAGGGGATTATGCATCCTTATAATATCTGAAATACACAAAGAAATGACTTGAAATATTTTGAAATTAAGTGGAAAAAAGTATTACAAATTACTGGCAAGTATTTCATTTGTTAACCAGAGCCAACAACTAGATTTAGCTTCCAGGACACACTTTCCAGTAGAAACTTTTAAGAAGCCAAACATCACTTGGCAATAAAATAAGAGTATAAAAACTTACCTTATAACAGGGTAAGGCTCATGTGCTGATAACAAATGCATGAACTCAGAAGATTTCAAGGCAGATACTAGAACTAATGACTGGAAGCTAGCTAAGAAAATCAGATTTTTGAGTAGCTGCTTTTCAGAAATAAGAATTGTGCTAGGTAAACAGAAGATGCCACTATACCTACAATGCTTCCCTTGAAAACACCCACATCCTATCATAAAGGAGCTTACAGGTACATTTGATGCACATGTTAGAAGTGTTAATATAACCTTTTAAAAAATAGCTACTCGGGAGGCTGAGGCAGAAGAATGGCGTGAACCCGGGAGGCAGAGCTTGCAGTAAGCCAAGATCACGCTACTGCACTTCAGCCTGGGTGACAGAGTGAGACTCGGTCTCAAAAATAAATAAATAAATAAATAAATAATTTTTAAAAATAGTTTTCATCAATAAACTCAGTGTTCAGAAAACACTATTGGAAAATCTAAATCTGACTATAAATGATACCAATATTTTTAGAATACAGTGACTGATTAAAATTGCCATTCTCTCTCTTTTTTTTTTTTTTTGGAGGAGTCTCCCTTAAAAAAAAAAAAAAAAAAAAGCACCTAACTTTAAAAATAAATATGTTAAGGTCAGGCATGGTGGCTCACGCTTGTAATCCCAGCACTTTGGGAGGCTGAGGTGGGTGGATCACCTCGAACCAGGAGTTCGAGACCAGCCTGGACAACATGGTGAAACCCCGTCTCTACTAAAAATACAAAGATTAGCCAGGTGTGGTGGCGGGCACTTGTAGTCCCAGCTACCTGGGAGGCTGAGGTGGGAGAATCACTTGAACCTGGGAGGCGGAGGTTGTAGTGAGGCAAGATCACGCTGCTGCACTCCAGTCTGGGTGACAGAGCAAGACTCCATCTCAGAAAAACAAATAAATAAAATTTAAAAAAATAAAAATATATTAAAATATTGGGTATTTTACTCTTAATGAAAATATATAATAAGAAAGACAACATGAAATGCTAAATACTACTGTTGTAAAAATAATTTTGTAACTATAATATTCATTTAAGGTATGTAAAACTAGGTGGTTAGTTTTATGAAAGTTCTTCATCTAAAGTTTTCAAATTTCTAAGAATTTTCCTTTGATTAATTAGGTATCATAATTGATATCGGTCCAAAGTTCTGACAAAAGATGTCAAAACATCTCTCCACACCGGTACGTGTAAATTTGGTTTATTCATTTTATTCTTTAAAATTACATTACTTATTTAATTAGATTACTTTTCATAACTATATCCCCCCAAAAGATAAACAACTAAATAAAAATTCCAATTTAGCCATTCCTTACAAGGGTGCCAGGGCTACGCAGTGGGGAAAATGCACTCTCTTCAATAAATGGTGTTGGGAAAACCGGAGGTCTATATGCAAAAGAATGAAGTTGGACTCTTACATTATATACAAAAATTAAGTCAAAGTGGATTAAAGATCTAAATGTAAGACCTAAAACACAAAACTCCTAGAAGACAATATAGCAGGAAAGCTTCAGGATATTGGATTTGACAATGATTTCTTGAATGTGACACCAAAGCACAGGGAAGAAAAGTGAACACGGACAAATGGGACTATACCAAACTGAAAAACTTCTGTGTATCAAAAGAAGCAACTAATAGAGTAACAAGGAAACCTATGGAATGAGGAAAAATATTCGCAAGTCATATATCGGATAAGGGGTTAATATCCAGAGTATATAAGGAAGTCCTATAACTCAATACTACCAACAAGAAATAACCTGATTCAAAATGAGCAAAGGACTTAAATACACAATTCTACAAAGAAGATGTTTTAAAAATCAACAAGCATATTAAAAGATGCTCAACATCAATTATCGTAAGAGAAATGCACACTAAAACCACAGTGACTTGTCATCTTACACCCATTAGGATGGCTACTATCAAAAGAACGGAAGGCTAGGCACAGTGGCTCACACCTATAATCCCAGCACTTTGGGAGGCTGAGGTGGGAGGACTGCTTGAGCCTAGGAGTTGAAGACTACAGGGAACTACAGTTGCGCCACTGCACCCTGGGCAACAGTGCAAGACCCTGTCTCTTAAGAAAAAAAAAAAAGAAAATAATAAATGTTGGCAAGAATGTGGAGAAATTGCACTGCTGATGGGAATATAAAATGGTGCAACCATTATGGAAAACAATATAGAGATTCTTAAAAAAATTAAAAATAGAATTACCATAGGATCCAACAATCTCACTTCTGAGTAGATACCAGGATAATTCAAAGCTGGACTTTGAAGAGATATTTGCATACCCATGTTCATTATAGTATTATTCACAATAGCCAAGAGGCAGAAGCAAACCAAATGTCCATCAGTGTTTGAACAAATAAAGAAAATGTGGTATATACATGCAATGGAATATTAAGGAGTCTCAAATAGAAGGAAATCCTGCAATATGCAATAATGTGGATGAACCTGGAGGACATTATGCTAAGTGAAATAATCTAGTCACAAAAAGGCAAATACTGTATGATTCCATTCATATTAATTATCTAAAATAGTCAAAATTATAGAAACAGAAAGTAGAAAGGAAAGAGGAAGAATTAGTGTTTAATGGGCATAGAGTGTGAGTTTTACAAGATAAAAAAAGTTATAGAGATCCGTTGCACAATAATATGAAAATGAATATACTTAACACTACTGAACTGTATACTTAAAAATGGTTAAGATGAGTTAGGCACAGTGGCACATACCTTTAATCCTAGCTACTTAGGAGGCTGAGGTGGGAGAATACTTTGAATCCAGGAGTTCAAGACCAGCCTGGGCCAACACAGCAAGACCTCATCTCAAAATAAAAATAAAACAAAAATTTTAAAAATAAAAAAAATTGTTTAAATAGTTAAGATGGTAAATTTAATGTTGTATATTGTTTTACCAAAATAAAAGAAAAATAAATTGAAAAAATGCAACAAAACAACTTTAAAAAAGGAAAATCAAGAAGGCGCCAGAAATCATTGAAATGAAATACTAAAAATAATGAAGATTAACGAAGCCAAAATCTGGGTTTTGTTAAAGATTAATAGGATACATCAAGAAAAAGGGAGAAGAGACAAATAAACAAAATAAGGTCTTTCCCTAGAAAAATCTGAGGACCATTGAACAGTACTTTCTTTTAAATAAGAAAAACCATTTAATATTTAAAATCAAAGCAAAATGTACATATCAGTATCTAATTCCTCATAAACTGAGGCTTCCTAACAGACCAGTGCAAACCAAAGCAATGTATGCTTCCCTGTGAGAGAAAATTTAATTAAATATGGATTAGTGGTCAGTGGTTTCCGCTGGAAGACTGTGTGATTGCTAGAAAAGAAAAACACTCAACTGGCTGTGACACTCCAATGATGATCTGCCTGAGGCCTTTATTAAGGTAAGAAAAATTTAAATGATTTTCTATATCAATCAAGTTTGTAGAATAACTTTATAAAAATAATAATATTGATGTGATAATGATGATAAATCCACTCCTCTGCCTCACACTAATCTAGGATAGCTGTCTTTTTAATGTAATACTTATCTTTCTTTTTACTTGCAACATACCAATGACCCCAACTTCCAGATATCCTGTGTGCCTGGGGTTTTTGCTATTGTTCCCTTCCTTTTTAGCCAGGCTTGCTTCTGATTAGTTTCTAATTCTCCCATTTAATCTATTCCTACTTCCCAGAGAGCAATAAGACCTCAGCTGAGGGAGCCAGAGAATCTTTGAACCATTTGTCCATGGTCCAAAAGAAAATTATTGTCACCACCTTTTAAATGAAGCAACTCAGACTGAAACAAGTTGAGACTTAGATTATCTCCCTGTTTGTGAAATGCTTCTTCCATTATTTCACCCTTACTTTATATATATATAAAGTGCCTCATACTTTCTTATTGGAAAGGTTAGAAAGGGCTCAAAGCATAGACAAGCAAAAAGGACTTGAAAACACCCATTGTACAACTTATAGACAATCAACCTAAATACTATGATGAATTTTTTCTGGATCAATTCAAGATAAATTAAAGAAATAAATGCGAAAGACAAGAAATTAAAAGGACTTTGGAAGGCTTTTATTCATGATATAAGGAAAGATTTCTTTCTATTTTTTTTTTTTTGAAATGGAGTCTCACTCTGTCTTCCAGGCTGGAGGGCAGTGGCGCGATCTCGGCTCACTGCAACTTCTGCCTCCCAGGTTCAAGCGATTCTCCTGCCTCAGCCTCCCAAGTAGCTGGATCTATAGGTGCATACCACCACACCCAGCTAATTTTTGTATTTTCAGTACAGACGGGGTTTTGCCATGTTGGCCAGGCTGGTCTTGAACTCCTGCCCTCGGGTGATCCACCTGCCTTGGCCTCCCAAAGTGCTGAGATTACAGGCATGAGCCACCGTGCCTGGCCAAGTGAACTACACAATTCTTTATTAATCAAGGTGCTTGGAGAATAGTGTGGAGGGTATCTCCATTTGAAGGAAAGACAGGTGGAAAGAAGTGTGTAATTTTTTTAAGGACCCCCAATATTATTTAAGTGTGGCAATCTCTTTTTATTTCACTAAGGGCTGTAACAAGAAAGTGTTGGCTTTTAGCTTTTGAATAAAGTGATACATATTCCAAACATAGAAAGCAATGTTGGTTTAGGAGTAGGGAGCAGTATTTCAGGTTGTCATTTTGGTACTTCCAACATATGAAAATCTCTTGTGCCCCCTGCTACATGTATAATAGAACCTGTGGTGGAGATTGTGATTGTCTTTGCTGGGTTGTTAATATTCATCTTTATGTTGCCCTGAATGCATACATGAAGTTTTTGCACCAGAGACAGATTATTATGATAATTACTGTGCTGGATTCCCTTGTCCTAGTTCTTATCCCTGGGGGGATGCAATAAGAACCAGATGTCATCCTCTATGTAATGAGGTCTGTACTGTAAGTGAGGAATTCTGAGAAAATGAAACTGAGCATTTATATAAAAGAGAAAGACAGCTGTCCTCCTCCCCTTCTAAAAGAAGAGAGAAAAAAGGAGGGGCACGGTGGCTCACACCTGTAATCCTAGCATTTTGGGAGGCCAAGGCGGGCGGATCACCTGAGGTCAGGAGTTCAAGACCAGCCTGACCAACATGGAGAAACCCCGTCTCTACTAAAAATACAAAATTAGTTGGGCATGGTGGTGGGCACCTGTAATCCCAGCTACTTGGGAGGCTGAGGCAGGAGAATCACTTGAACCTGGGAGGAAGAGGTTGCGATGAGCCAAGATTGTGCCATTGCACTCCAGCCTGGGCAACAAGAGCGAAACTCCATCTCAAAAAAACAAAAGAGGAAAAAAAAAAAACCCTTTACCCCTGGAAGGCAAGATGGAGAGGATCCTGGGTTCTCACTCCAACTTTTTGATTGATTGACTGATTGATTGAGACAGGGCTCACTCGGTCCCCTAGGCTGGAGTGCAGTGGCATGATCATGGCTCATTGCAGCCTCAACCTCCCAGGCTCAAGCAATCTTTCTATCTCAGCCTCCCAAGTAGCTGACACTACAAGCGTGTGCTGTCATGCCTGGCTAATTTTTGTAGTTTTTGTAGAGATGGGGTCTCCCTATGTTGCCCAGGCTGGTCTCAAACTCCTGGGTTCAAGCAATCCTCCCACCTTAGTCTCCTGAGTAGCTGAGACTACAGGTGTGCCCCACTATGCCTGGCTAATTTTTGTAGAGATGGGGGTCTCACTATATTGCCCAGGCTGGTCTCAAACTCCTGACCTCAAGTGATCCACCTGCCTCGGCCTCCCAAAGTGCTGGGATTACAGGTGTGAGCCACTGCACCCAGTCTCTCTGTCAACTTTCTCTGGGTCATCTCTGTGGTTCTATCTTCAAGTTCATAGAATCTTTTCTTTGACATCTATATTTTGTTATTGAGCACATTCGGTGAGGTTATATCATTTATATTTTTCAGTTCCATAATTTCCACTTATGTCTCTTTTATATTTATTTGCTGATACTTTCTATTTTTTCATTTGTTTCATGTTTGTAACTGTTCATGGACACATTTTTTTTTTTTTTTTTGAGATGGAGTTTCACTCTTGTTGGCCAGGCTGGAGTGCAATGGCATGATCTTGGCTCACTGCAACCTCTGCCTCCTGGGTTCAAGCAATTCTCCTGCCTCAGTCTCCCGAGTAACTGGGATTACAGGCATGTGCCATGACACCCAGCTAATTTTGTATTTTTAGTAGAGACGGGGGTTCTCCATGTTGGTCAGGCTGGTCTCAAACTCCCGACCTCAGGTGATCCACCCGCCTCGGGCTCCCAAAGTGCTAGCATTACAGGCGTGAGCCACCGCGCCTGGCCTGAAGCATTTTTATAATGACTGCTTTAAAATCCTTGTCAGATAACTCTATTGTCTGTGTTGTCCCATTGTTGGTATCTGTTAATTGTCTTTTCTCATTCAAGTTGAGATTTTTCTGGCTCTCAATATAATGAGTGATTTTTCTATTGTATTCTGGACATTTTAGGGATTGTTAGGAGACCCTGGATCTTAAGTCTTCTTTTTTAGTAGGGCCCTGCTGATGATGCCAGCAGGGAAAAGGAGTAGAAATCTAGGCTACTTACGTGGACTCCACTCTACTGGAGGGGTTGGGGGAGGCCAGGGAAGAGCACTGTTACCATCAGGTGGAGGATAGAACTTTAGGATCCCTACTCTTACCTCCTCTGCACCATCCCAGTAGAGTAGGGGAGGTGTGCCTCATGACTGCCAGGCAAGGATGAATGTCTAGGCTCTCTACTCAGTATCTGCCAACAGGGATGGGGGTAGAAATATGTTTCTATACAATTTGGCTGGATTAGGGCAGTTTTGTCAAAAAGGTTTCTGTCTCACCAGACTGTTCCTTTCCTCATCTGTTGACAAAAGAAAGCAGGCTTTATGGGGGAATTTTTTTGTCTACATGCATTGACATTTTTAGGTTGTGGACTTCTCCAGCACCTAGCTCAGAATATATAAGAGGCAAAAAGAAAACCCAGAGAACTAAGCACCATGTTGTTCCTTAAGTTTCAGGGTCCCTAACCATTCTACCTCCTTCTCTCCATCTTTCAGAATCTTCTTATATTTGCTTTATATATAATGTCCAGGGGTTTCAGCTTACTTAAAGAGAAGAATAGGGGAAAATTTATCAGCTCCATCTTTTCTGGAACCAGAAATCCAGCTCCCTTAACAGAAGATACTGTTTTTTCCCCCTGGGTAACACTACCGTCTATATCTGGAGGAATGGGAGAAACTTTTCCAGCAAAAATAAAATCTAGGCCGGCACGGTGGTTCACGCCTATAATCCCAGCACCTTGGGAGACCAAGGCAGGTGGATCACCTGAGGTCACGAGTTTGAGATCAGCCTGGCCAACATGGTGAAACCCCATCTCTACTAAACAATAAGAAAAATTAGCCGGGTGTGGTGTGGGCACCTGTAATCCTGCAACTCAGGAGGCTGAGGCAAGAGAATCGCCTGAACCTGGGAGGTGAAGGTTGCAGTGAGCTGAGATCGTGCCATTGCACTCCAGCCTGGGCAACAAGAGCAAAACTCCACCTCAAAAATATATAACACAATACAATACAATACAATACAAAAATAAAATAAAATAAATAAATAATAAAATAAAATATAAAATAAAATAAAATAAAATTCAGATATGTCTCTATTCTTCCAAACAAGTTGAGGGGGTCCTTCCCAAGGGCCTCTGCTGCCCCGTATGCCCACAGTTCACTAGCAGAGGAGCAAGGGAGGCACCTTAGGAAAAGTAGAGCCAGTGCAGATTTATAAGAGAAAAATGATTTGTTAGGGTTGGATTATCAGCATTTTTTAAATTCCCCCACATCCCACACTTCAGTGTATAATAGGAAAAGGAAACATACATTTAGAAAGGGAGCTTTAAAAGGTCACAACTAAAGCATTATGTACTTTTTTTTCACTTAATTTTTTTTTTAGAGATGGGATCTTGCTGTGTTGCTCAGGTTTGTCTCAAACTCCTGGCCTCGAGCGATCCTCCCACCTTGGCCTCCCAAAATGCCACTGCACCTGGCCAAAAACACTATATACTTTTTCCCCCCAGAACTCCCCCTGCCCCCAGGCAATGATTAAATAAAGAAAAAAAAAATTTCCCTTGTATTCTGGTTTTTATTTAGATCTTTACTTAATTGGACCTTTAACTTCTCACTCTAGGCTGTCTATCTAATAATTACAAAAAAAACAAGCAGATTGTAAAGGTGAAAAGTTATGAACTTGATGTAGACACAATGGTCATTAAAGACCAGACTTACATAACTGCTGAAGTAATGAGTAATATAAGTGTCAATCTCCTTATTCTATAGCTCTTTCTTGGTTGAACCAGCAGATCTGCCCAAGGTTTGATGATTGATCATGACTGACAAGTTGGAGGTAACAGATGTAGTTTTTTAAGGATTCACCTTTTCATCTGCTTTTGGTATTTTCTATCTTAGGCTGCTAGCTGACCTCATTTTTCCCCTAAGAGCTTTTCTTGCAACATGAATATTGAACTGGGTATTGCAAGCTTTCTTATTAAGACAAACATCCAGGCTTCTACAGGATCTGTCTTTTTTCCAAAATGTACCCTTCATTGCTTGCTTGTTCTGCTTATACATTTCTACTTTCTTTGCTTCTGATGGCTTCTGATTTTTCTTGTCCTGTTTATAGTTTATCTGAATTGGCTTCTCTTGCAGAGTTCCCTGTTTCTGATGATGGAGTTCCTTGAGAATCTCTACTCTCTGCTGTAAGATTTGGCATTCATTCTCTAGCAAAGCTGCCATCAACTGCAATGAATAGGTGTCATGGCTCAGTTTCTTCACCTGTTCCTCCAGCTCATGCTTAGCCGACACTTCATTATTTGGCTGGGTTTGGAAACCGACTCCATTATTTCCAAGAGTTTCACTTATGTCTTTCTGAGATTTCTGATAGGATTTTATCAGTTTACTGAGCTCAGTATGTTGTTTACTCCAGTGTTCTGCTTCCTGTAGTAACTGCTCCATGTTGTTCCTAATTTTCATAGTTTCTTCTTGAACATTAAGTCTGTTTTTTGCTTTTTCCTGACTTTGTTGAGTTTCGTTAAGGACTTTTTTTTCTTCTAAACGATTTACCAAATCTCTTGCAAAAACTTGTGCGGTGTTCTCAGAGTTCTGGTTTTCCATTATCATCTGCTGTTTCTTTTCATTGTCTTCTTTCTCTGGGGCTAAACTAACAGGCAGGTTTGTTGATAACATTTCATTGATTTTGTCAAGTCCTCTGATATTTTCTTTGTGGGCTGACACATCCTCAGTAATATTGGTTTCCAATATCATCTCCTGTTTCTTTTCATTGTCTTCTTTCTCTGGGGCTAAACTAACAGGCAGGTTTGTTGATAACATTTCATTGATTTTGTCAAGTCCTCTGATATTTTCTTTGTGGGCTGACACATCCTCAGTAATATTGGTTTCCTCAAAAAGTTCTTTTGCTTCTGTGATCTTCTCTTCAAAACCTGCCATATTTTTAAGAATATCTTTAATTTCTTTTAAGAGATTGTTAAACTTCTGTGCAGTCTGTTGTTCTGTAACTTGATGGCTGCTATTCTTTAGGAAAGGGAGAGAGCCCCAGGAGGAAGGGGAATGTGATCCAATTTCGAATAAGGCAATGGTAATCCTAGGGTCCAGATATTCTTGATGAGGATCAGGAGTAGGGTTAACGGTTTTGGAGATGGTGGGCATCTCAGCTGACTTAGCAGAGCTGGCCATCAGGACAGAAGGAAAGCAGAAAACTTTAGAGATTCCAGGAAGGACAGGTGATGGTCCTTTGTGCAAATGTGGGTGGAGACTGTGGAATCAAGCAGAAGTCAGAGACCAAAGTTAAGGATTAAAATTTGGGAGATGATGTTTAGGTGGAAGGTGGCATCTCAGACAGCCTTGTGGGGAGGAAGGGTGGGAAAGGGGACCAAGGCTGGGGCTCCATCTCTTCTCCTCTAGGCACCCGGTGTTTATTCTCTGGCCCTAGCAACCAGGTCTTTATTTTGTCACTGCACCATTGTGGCCTATCCATAGTGTCTGTCTCCTTTGTGTCACAATGGAAGCCTCTTAAATTCCTGCCCAGTGACTCCTGCATCAAAACCAACCTTGAGCTATCCCTACTCCTCATGCCAGAAAGAGCTCTACAATAGCTCTTCCCCTCCTTAATTTCTAGGTTGCTATTCATCTCAGTCTAAATGCACTCAGTTACTTCTCTACGTCACCTCTATCCCCTCACAATCCTGACCTCAACCGCAGCATGTTTTGACCACTTAAGGACATTGCTGAGACCAGTCCTCTCTGGTGAGGTCCCCATCCTTTCATAGCACCTAGAGGCTCTATTGCTCCCATTCTAGGAGAGATGTGACTGTAAGAGAAAGTTATCCACACAAAACAAAACCCTGAGAGTGACAGCCTTTTGTGATTTTAGGAAAGTAATGTCAGGAGTCCCTCCATTCAAAAATATTCTACTGCTCCAAGAAGGGACTATCTGAATGGTTATAATAGCAACACAATTACAAACTGGGACTTTTCTTGGCTTTGAATATAGGCATCCTTTAAGACAGGCTTGGCAAGCTTACTCACAAATCATTTACATCAGGTGATAGAAAACTTTGACTATTACTTTTCACAGTAACTTATTTGGGGATTTTTTTTTTGGCTCTTTTATTGATCCCCTAAGATTTCCACACTCTACACAGTAACTTGTTAAAATGACATAGTTATATTTCTAAAGTGTTTGATTAGAAGGGCATGGTAGTGTGTGCCTGTGGTCCCAGCTACTTGGGAGGCTGAGGCGAGAGGATCACTTGAGCCTGGGAGGTTGAGGCTGCAGTGAGCCATGACTGTGCTACTTAGTGCACTCCAGTTTGGGCAACACAGCAAGATCTATCACAAAAAATTAAAAAATTGGCCAGGTGCAGTGGCTCATGCCTGTAATCCCAGCACTTTGGGAGGCTAAGGCGGGCAGATCACTTGAGGCCAGGAGTTCAGGATCAGCCTGGGCAACATGACAAAACCCCATCTCTACTAAAAATGCAAAAATTAGCTGGGCATGGCAGCACACACCTGTAATCCCAGCTACTCAGAAGGCTGAGGCATGAGACTTGCTTGAACCCAGGAGGAGGAGGTTGCAGTGAGCTGAGATCGTGCCAGTGCACTCCAGCCTGGGTGACAGAACAAGACACTGCCTCAAAAAAAGAAATTAAAAATTAAAAAATAAAAAGCATTTGAAACAGGTAAATTCTCTAGTGGGTTATAGAAAGTAACAAGTTTATTAAACTTCTTGCATTTTAATAAGCTGCTTTCTTGTCTTTTTGTTCTTAGGAGTCAGGTCTTGTGAATATAGAACTCAATCAAAGAAACATTTCTTGTGTATGACTTTTTCCTGGCCTTCAAAATCTTGCTAGCAAGCACTTTAATAGAAATTTGCTTCCAGTCTTAAGGGAAAACTCATACTCAGGTTTTTTTTCCCCTAGAGAAGAGAAATTTATATGTTTTCTTTCTTCTCCAGTTACCAACTCATTTTGGCTCTAATTCCCCAGAGCCTCATGCTCATCTTTCAGCCAGCTGGGCTCCAGGCCATCGTCACTGACTACTCACAGATACAGCAGGGTTGGTCTCTGCTTTTACTTGAAAAAGGAACTCCTTTTCTAATTCACACAATGACAGCATAGATGCTAGCAACTGTCCTTATGCTTTAATTCCATCTTAGAAGTTCAGCATTGGTTCTTATTTCCCCCTTTGACTCAAGCATCATTTAAGACAATTTCTTAATCTCCAGCACAGGGGAATTTTTGATAATTAATTTCTAGCTTTATCATACTATATTCAGAAAATGTCTGTAATGTTTCTACCTTTTGAAATTGATATTTTCTTTCTGGCCTAATAGATTATCAGTGTTCATGTATGTTCCCTAGATATTAAAAAGAAAATGTATTCTCCATCCTCTTGTGCTTGCAGCTTTTTAATGCTGTCAGACATAAATCTAATATTGCTCTTGTCTTGATTTTTTTTTTTATGAAAACTGGTTTGAAGGTAGCATGGTCAAGATACGAAGATAATTTTTTTCTTTAATCTGAAAAGAGCCAGGCATGGTGGCTCACATCTGTAATCCTAACACTTTGGGAGGCTGAGGTGGGCGGATCACCTGAGATCAAGAATTCGAGACCAGCCTGGCCAACAGGGTGAAGCCCCGTCTCTACTTAAAAAAAAAAAAATTAGCCGGGCATGTGGCATGCACCTGTAATCCCAGCTACTCGGGAGGCTGAAGAAGGAGAATCGCTTGAACCCAGGAGGTGGAGGTTGCAGTGAGCCAAGATTGCACCACTGCACTCCAGTGTGGGCAACAAGAGTGAAACTCCATCTCAAAAAAAAAAAAAAGAAAGAAAGAAAAAAACAAAAACAAAAACAAAATCTGAAAAGGATTTAAATATTTCCTTTCCCCTACAACTAGAATGAATTCCAATTAACAGTTGTTAATTTTGTTGGAATGTGTTTACGTTAGGAACTGAAAGGTAAATAGATTTTGAGAAACAAGAGTGGTCCTCTTGTCTCTATTGACCCATATTCCCCAGTGGATAACCATGGAGGTTAAACACATTTGGACTGTTTTACAATTTCTATCCACTAAGTTTCACATAGCTTAATGACTCAAGAAAGAAAAAATTGGCTGGGCATCGTGGCTCATGCCACTCTGGGAGGCTGAGCTGGGAGGATCACTTGAGCCCAGGAGTTCAAGACCAGCCTGGGAAACATGGTGAAACCCCCGTCTCTACTAAAAATACAAAAATTAGCCAGGCATGGTGGCGCGTGTTTATAGTCCCAGCTACCTGGGAGGCTGAGGTGGGAGGATGGTGTGAGCCCGGAAGGTTGAGGCTGCAGTAAGCCGTAAGCATGCCACTGCACTCCAGCCCGGGTGACAGAATGAGACCCTGTCAAAAAAAAAAAGAAGAAGAAGAAGAAGAAAAGAAAAAAAAAACTGCAAAAAACTGTTTCTAAAATTGTTAAGGTGACAATTTGTGTCAAATTTTTCTTTCATTTTCTGTTTCTGGGGTGGGGGCAGTGTCTTGCTCTGTAGCCCAGGCTGGAGTGCAGTGGGGCAATCACGGCTCACCTACAGCCTCAGACTCCAAGGCTCAAGCAATCCTCCTGCCTCAGCCTCCTGAGTAGCTGGGACTACAGGCATGCACCACCACGCCTAGCTAGTTCTGGTTTGTTTTGTAGAGATGGGGATCTCACTATGTTGCCCTGGCTGGTCTCAAACTCCTCGGCTCATCTAGTCCTCCTGCCTCAGCCTCTCAAAGTGTTGGGATTACAGGCATGAGCCACTGTGTCTGGCCCAAATTTTTCTCTCTTTAAAACAAGATTGCCTTCAGCTACTCGGGAGGCTGAGGCAGGAGAATGGCGTGAACCCAGGAGGCGGAGCTTGCAGTGAGCCGAGATCGTGCCACTGCACTCCAGCCTGGGCGACTGAGCGAGACTCCGTCTCAAAAAAAGAAAAAACAAGATTGCCTTTACAAAAATATAAAATCAATGTTCTCCTTTAATACATTTGAATTTCAAAGTGAGTATCAAAATGTAGAATGTAGTCTGGGCACAGTGGCTCACGACTGTAATCCCAGCACTTTGGGAGGCCAAGGCAGGCTCATCACTTGAGCTCAGAAGTTCGAGACCAGGCTGCACAGCTTGGTGAAACTCCTTCTCTACTAAAAATACAAAAAATTAGCTGGGTGTGGTGGTGTGTGCTTGTAGCCCCAGCTACTCGAGAGGCTGATGTGGGAGGGTCACTTGAACCCAGGAAGTAGAGACCTCAGTGAGCCGAGATCACACCATTACACTGCAGCCTCAGAGACAGGAGTGAAACCCTGTCTCAAAAATAAATTAATTAAAAGAATAAAATATAGAATGTTTCATTCATTATTCTTTTTTAAATGAAAGGTCTCACATATTTATTACTCAACCCAGCCAACCAACAAGTTCATAACAGATTCAGAGAGAAAAAATATATTCCCAATAAAACGTCCAACTCTCCAGATAGTGGTGACATTTTCAGCTTGATATGGTAATGTGATTGTGAACTTCAGACAGCATAAATATGTGTGCCGTCTCATGTGCAATTCCTTATAGACCCAGCTTGGTTCTTCTCCAGTGTCTCCTTTTGGAGTTGTACGTGATTTTATTACCAGTTTTCATCCGAATCCACCGGGGAATGGGACGATTTTGCTTTTGTTTCTTAGCCAGGAATCACTTAATCCTGAAAGTCTTGTGAGAAGACATGGTGAGAAGCGGAGTCAAGCACACACCACGATGGTGGAGAAAGGAAGAGCTCATTCATGACTCTTTTGGTACCAAGTGACAGAGACTAAACTCCAACTGGCTTAAGCCAAATAAACTGAGGCAGAAAGGGTGGAAGGTTGAGAGTATCAATGACTCATGCTTAACATGGTTAAGTTAAACAAGAAACCTATGGTTTCTGACATACCTAGTTTCAGGGGCTGAGGTTATACAATTAGGGCTGGACCTCACCATTTCTGAGTTGTCTCTCTCTGTGCCTTCATTCTTAGGATTCTTTCTCTACATGGTGGTATCAGGTAGCTCCAGGTTTATATCCTAGAAATTGAACAATCCCAGAGGAAAACAAATTTATCTTTCACTATAGTTATAGCAAAAGTGCCAAGGAAGGCACTGATTGGCCCTGGTGGGTCATGTTCTCATGGAGTTTTGGGGTGGGTCAGCCCAAGAACTGGACCAGGGATGAAGTGGCATGATGGGGGGCAGTTATTAGAAAACAGGGGAATGTGGTCGGGCATGTTGGTTCACACCTGTAATCCCAGCATTTGGGGAGGCTGAGGCCACAGATCAACTGAGGTCAGGAGTTCAAGACCAGCCTGGCCAACATGGGGAAATGCTGTGTCTATTAAAAATACAAACATTAATTTTTATTGATTTGCATATGTTGAACCAGCCTTGTATCCCAGGGATGAAGCCCACTTGATCATGGTGGATAAGCTTTTTGATGTGCTGCTGGATTCGGTTTCCCAGGATTTTATTGAGGATTTTTGCATCGATGTTCATCAGCGATATTGGTCTAAAATTCTCTTTTTTTGTTGTGTCTCTGCCAGGCTTTGGTATCAGGATGATGCTGTCCTCATAAAATGAGTTAGGGAGGATTCCCTCTTTTTCTATTGATTGGAATAGTTTCAGAAGGAATGGTACCAGCTCCTCCTTGTACCTCTGGTAGAATTCGGCTGTGAATCCATCTGGTCCTGGACTTTTTTTGGTTGGTAGGCTATTAATTATTGCCTCAATTTCAGAGCCTGTTATTGGCCTATTCAGGGATTCAACTTCTTCCTGGTTTAAAACAGCATGGTACTGGTACCAAAACAGAGATATAGACCAATGGAACAGAACAGAGCCCTCAGAAATAATACCACACATCTACAACCATCTGATCTTTGACAAACCTGACAAAAACAAGAAATGGGGAAAGGATTCCCTATTTAACAAATGGTGCTGGGAAAACTGGCTAGCTATATGTAGAAAGCTGAAACTGGATCCCTTCCTTACACCATATACGAAAATTAATTGACGATGGATTAAAGACTTAAATGTTAGACCTAAAACCATAAAAACCCTAGAAGAAAACCTAGGCATTACCATTCAGGACATGGGCATGGGCAAGGACTTCATGTCTAAAACACCAAAAGCAATGGCAACAAAAGCCAAAATTGACAAATGGGATCTAATTAAACTAAAGAGCTTCTGCACAGCAAAAGAAACTAACATCAGAGTGAACAGGCAACCTACAGAATGGGAGACATTTTTTGCAATCTACTCATCTGACAAAGGACTAATATCCAGAATCTACAAAGAACTCGAACAAATTTACAAAAAAAAAACAACCCCATCAGAAAGTGGGCGAAGGATATGAACAGACACTTCTCAAAAGAAGACATTTATGTAGTCAACAGACACATGAAAAAATGCTCATCATAACTGGTCATCAGAGAAATGCAAATCAAAACCACAATGAGATACCCTCTCACACCAGTTAGAATGGCGATCATTAAAAAGTCAGGAAACAACAGGTGCTGGAGAGGATGTGGAGAAATAGGAACACTTTTACACTGTTGGTGGGACTGTAAACTAGTTCAACCATTGTGGAAAACAGTGTGGCGATTCCTCAAGGATCTAGAACTAGACATACCATTTGACCCAGCCATCCCATTACTGGGTATATACCCAAAGGATTATAAATCATGCTGCTATAAAGACACATGCACACGTATGTTTATTGCGGCACTATTCACAATAGCAAAGACTTGGAACCAACCCAAATGTCCATCAATGATAGACTGGATTAAGAAATGTGGAACATATACACCATGGAATACTATGCAGCCATAAAAAATGATGACATAAAAAAGTTCATGTCCTTTGTAGGGACATGGATGAAGCTGGAAACCATCATTCTCAGCAAACTATCACAGAGACAAAAAACCAAACACCGCATGTTCTCACTCATAGGTGGGAATTGAACAATGAGAACACTTGGACACAGGAAGGGGGACATCACACACTGGGGCCTCTCATGGGGTGGGGGAAGGGGGGAGGGATAGCATTAGGAGATATACCTAATGTAAATGATGAGTTAATGGATGCAGCACACCAACATGGCACATGTATACATATGTAACAAACCTGCACGTTGTGCACATGTACCCTAGAACTTAAAGTATAATTTAAGAAAAATAGCAAAAAAGATACAAAAATACAAAAATTAGCCGAGCATGATGGTGGGCACCTGTAATCCCAGCTACTCGGGAGGCTGTGGGCAGGAGAATCGCTTGAACCTGAGAGGTGGATGTTGCAGTGAGCCAAGATCATGCCACTGCACTCCAGCCTGGGCAACAGAATAAGACTCCATCTCATGCACACACACACACAAAAGGAAAATAGGGGAATGAGTGTCTGTCTGGCAAAACCAACAGATGCCTACCACATTGTGCCTACAACAGAATAATAGCACAAACCTCTGCTTTCTATCCAAATTAAAGATACTCTGTACCCCTTGGAGATTCTGATATCTCTCCTATAAGACTTGTGTAACCAGGCCAGGCACAGTGGCTCATGCCTGTAATCCCAGCACTTTGGGAGGCCAAGGCAGGCGGATCACCTGAGGTCAGGAGTTTGAGACCAGCCTGACCAACATGGAGAAACCCTGTCTCTGCTAAAAATACAAAAATTAGCCGGGCATGGTGGTGCATGCCTGTAATCCCAGCTACTCAGGAGACTGAGGCAGGAGAATTGCTTGAATCCGGGAGACAGAGGTTGCAGTGAGCCGAGATCGCCCCATTGCACTCCAGCCTGGGCAACAAGAGCAAAACTCTGTCTCTAAATAAAATAAAATAAAATAAAAAAGACTTGTGCAACTGATAATTACCCTTGATAATAATCGCTTATATTATTAACTCAGAGATAATCCTTTTTTATGTGGGAATCATTTTTTAACCTTTTATTTTGAAAAATTTTAGATTTAGAGAAAAGCTGAAAAAATAGTACAGAGAGTTCCCATGTATCCTTCACCCAATATCGCCTAAGTTTAACTTCTTATGTAATTATAGTACAATTATCAAAACTAACTTCAGCACGATGCTACTAAATAAACTACAGATTTTACTGGGGTTTCACCAGTTTCCTCTCTAATGTTCTTTTTCTGTTCTAGGATCCCACACTGCATTTAGTCATGTCTAGTTTCCTCAGTGACAGGTCTCAATCTTTTCCTATTTTTCATGACACTTCTGAAGAGTACTCCTCAGTTATTTTGTAGAATTTCAATTTTCAGACCATTTTCCCTTTAGAATGACTACCTACAAATGCACTACTACATCTAAAAACATCATACAAATAATGATGATGAAAATTACACCTTGCATAGAATCCTTGTAAACATCAAGACTCTAACCCTTGAATGGTCACAACCAATCAGTTATTCTTCTTTGGTTTTAAAAAAAAAACCTATTAAACAGGCCAGGTGCGGTGGCTCACGCCTGTAATCCCAGGACTTTGGGAAGCCGAGACAGGTGGATCACGAGGTCAGGAGATCGAGACCATCCTGGCTAACACAATGAAACCCCGTCTCTACTAAAAATACAAAAATTAGCCAGGCGTGGTGGCGGGCGCCTATAGTCCCAGCTACTCAGGAGGCTGCGGCAGGAGAATGGCGTGAACCCAGGAGGCGGAGCTTGCAGTGAGCCACTCCAGCCTGGGCGACAGAGGGAGACTCCGTCTCTGGAAAAAAAAAACAAACCAAACAAACTATTAATTACATAAAATTTATATATATATATGTATATTTTGGAGTCAGGATCTGGAGTGCAGTGGTGTGATCATAGCTCACTGCAGACTCAAACTCTTAGGCTCAAGCCATCCTTCCACCTCAACCTCTTGAGTCACTGGGATTACAGGCATACACCACCATGCCCAACTCAAATGTTTTTCATTATACCAAAAACTTTTCATCATATTAAAATTAATCAAACATATTTGAGCAATAAAATACATGATTGTATTGGATTATAACCTAAATAATAAAATAAATATCTAGCCAGGTGCAGTGAGTGGCTCACGCCTGTAATCCCAGCATTTTGGGAGACCGAGGTGGCGGATCACCTGAGGTCGGGAGTTGAAGACCAGACTGACCAACATGGAGAAACCCCGTCTTTACTAAAAATACAAAATTTGCTAGGCATGGTGGCGCATGCCTGTAATCCCAGCTACTTGGGAGGCTGAGGCAGGAGAATCGCATGAACTGGGGAGGAGGCAGGAGAATCGCTTGAACCTGGGAGGTGGAGGTTGCAGTGAGTGCAGGAAGCCGAGATCGTGCCATTGCACTCCAGCCTTGGCAACAAGAGTGAAACTCTGTCTCAAAAAAAAAAAAAAAAAAAATTCTATGAAACCATAGGTTGTTGAATGAGTAAATAACTAAATACAGGAAAAGAGACACTTCTTTACCAAATAATTCCCATTAATATATAGGAAAGGAATGAGGAAAACAGAAACCATCCTTAGAACACCACTGTAATAATTGTTACAGGCAAGATCCACCTATGAGTACTAAAATTAGGAGAGAGAAACAGGATATTTGCATAGTCTCAAAATGTCTCCCCATAGTCTCAAAGTAATTAACAAGATGTTTGTTAAATACAAACGAAAAGATAGTAACTTCATAGTGGATAAACCCAGTAGATAGCTGTCTTAATGATCAAAGCTAACATAACCAGAAATTAGACATATTGACATAATGTACCCTTTTGTATTGATATAGGAGTTTAAAAAGAAATTACTTAGGCAGATAGGATACAGAAATCCTGGGTAAGGTTTCCCTTTTAATGAAAAGCAGCCCCAGGGCCGGGCACGGTGGCTCATGCCTGTAATCCCAGTGAGAGGTGACAACATGCTGGCATCCCTCACTCACTCTCAGGGCCTTCTCAGCCTTGGCGCCCACTCTGGCCGTGCTTGAGGAGCCCTTCAGCCCGCCACCACACTGTGGGAGCCCCTCTCTGGGCTGGTTGGCTCCCTTTGCTTGCAGAGAGGTGTGGAGGGAGAGGCGCCAGTGGGAACCAGGGCTGCACGAGTTCCGGGTGGGCACGGACTCAGTGGCCCCACACTTGGAGCGGCCAGCCAGCACCGCCAGCCCCCAGCAGTGAGGGGCTTAGCACCCAGGCCAGCAGCTGCAGAGAGTGAGCCAGGTCCCCCAGCACTGCCAGCGCACCCGTGCTGCGCTCGAATTCTCGCCAGGCCTCAGTGGCCTCCCGCCCGGGGCAGGGCTCGGGACCTGCAGCCCACCATGCCTGAGCCTCCCGTGGTGGGCTCCCACGCGGCCGAGCCTCCCCAACGGGCACCGCGCCCTGCTCTGCGGTACCCGGTCCTATCTACCGCCCAAGGGCTGAGGAGTGCAGGCGCCTGGTGCGGGACTGGCGGGCAGCTCAGCCCATGGCCCTGGCACGGGATCCACTAGGCGAAGCCAGCTGGGCTCCTGAGTCAGGTGGGGACTTGGAGAACTTTTATGTTTAGCCAGAGGATTCTATATGCACCAATCAGCACTCTGCGTCTAGCTCGGGGTTCGCGGATGCACCAATCAGCACTCTGTATCTAGCTAATCTGGTGGGGACTTGGAGAACTTTTATGTCTAGCTGGAGGATTGTAAACGCACCAATCAGCACCCTGTGTCTAGCCCAAGGTTTGTAAACGCACCAATCAGTGCTCTGTGCCCAGCTAATCTAGTGGGGACTTGGAGAACTTTTGCGTCTAGCTAAAGGATTGTAAATGCACCAATCAGCACCCTGTCAAAACAGACCAATCAGCTCTCTGTAAAATGGACCAATCAGCAGGATGTGGGTGGGGCCAGATAAGGGAATAAAAGCAGGCTGCCCTAGCCAGTAGTGGCAACCCACTCAGGTCCCCTTCCGCGTTGCGGAAGCTTTGTTCTTTCGCTCTTTGCAATAAATCTTGCTGCTGCCTTTATGAGCTGTATCACTCACCGTGAAGATCTGCAGCTTCACTCCTGAAACCAGTGAGACCACAAACCCACCAGAAGGAAGAAACTCTGAACACGTCCGAACATCAGAAGGAACAAACTCCGGACACACCATCTTTAAGAACTGTAACACTCACCGCGAGGGTCCGTGGTTTCATTATTGAAGTCAGCGAGACTAAGAACCCACCAATTTCGGACACACCAGCACTTTGGGAAGCCGAGGTGGGTGGATCACCTGAGGTTAGGAGTTTGAGACCAGCCTGACCAACATGGTGAAACCCTGTCTCTACTAAAAATACAAAAAATTAGCCGGGCGTGATAGCAGGCGCCTGTAATCCCAGCTACGCAGGAGGCTGAGGCAGGAGAATCGCTTGAAGCCAGGAGGCAGAGGTTGCAGAGAGCTGAGATTCCCACCACTGCACTCCAGCTTGGGTGTGACAGAGCAAGACTCCGTCTTAAGAAAAAAAAAAAAGCAGCCCCCAAATCATTTCCCTTTCTAACAAAGAGCAGCCTGTAAAATCGAGCTGCAGACAGCAGCAAGCTGGAAGCGTGCACGGGTGAATGCCAGCAGTTGTGCCCATAGGAATATATGACCTAGGACTAGGAATGTTCAAAATGGTGGCTCTGTCTTCTCTTTTTGCCAGCCACGTGTACCATAAGGAACAGACAAGATGGCGCCAGCCCAGTGGAAAGCTCATTTGCATAACAAGATTAGGGTGGGGCGACCAGCTTTCCCCGGCCTCTATGTAAGTGTCACACCTGGTCAAACCAATATGTGAGCCCGGGTAAATCACACGCTGCCGCCTTCTCAAGCCTGCCTATAAAATCTGCGGCAATCAGCTGCTATTCTCTGTTTTCCAGCCTCTGTCACCCAAGGAGCTGCTCTCCTCTTTCCTTTCTTCTACCTATTAAACTTTACACTCCTTAACCCACCCACATGTCCCTGTCCTTAATTTTCTTGGCGCAAGATGACGAACCCCAGGTGTTTACCACAGACGATGCTGCTTCAAAATGATACACTAAGAACTTACCACTTCTGTGGCATTTTTACCAAAATTGCATCACCTCAATCTAATAATGATTAGAAATAAGACAAACACAAATAGATATAAACTGTTATTATTGTGTTTTATGCCCAATGTGGTAGGCATCTGTTGGTGCCTCTGACAGAGTCATTTCTCATATGAAAAACTTTAATATGGAAATGTTTTGGTATAATAAAAAATTTATTTTATGTAATTGTTTAATAGGTTTCTTTAAAACCAAAGAATAATAGCTGGCAGGGCATGGTGGCTCACACCTGTAATCCTATTACTTTGGGAGGCTGAAGTGGGAGGATCTCTTGGGTACAGGAGTTCGAGACCAGCCTGGGCAACATAGTGAGATGTTATCTCTCCAAAATAAATAAATAAATAAATAAATAAATAAATAAATAAAAAGAGAGAATAATAGCTGCTGATTGGTGATAACTATCCAAGGGTTAGAGTCTTTACATTCGCAAGGAATTCTATGCAGGGTGAGATTTTAAGCATAATTTTATGATGCGTTTAGATGTAGTAGTGCACCTATAGGTAGCCAGTTTAGAGGGGAAATTATCTGAAAATTGAAATTTTTATTCAAAAATCAAAACATACAGAATCTCCTTTCCGGAGCGTGTCCTTTTCTGTAACCACCAGGTGGTGCTATGAGCTTTAAAAATTACTCTACAAATGTTACTTTTTGTTTGTTTTTTTTTTTTTTTTTTTTGAGACGGAGGAGTCTCACTCTGTCGCCCAGGCTGGAGCGCAGTGGCGCGATCTCGGCTCACTGCAAGCTCCGCCTCCCGGGTTCATGCCATTCTCCTGTCTCAGCCTCCCGAGTAGCTGGGACTACAGGCACCCGCCACCACGCCCGGCTAATTTTTTGTATTTTTTTTTTAGTAGAGACGGGGTTTCACCATGTTAGCCAGGATGGTCTCGATCTCCTGACCTCGTGATCAACCCGCCTCAGCCTCCCAAAGTGCTGGGATTACAGGCGTGAGCCACCGCGCCCGGCCACAAATGTTACCTTTTTAGGTGGCATAATACCTGAACTCTATAAAGTGGAACCTTAGTGATATTCTCATCCAAAGTCTTTTTTCTTTTTTCTAAGAGACTTGCCCAACGTTACAGCTAGTTATGATGAGAGTTGGGATCAGAGTCCAAGTCTCCTGCCTCTTTAAAGTTGCTGGAGAGGCAGGTTCTGCAGACAGGAGGCTACAGAAGAATTTTTAAAAATACCTGCTAAGTGTTATACAGAAAAGGGATTATGAGGCCAGGTGCAGTGGCTCACGCCTGTAATCCCAGCACTTTGGGAGGTCGAGGTGGGTGGATCACCTGAGGTCAGGAGTTCGAGACCAGCCTGGCCAATATGGTGAAACCCCATCTCTACTAAAGATACAAAAATTAGCTGGATGTGGTGGCACTCACCTGTAATCCCAGCTACCTGGGAGGCTGAGGCAGGAGAATCACTTGAACCTGGGAGGCAGAGGTTGTGGTGAGCCGAGATGGCACCACTGCACTCAGCCTGGGCAACAGAGTGAGACGCTGTCTCAAAAAAAAAAAAAAAAGAAAGAGGATTATGAGGAAGAGCAGGCTTTCAACACTGATGGGACTGGCTTGTTTTACAAGGGCACTGGCAAACAAACCTATGTAACACAAATGGCATTTCAACTGACAAAAATGTTGAGACCGGAGGCTCACAAGAACCTCACTGTGTATTGCTCCAAAAGCTATAGTAATCACTAGTTCAATGTTTGGAGTGACTTCATAGATTGTGATTGCTGCAAATGATGAGAATCAACTCTACATAGAAATAAATGTAACAAAAGAAGTGCAATACTTCTGAAAACTCTAAAACAGTGTTGAACGATATTAAAACTTCAAATAAATGGAAAAATATCTCACTTTCATGGATTTGGAGACTTAATATTGTTAAGATAGCAATATTTCCTAAATTGATTCACTGATTCAACATAATCCCTTTCAAAATCCCAGCTGCCTCTTGCCAAAATTGACAAGCTATACATCTGTTTGACAGACCTAGTGCAATTACTGGGTGCTGCTAAGGTTCTCACTACAGATGCAAGAAAAAGGTGTCATTGTCCTTTCTGTCTGTCTTATTGTGGTAGCCAAGACTGAATAGAGGAAAACAGAGGAAAAATATGGACAGAGAAGTTTCGCAGATCAGAAATAACCTTGTAAACAGTGAAGAGCCTGTTTTACTCCAAACAAGAACCCAAAATTTGAGTATACATGAGAAGTGTTGAGAAATACCTCCTACCACCCTCACCTGGTTGATTACACTTAAGTAAAAGCTTGAAGGTTAAGACAATGAAAAGCAAGCCAGTTGGGGACTGTGGGGGGAAGAAATCGACAAGCTGATCCTAAAATTCATATGGAAATTCAAGGGATCTAGAATAACCAAAGCAATCTTGGAAAAGGAGAATGAAGTAGGAAGGCTCATATTCACTGACAGTGATCAAGGCAGTGTGAAAGGATAGACACATAAAGTCAGGCACAATGGCTCACGCCTGTAATCCCAGCACTTTGGGAGCCCAAGGAGGGTGGATCACCTGAGGTCAGGAGTTTGAGACCAGCCTGGCCAACATGGTGAAACCCCATCTCTACTAAAAATACAAAATCAGCCAGCTGTAGCGGCATATGCATTTGATCCCAGCTACTTGGGAGGCTGAGGCAGGAGAATTGCTTGAACCTGGGAGGCAGAGGTTGCAGAGAGCCAAGGTCGTTCCATTGCACTCCACCCTGGGCAACAAGAGCGGAAACTCCGTCTCAAAAAAAAAAAAAAGAAAGGACAGACACATAAACCAGTGAAACAAAAGAGAGAGCTCAGAAATAGAACCACACTAATATAGTCAACTGATTTTTATCAAAGATAGAAAGGCAATTCAATGAAGAAATAGTCTTTTTCAGCAAATGGTGATGAACAAATTGGACATCTATATGCAAAAACAATAAACTTTGACACATATCTCACACCTTAGACGAAAATTAACTTTAAATGAATCATAGATTTAAATATGAAATACAGGCCGGGCACGGTGGCTCACGCCTGTAATTTCAACACTTCAGGAGCCTGAGGTGGGCGGGTTGCCTGAGCTCAGGAGTTCGAGACCAGCCTGGGCAACATGGCAACTCCCAGCTACTTGGGAGGCTATGGTGGGAAGATCGCTTGAGCCCAGGGGGGCGGAGGTTGCAATGAGCAGAGATCGTGCCACTGCACTCCAACCTGGGTGACAGAGAGAGACCCTGTCTCAAAAAAAAAAAAAAAAAATTAAATATGAAATACAAAGCTGTAAACGGCTAGAAGAAAACACAGGAGAAAGTCTTTGTGACTCCTGATTTGGCAATGACTTTTTAGATACAATACCAAAAGCATAATCTATGAAAGAAAGATTTAATAAATTGGACGTTCTAGAAATTAAAAACTTTCACTTGTGAAAGACATTGTGAACAAAATGACAAGCCACAGACTGGAAGAAAAAATTGCAAATTACGTATAAAATCTGCCTATAAAATCTTCTGCAGTAGATTTTGGTATATATGATCCTACACCAAAAATAACATTCTCAGACTCTGAACCAAGTGAATGGACCCCCATCAGCCAAGGGCATTCCAAAGGAGGCCTGAAAAACTATTTCAGGCCGTGATGGGAAGAAGGGATTTGTTGAAGTGATTGCCTCGTTATACCCTCTCTCCTTGGAATTTAGGCACAGCTGACCAGCATTAACATTAAAACAGAGCTTTTAAACTGTCAGCTAACAAAGCTGACTCTTCGTAGCAATAATACACCAAATTCCAACCTGACTCTAGTATAACATCACATGCCAGATAGCAGGCCCTGAAAGTGAAGTATTTTACCCTGAAATATATATTTTTTGGGTTTTTTTTGTTTTTGTTTTTGAGATGGAGTCTCTGTCACCAGGCTGGCATGCGGTGGCATGATCTCGGCTCACTGCAACCTCTGACTCCCTGGTTCAGGTGATTCTCCTGCCTCAGCCTCCCGAGTAGCTGGGATTACAGGCACGCACCACCACGCCTAGCTAATTTTTGTATTTTTATTAAAGACTGGGTTTCACCATGTTGGCCAGGATGGTCTCAATCTCCTGACCTCGTGATCCACACGCCTCGGCCTCCCAAAGTGCTGGGATTACAGGTGTGAGCCACCGTGCCCGGCTTCCTTGATGTATTTTTTAAATGGCCCTGCAAAACGACTCTTATGGGGGAAATCTACATTCTGTAGAGAACCTCCTTCCCTTTCCAGAACTTTTCCTGACTCAGGAGAGATTAACTAAGAGTCTAGCACCTTTTTTTTGAGACAGGGTCTCACTCTATCACCCAGGTTGGAGGGCAGTGGTGCAATCTCAGCTCACTGCAGCCTCGATTTCCTGGGCCTCGGGTGATCCACCTACCTCGGCCTCCCAAAGTGCTGGGATTACAGGCATGAGCCACCGCACTTGGCCAACCGCTTATCTTAATCCAGAGTTCCTTTCTGTTGATTCCAGGTCTTTAGATAATAACATAATTTTTTTCAACCAACTGCCAACCATAAAATCTTTGAATCCACCTATGACCAGGAACCGTCCCCGTCCTCACTTCAAGTTGTCCCAATTTTCTTTTTCTTTTTCTTTTTTTTTTTTTTTGAGACGGAGTCTTGCTCTGTCGACTGGAGTGCAATAGTGTGATCTCAGGTCACTGCAACCTCTACCTCCCGGGTTCAAGCGATTCTCCTGCCTCAGCCTCCCGAGTAGCTGGAATTACAGGTGTGTCCCACTTTTCCAGACTGAACCAATGTACACCTTACATTGATTGATGTGTGCCTATAACTTCTGTCCCCCTAAAAGGTATAGAGTCAAGCTGTAACCCAACCACCTTGGGCACATGTTCCCAGGACCTCCTGAGGCTGTGTCACCAGTCACAATCCCTAGCCTTGGCAAAATAAGCTTCTAAATTGATTGAGACTTGTCTCAGATACTTTTTGGTTTACATGATAAGGGACATATATCCAATATATAAAGAATTCTTCAAATGCAACAATAGGAAAAGAACTCAATTTTTTAAATGGACAAAATATCTGAATAGAACACTTCAACAGAGGAGATATATGAATGACAAATAAGAACATGAAAAGATGCTGTTGGCCAGGGCGGTGGCTCACACCTGTAATCCCAGCATTTTGGGAGGCCGAGGCGTGTGGATCACCTAAGGTCAGGAGTTTGAGACCAGCCTAACCAACATTGTGAAACCCTGTCTCTACTAAATACAAAAAATTAGCCGGGCTTGGTGACGCATGCCTATAATCCCAGCTACTTGGGAGGCTGAGGCAGGAGAATCGCTTGAACCCAGGAGGCAGAGGTTACAGTGAGCCGAGATTGCACTATTGCACTACAGCCTGGGCAACAAAAGCGAAACTCCATCTCAAAAAACAAACAAAACAAAAGAAGCCAAGACTGCATCCTCCCCACGAGCACAGAGCCTCGCCCTCTCCACTCCGCCGCCCATCCACACCTGCTGCCAGCTCACCATGCATGACGATATCACTGCTCTCGTATTCAACAATGGCTCTGGCATATGCAAGGCTAGCTTTGCGAGCGATGGTGTCCCCCGGGCTGCCTTCCCCTTCATCATGGCACCAGGGCATGATGGTGGGCATGGGTCAGAAGGACTCCTATGTGGATGAGGCCCAGAGCAAGAGAGGCATCCTGACCCTGAAGTACCCCATTGAGCATAGCATCATCACCAACTGGGATGACATGGAGATCTGACACCACACCTTCTTTTTTTTTTTTTTTTTTTTCCTTTAAAAGAAAAGTTTATTACAGTTTCCAAGAGAAAGGGGCATGTCACACCATGAGGGGCCACACAGGGAAGAACGAGGTCAATCAGGAAGCAGCAGAATGAGGAAAAAGCCTGGGCAAAACCTTTACTGTTGTTTTCACAGAAGGCATGGGTGAAACAGAGTAAGCAGCCGAGCAGGCTGAGGATTGGATAGTTTCTTTTTTTTTTTTTATTTTTTATTTTTATTTTTTTATTTTTTTTTATTGATCATTCTTGGGTGTTTCTCGCAGAGGGGGATTCGGCAGGGTCATAGGACAATAGTGGAGGGAAGGTCAGCAGATAAACAAGTGAACAAAGGTCTCTGGTTTTCCTAGGCAGAGGACCCTGCGGCCTTCCGCAGTGTTTGTGTCGCGGGGTACTTGAGATTAGGGAGTGGTGATGACTTTTAACGAGCATGCTGCCTTCAAGCATCTGTTTAAGAAAGCACATCTTGCACCGCCCTTAATCCATTTAACCCTGAGTGGACACAGCACATGTTTCAGAGAGCACAGGGTTGGGGGTAAGGTCACAGATCAACAGGATCCCAAGGCAGAATAATTTTTCTTAGTACAGAACAAAATGAGAAGTCTCCCATGTCTACCTCTTTCCACACAAACACAGCAACCATCCAACCTCTCAATCTTTTCCCCACCTTTCCCCCCTTTCTATTCCACAAAACCGCCATTGTCATCATGGCCCATTCTCAATGAGCTGCTGGGCACACCTCCCAGACGGGGTGGCAGCCGGGCAGAGGGGCTCCTCACTTCCCAGTAGGGGCAGCTGGGCAGAGGCGCCCCTCACCTCCCTGACGGGGCGACTGGCCGGGCGGGGGGCTGACCCCCCCACCTCCCTCCCGGACGGGGCGGCTGGCCGGGCAGAGGGGCTCCTCACTTCCCAGTAGGGGCGGCCGGGCAGAGGCGCCCCTCACCTCCCGGACAGGGCGGTTGGCCGGGCGGGGGCCTGACCCGCCCCACCTCCCTCCCGGCCCCACCTCCCTCCCGGACAGGGCGGCTGGCCGGTCGGGGGGCTGACCCCCCCACCTCCCTCCCGGACGGGGCGGCTGGCTGACCCCCCGACCTCCCTCCCGGACGGGGTGGCTGCCGGGCGGAGACGCTCCTCACTTCCCAGACGGGGTGGCTGCCGGGCAGAGGGGCTCCTCACTTCTCTGACAGGGCGGCTGCCGGGTGGAGGGGCTCCTCACTTCTCAGACGGGGCGGTTGCCAGGCGGAGGGTCTCCTCACTTCTCAGACGGGGCGGCCGGGCAGAGACGCTCCTCACCTCCCAGACGGGGTCGCGGCCGGGTAGAGGCGCTCCTCACATCCCAGACGGGGTGGCGGGGCAGAGGTGCTCCCCACATCTCAGACGATGGGCGGCCGGGCAGAGACGCTCCTCACTTCCTAGATGGGATGGCGGTCGGGAAGAGGCGCTCCTCACTTCCTATATGGGATGGCGGCCGGGCAGAGACGCTCCTCATTTTCCAGACTGGGCAGCCAGGCAGAGGGGCTCCTCACATCCCAGACGATGGGCAGCTAGGCAGAGACGCTCCTCACTTCCCAGACGGGGTGGCGACCGGGCAGAGGCTGCAATCTCGTCACTTTGGGGGGCCAAGGCAGGCGGCTGGGAGGTGGAGGTGGTAGCAAGCCGAGATCACGCCACTGCACTCCAGCCTGGGCACCATTGAGCGCTGAGTGAACCAGACTCCGTCTGCAATCCCGGCACCTCGGGAGGCCGAGGCTGGCGGATCACTCGCGGTTAGGAGCTGGAGACCAGCCCGGCCAACACAGCGAAACCCCGTCTCCACCAAAAAAATACGAAAACCAGTCAGGCGTGGCGGCGCGCGCCTGCAATCGCAGGCACTCGGCAGGCTGAGGCAGGAGAATCAGGCAGGGAGGTTGCAGTGAGCCGAGATGGCAGCAGTACAGTCCAGCTTCGGCTCGGCATCAGAGGGAGACCGTGGGGAGAGAGGGAGAGGGAGACCGTGGGGAGAGGGAGAGGGAGAGGGAGAGGGACACCACACCTTCTACAACGAGCCGGGTGTGGCTCTTGAGGAGCACGCTGTGTTGCTGACTGAGGCCCCTCTGAACCCCAAGGACAACTGCGAGAAGATGACTTAGATCATGTTTGAGACCTTCACACCCCAGCCATATACGTGGCCATCCAGGCCGTGCTGTCCCTGTACGCCTCTGGCCATAGCTGGCATTGTGATGGACTCCGGTGATGGGGTCACCAACACTGTGCCCATCTATGAAGGGTACACCCCTCCCCCACACCATCCTGTGTCTGGACCTGACTGGCCGGAACCTGACTGACTACCTCATGAAGATCCTCACCCAGTGTGGCTACAGCTTCACCACCACAGTCATGCAGGAAATTGTGTGTGACATCAAGAAAAGGCTGTGCTACATCCCCCTGGACTTTGAGCAGGAGATGGCCATGGTGGGCTCCAGCTCCTCCCTGGAGAAGAGCTACAAGCTGCCCAATGGCCAGGTCATCACCATTAGCAACAAGTGGTTCTGCTGCCCCGAGGCACTCTTCCAAACTTCCTTCGTGGGCATGGAATCCTGTGGCATCCACGAAACTACCTTCAACTCCATCATGAAGTCGGATGTGGACATCTACAAAGACCTGTATGCCAACACAGTGCTGTCTGGCAGCACCACCATGTACCCTAGCATCACCAACAGGATGCAGAAGGAGATTACCGCCCTGGCGCCCAGCGCAATGAAGATCAAGATCATTGCTCCTCCTGAGTGCAAGTACTCTGTGTGGATCAGAGGCTCCATCCTGGCCTCGCTGTCCACCTTCCAGCAGATGTGGATCAGCAAGCAGGAGTACAGTGAGTCCAGCCCCTCCATCGTCCACCGCAAATGCTTCTAGGTGGACTGTGACTTAGTTGCATTACACTCTTTCTTGACAAAACCTAACTTGCACTAAAAACAAGATGAGATTGGTGTGACTTTGTTTTTTTTGTGGCTGGAGTTTTCTTTTGGCTTGACTCAGGATTTAAAAACTGGAACGGTGAAGGTGACAGCAGTCGGTTGGAGCGAGCATCCCCCAAAGTTCTACAATGTGGCCGAGGACTTTGATTGTACGTTGTTCTTTTTTTTGATAGTCATTCCAAATATCATGGGATGCATTGTTACAGGAAGTCCCTTGCCCTCCTAAAAGCCACCTCACTTCTCTCTAAGGAGAATGGCCCAGTCCTCTCCGGAGTCCACACAGGGGAGGTGATAGCATTGCTTTCGTGTAAATTATGTAATACAATTTTTAAAAAATCTTCACCTTAATACTTTTTTACTTTGTTTTATTTTGAATGATCAGCCTTCGTGGCTCCCCATTTCTTTTCCCCCAACTTAAGATGTATGAAGGCTTTTGGTCTCCCTGGAAGTGCGTGGATGCAGCCAGGACTTACCTGTACACTAACTTGAGACCAGTTGAATAAAAGTGTACACCTTAAAAAAAAAAAAAAAAGAAAGAAAAGATGCTGTCAACATCGTTTTTCATTTAGAGAAAGGCAAAGTACAAAACATAAGATGCCACTACATACACATCAGAATATTTAAGATAAGAAATGAACTAACAATAACAAATGCTGTCAAGGATTTGAAACATCGGTACTGTCTTTCATTGCTAATGGGAATGCAAAAATGATACAGCCATGTTGGAAGACAGTTTCCCAGTTTTTAATGTTCAACATAGACTTACCATATGACCTAGTAGTCTTTCTCCTAGGTTTTCAAAACCACCTGATTTGAAAACACGTCCACACAGAAACCTGTACGTGAATGTTTATAACAGATTTATTCATAATTATCCAAAACCAGAAGCAACCAAGATGTCCTTCAATAAGTGAATGGGTAAACAAAATGTGGCACATATGATGGAAAACTATTCAGCAAGAAAAAATGGGAAATACTATTTATCCACACAGTAGCATGGATGAATCTTTTTGTTGTTGTTGTTTGAGACAGTCTCACTCTGTCACCCAGCCTGGAGTGCAGTGGCATGATCTCGGCTCACTGCAACCTCTGCCTCCTGGGTTCAAGTGATTCTCCCACCTCAGCCTCCTGAGTAGCTGGGATTACAGGCACCCACCGTCATGCCCAGTTAATTTTTTGTATTTTTGTAGAGATAGGGTTTCACCATGTTGACCAGGCTGGTCTTGAAACCCTGACCTCAGGTGATCCACCCGCCTTGGCCTCCCAAAGTGCTGGGAATACGGGTGTGAGCCACTGCACCCGGCCTTTTTTTTTTTTTTTGAGATGGAGTCTGACTCTTTCACCCAGGCTGGAGTGAATGGCATGATCTCTGCTCACTGCAACCTCCGCCTTCCAGGTTCAAGCAATTCTCCTGCCTCAGCCTCCTGAGTAGCTGGGATTACAGGCGCCTGCCACCATGCCCAGCTAATTTTTGTATTTTTAGTAGAGACAGGTTTTGCCTTGTTGGCCAGTCTGGTCTTGAACTCCTGACCTCAGGTGATCCACCTGCCTTGGTCTCCCAAAGTGCTAAGATTACACATGTGAGCCACCATGCCCGGCCACATGGATGAATCTTAAGGGAATTTTGCTAAGGGGGAATAAAACAGACTAGAAATGCTATATATTGAATAATTCCCTTCACAAGACATTCTAGAAATGGCCAAACTGTAGGGATGGAAAATGGATCAGTGGTTTCTAGGGACTAGGAAAAGGAGAAGTTAACTAGGGAAAGCACAGGCTGTTCTTTATTTTTATTTATTTATTTATTTTGAGACAGAGTTTCGCTCTCGTTGCCCAGGCTGGAGTGCAATGGCGTGATCTCGGCTCACCGCAACCTCTGCCTCCTGGATTCAAGCGATTCTCCTGCCTCAGCCTCCTGAGTAGCTGGGATTGCAGGCATGTGCCACCATGCCCACCTAATTTTGTAGTTTTAGTAGATATGGGGTTTCTCTATGTTGGTCAGGCTGATCTTGAACTCCTGACCTCAGGTGATCTGCCCACCTCGGCCTCCCAAAGTGCTGGGATTATAGGCGTGAGCCACTGTGCCCAGCTGCATAGGCTATTCTTTAGGGTGATGAAACTAACCCATATGGTACTGCAGGGATGGATCTAGGACTTTAAGCATTTATCAAACCCATAGAATCTATAACAAAAAGGATGTATGAAAACTTAATGTATGAAATTTAAAAAAAAAAATCAACAAGGAGGTCAAAGATAAAGGGATGCAATTAGACTGTGCCTATGCTGAATAATTTACTTCCAAAAAGTAGGATATGGAAAGGGGGAAGGAATAAAAGTAACTTCACAGTGGGGAAATCTGGCAGCCATCACCTTAACCAAGTGATTGAAGTTAACATCACCAGTAAAGGGACAAATAAATTTTTCTGTGCCCCCTGTGTGATGCACTGAGAAGGACATGTCACTTCTATGGTAACCATAGCCAAAATGTGTAATACAAATCTAAGTATGAGGAAATGTCAGAAGAAAACAAAATTGAAGGACTTTTTTTTTTTTAGACGGAGTCTGTCTAAATGCTGTCGCCAGGCTGGAGTGCAGTGGCGTGATCTTGGCTCACTGCAACCTCCGCCTCCCAGGTTCAAGCTATTCTGCCTCAGCCTCCCAAGTAGCTGGGACTACAGCTGTGACAGCGCCTGCCACAACGCCCAGCTAATTTTTTATATTTTTAGTAGAGACGGCGTTTCACCGTGTTAGCCAGGATGGTCTCGATCTCCTGACCTTGTGATCTGCCTGCCTCGGCCTCCCAAAGTGCTGAGATTACAGGTGTGAGCCACTGCACTCGGCCAGGACAGTCTATAAAATAACTGGACTATTCAAAAAAGTCAAGATAGTGGCTGGGCGCGGTGGCTCATGCCTGTAATCCCAGCACTTCGGGAGGCTGAGTTGGGTGGATCACCTGAGGTCAGGAGTGTGAGACCAGCCTGGCCAACATGGCGAAACCTCATCTCTACTAAAAATACAAAAATTAGGCAGGCATGGTGGCAGGCGCCTGTAATCCCAGCTCCTCGGGAGGCTGAGGCAGGAGAATTGCTTGAACCAGGGAGGCAGACGTTGTGGTGAGCCAAGATCGTGCCATTGCACTCCAGCCTGGGCAACAAGAGCGAAATTCCGTCTCAAAAAAAAAAAAAAAAAAAAATCAAGATCATGAAAGCAAAGAAAGACTGGGGAACTGTTTAAAGGAGACTAACCAGCCTGAAAACGAAATAAAATATGCAATCCTGGACTGGATCATGACTGGAAAAAAAAGGTCTATAAAAAGCATCAGTTAAATTTGAATACAATCTTCAGACTGAAACTCAGGCATCAGCACTTTTTAAAGTTCCTGGTAGATTTCCATGTGCAGCCAAATTTGAAAATCAGTAGAGTTTCTCCCGTAGTCTTCATTTAGACCTCACTACTGGCCCAATTAAACCAGGCAGTTTGTAACTTCTGCATAGTGTCTCAAAGTGTTTAGGAAGCTCTGAAGACAGAGAGATTATAAAGATGACATGGTATAAACCTAATATTGGCATGCTTTTATGGTAATTAATAAGACAAATGATTATGAAACTACATTAAACGAATTGCAGAGGGCTTGAATGATGTAAATAATTAATCTTCCTTCCTAATTACAATGATGTTCCTTAGTCATCAATTCTGGCTTCTTAATTTCTAAAGACAAGCTTCGATTGCTAAAGTAAAAAGGCCAGCCTGGACAACACGATGAAACCTCATCTCTACTAAAAATGCAAAAATTAGCCGGTGTGGTGGTGGGCCCCTATAATCCCAGTTACTCGGGAGGCTGAGGTGGGATAATCGCAGGAGGCTGAGGTGGGATAATCGCATGAACCTGGGAGGCGGAGCCTGCAAGATCGCACCACTGCCCTCCAGCCTGGGCAACAGAGTGAGACTCTGTCTCAAAAAATAAATAAATAAAAAAGTAAAAAGGGCACACAATGAAATCAACACAAGAGTTAAGAACCAAAGTAGCTTGACTCTAGGTGTCAGATTTCAGTTCTCTTGACTGTCAGTACTAGGAGCTATTCCATGTTTTCCTTTGTTGTTGTTGTTGTTTTGTTTTGCTTTGAGATAGGATCTCACTCTGTTATCAGGCTGGGGTGCAGTGGCATGAACTTGACCCCACTTCAACCTCTGCCTCCTGGGCTCAAGCAATCCTCCCACCTCAGCCTCCCAAGTAGCTGAGACCACAGATGCATGCCATCATGCCTGGCTAATTTTTGTTTCTTTTGTGGAGACAGGGATCTTGCCATGTTATCCAGCCTGGTCTCCAACTCCTGTGCTCAAGCGATCCACCCACCTCAGCCTCCCAAAGTGCTGGGATTACAGGTGCGTGTCACTGCCCCCAGTCTCCATCTTTTCTTTCTTACTTCCTCTGGGCCCAGAACACCATACTGGGCCTTTTCACCTCCTCAAAGATGTTTTTCACTACTTACATGTGCTGAAATTGCCAAAAAATAAAAAGCAATAGCACTGCCACCACATTCATCCTCCAGATAGGGCCCCATCTCTCCGCACTTTCCAGGCAAACTGCTGAGCACTTTCTATTTCCTCACTCCTACTCACTCTTCAAACCATTAGAATCGGCCCTCTTGCCCAGAACTTTACCAAGTCCCCCAAAGATTTCCTTGCTAATAAACCCAAAGGACAACTTTCCTTCTTTATTAACTGGTCCTCAGCCGTGTTTTACACTGTTGGCCATTCCAGACACGCAGACCCAGAACAAGTTTTGAAGTCAGACAGCCTAAATTCAAATCCTGGCTTGGCCACTCACTAGCCCAGCAACCATAGCCAGCTACCTAATATCAGAGCCTCAGTTTCCTCAAGTGTTGCATGGAGATTGTAACAATATGTACCCCTGGAACAGGTTGCCATAAGTGCTGAACACCATGTCTGGCATTTGGTAAGCACTCAATGAATTATGATTTTCTAATAAAAATTTCTCTTGTCGGCAGGCATGGTGGTTCATGACTGTAATTCCAGCACTTTAAGAGTCCAAGGCAGGAAGATTGCTTGAGCCCAGAAGTTTGAGACCATCCTGGGCAACAGCAAGACCTTTTCTCTACAAAAAAATTTTTAAACATTAGCTGGTGTGGTAGCACATGCCTGTAGTTCCAGTTGGGAGGCTGAGGTGGGAGGATTACTTGAGCCCAGGAGGTCGAGGCTGCAGTGATCTGCGATTGAGCTACTGCACTCCAGTCTGGGCAACAGAGTGAGATCCTGTCTCAAAACTGATCCATTCATCAACTGATGGACATTTGTGTTGTTTTCACTTTTTGGCTACTATGAATGATGTTTCACTATGAACACTCATGTACAGGTTTTTGTGTGGACATATGTTTTCACCACTCTTGGTTAGCCCAGCAACTGTAGCCAGTTACCTAAGCTCAGTTCTACTTGGGAGTAAAATTACTAGGCCATGCAGTAACTGTGTGTTTAACATTCAGAAGAACTGCCAGATAGTTTCCCAAAGTCATAATACCAATTTACAATCCCACCAGCAATGTAAGAGAGTTCCAATTTCTCCATATTCTTGTCAACATTTATTATTATCTTTTTAAATTTTAGCCATTCCAGTGTGTGTAAAGTGATATGTCATTCTGGTTGTTTTTTGTTGTTGTTGTTGTTGTTTGTTTTGGAGACAAAGTCTTACTCTGTTGCCCAAGCTGGAGTGCAGTGGCACGATTTGGGCTCACTGCAACCTCCACCTCCCTGGTTCAAGCGATTCTTGTGCCTCAGCCACCCAAGTAGCTGGGATTACAGGCGCGCACCACCATGCTCAGCTAATTTTTGCATTTTTAGTAGAGACAGGGTTTCACCATGTTGGCCGGGCTGATCTTGAACTCCTGACCTCAGGTGATCCACCCATCTCAGCCTCCCAAAGTGCTGGGATTACAGGTGTGAGCCACTGTGCCCAGCCCTCATTCTGGTTTTGATTAGCATTTCCCTAATGAATAGTGATGTTTATTGTTTTGCATATACTTATCAGACATTTTCATACCTTCTTTGGAGAAATATCTATTCAAATATCTTGCCAATTTTTAAAATGAGTTATTTGTGTTTTTATTGTTGAGTTGTAAGTGTTCTTTATATATTCTAAGTACTAGCCCCTTTTCAAATCAATGGTTTGCAAATATTTCCTCCCATTCTGTGGGCTGCCTTTTTTACTTTAAGAACATCTTTTTTTTTCCCCCTCTCCAACTTTTATTTTAGATTCAGAAACAAAGCTATTTTTCCAACATATCCAACATGCTTCTGGCTCAAGGCCTTTGCACTGACTATTCTCTCTGCCTGGGTGACCTTTCCTGGGTCTTCACATAGTTCCCTTCCTCTGTCCATTCATGTCTGTCTCCTTAGGCAGCCTTCTCTGACCACCATATATAAAGTAGCATTCCCATGACTACCCCTTTCCTCTGCTTAGTTTTCCTTATAACCCTTATCCCTGCCTGAAATTGTATTATCAGTTTCTCTATTACTTGTCTGTTTCCTCTATTAGAATGTAAGTTCTACAAAGACTAGAATGTTGTCTTGTTCTGTGTTCTATCTCCAACACTTAACAAAATCCATGAGTCATGAAAGGCACTTAATAACATTTTGTAGAAAGAATGAATAAATGTAAGAAGTTGGTGAGTTTCCCCAGTCAGGTTTACCGATGAAGCTATCCCAAGATGCAGATGAGAGATAGATACTGTTTTAGATACCTGAAATGGTCACCGGGGACTAGGTATAGGACCATCCACAGACACAGGTTCACTTTAACACATCTGTTTCACTGACACCAGAGTGAGGCTGGGCGTGGTGGCTCACGCCTGTAATCCCAGCACTTTGGGAGGCCAAGACGGGTAGATTGCTTGAGGTCAGGAGTTTTGAGACCAGCCTGGCCAACATGGCAAAACCCCATCTCTACAAAAATTACAAAAATTAGCCAAGTGTGGTGGTGCATGCCTGTAGTCTCAGCCACTTGGGAGGCTGAGGCACAAGAATTGCTTGAACCCGGGAGATAGAGGTTGCAGTGAGCCAAGATCACGGCACTGTACTCCAGCCTGGGTGACAGTGCAAGACTCTGTCTCAAAAGAAAAAAAAAAAACAAGAGTAAGATATTCCATATGGGTACAATATCAGTAACAGCGGAGGCTTTCACCAGGTTCAAAGGGTGGGCCAACAATCAATCTTGGATTACTAAACCTCTCTCTGAAAGATTTTGTCATTTTGGTCTTCCTGGAGTTTGTTGGAAATTCCCAGTTTTTTGGACAAAAATATTTAATTTTGATTTGTCTCAGTCTAGCAGCTTGCATCTTCTTGCCAGTTAGAGCTCATTCTAGGGTATGTGCTGTCAACTAGCTGTCACAGCCTTTCTTAGCACCAAGAGAAACCTGGCTAAGATCTTTTGCTTTCTGCCCTTCATCCTCCATTCCTCGAATTCTGTACTTGCAGAATTTTACCTACTCTATAGCTGGTATGTCTTATCTTTCTCTTCCCTTCCCATTCTTTTTTGTTGTTGTTTAGACGGAGTCTCACTCTGTCACCCAGGCTGGAGTGCAGTGACACGATCTCGGCTCTCTGCAGCCTCTGCCACCGCGCCTGGCCTTGCTGTAAGGTTTTATATTCATTTTCTAGCAGATCTATGGCTTGATGCAACAAGCGAGAGTTGTGTTCCAACTTCTCTGCTTCCCAGCCCCTGCCAAGCTATCAACTCAGCACTCAGTTCGGATTAGAAATGGTCTATGTAGTTTTCAACTATTGTTAACAAAGATTCCTTTTGTGAGACATTCATCATCTGTTTTTTAATTTCTCAGTCTGGTCACCTGCAGCTATTTCAGCTGCACAATGCCATTACTCAAAACTTGAATTTCATTTTCTTTGTGAACAAGAGCACTTGCTATGTCTTCTGGAAATTTCTGACAACGTTCGATTGGATCACCGAACTCACTTCAGTCTTCTGCTTCCTGTTGCAAGTATTCAAGTCTCTCTCTTTTTAAAATAGGTGCGGCCAGGTGTGGTGATTCATGCCTGTAATCTCGGCGCTCTGGGAGACTGAGGCAGGCAGATTGCCTGAGCTCAGGAATTTGAGATCAGCCTGGGCAACAAGGCAAAACCCTGTCTCTACAAAAAAATACAAAAATTAGCCAGGCATGGTGGCATGTGCCTATAGTCCCCAGCTGTGCAGGAGGCTGAGGTGGGAGGATCACCTGAATCAGGGAAGTAAAGGCTGCAGTGAACCATGATTGTGCAACTGCACTCCAGCCTGGGCAATGGGATTGAGACCCTGTCTCAAAGAAAAAAAAATATATTATCCAGGTGTGGTGGTACACACCTGTAGTCCCAGCTACTCGGGAGGCTAGGGCAGAAGGATTGCTTGAGCCCAAGGGGTTCAAAGTCAAAGTGAACTGTGATGGCATCACTGCACTCCAGCTTGGGTGACGGAGCAAGACAATCTCAAAAAAAAAAAAAAAATTAGACCGGGGGCAGTGGCTCACGCCTGTAATCTCAGCACTTTGGGAGGCTGAGGTGGGTGGATCACTTGAGGTCAGGAGTTCGCGACCAGCCTGGCCAACATGGTGAAACCCCCATCTCTATTAAAAATACAAAAATTAGGCCAAGCATGGTGGCTCACGCCTGTAATCCCAACACTTTGGGAGGCCGAGGTGGGCAGATTACCTGAGGTTAGGAGTGTGAGACCAGCCTGGCCAACATGGTGAAACCCCGTCTCTACTAAAAATACAGAAAAATTAGCTGGGCATGGTGGCATGTTCCTGTAATCCCAGCTACTCGGGAGGCTGAGGCAGGAGAATTGCTTGAACCAGGGAGTTGGAAGTTGAAGTGAGCTGACATCATGCCACTGCACTCCAGCCTGGTGACAGAGCGACACTCCATCTCAAAAACAAAACAAAACAAACAAACCAACAAAAAAATACAAAAATTAGCCAGGCGTGGTGGCGGGCGTCTGTAATCCCAGCTACTCGGGAGGCTGAGGCATGAGAATCATCTGAACCTGGGAGGCGAAGGTCCTGCCACTGCACTCTAGCCTGGGTAACAGAGTGAGACTCTGTCTTAAAAAAAAAAAATTAATTGACAAAGATTGTATATACTCGAGGCATACAGCATGATGATTTGATATATGTGTATAGATTTTGTAATGATTATCACAATCAAATTAACACATTCAACACTACCCTTGCTGTTCAGTAGATCCCTAGAACTTGTTCATCTTTTTTTTTTATTTAGACGTGGGGGTCTGAGCCAAGCTCAGAAATTGTTCTTCTTATAGCTGAAAGTTTATATCCTGTGATCAACATCTTTTCATTTCTCCTACTCCTCAGCCTTTGGCAACCATCGTTCTACTCTCTGCTTCTATAAGTTTGACTTTTTTAGATTCTACAAGTAAATGAAATCATACGTTATGTGTCTTTCTGGGTCTGGCTTATTTCACTTAGCATAAGGTCTTCTGCTTTCATCAATGTTGTTGCATATTACAAGATTTTCTTCTTTTACTTGGCTTGAATGATATCCTATTGTATATATATACACCAAAATTTTCTTCATTCATCCATCCATGGACACTTAGGTTGTTTCCATATCTTGGCTATTGTGAATAATGCTGCAATTAACATGGGAATGCAGATATCTCTTTGAGATACTGATTCCATTTCCTTTGGATATATACTCAGAAGTGGAATTGTTGGATTGTATGGTATTTCTATTTAAAATTTTTTTTCCCAATGACCTCTGAATGTTTTATTGGCCTCCTACTCCCCAAAGGATACCCTGCTTCTGCTGGCTGAATGTCTCGGCACTTTGGTGTCGTTGGTTTCAAACACCTAGGGTTTTTTTGGTGTCGTTGGTCTCAAACACCTAGGGGATTTTTGGTGTTGTTGGTCTCAAACAGCTAGGGGACCTCCTATGCCATCCACTATCCTGTGGGTGGTGGTCTTCTGGATGCTTTGGATGGAGTTGCTGCTATCCAGGGCATCACCAGGATTGAAGCCCTCCTCATCTTCCAGCAGGTGGTGGTAGGTAGTGATCTCCGCCTCCAGCTTGATCTTTATGTTCAGCAGAGCCTCAAATTCCTGGACCTGGTGTTGCCCCTCTGCCCAGGTCTGTGCCAGCTCCAACTTCAAGTGCAGCAGAACCCTGTTGAGCTGCTCCATCTGCATGGCATAGCGGGTCTCCACCTCCCTCAGGCTGTTCTCCAACCTGGCTTTCAGATTTCTCATTGAGTTCAGGTTGATCTCCAAGGACTGGAGTGTATGTCTCAGCTCCATGAGCATTATCTCAGAAGCTCCGATCTCAGCGGACTGCTTGGTGCTCTCCTCAGTCTGCTAGGACCAGTACTTGTTCAGCTCCTCTCGGTTCTTCTGAGCCAACTTGTCATATTGGGCACGGATGTCTGCCATGATCTTGGCCAGGTCCTGAGATTTGAGGGCATCTACCTGCATGGTCAACCCAGAGCTGGCAATCTGGGCTTGGAGGCCTTTTACTTCCTCTTCGTGGGTCTTCTTCATGAAGAGTAGCTCCTCCTTGAGAGCCTCAATCTCTGTCTCCAGCTGCAGCTGAGTGACATTGGTGTCATCAGTGGTCTTGCGGAGCCCATGGATGTCACTCTCCACAGACTGGCACATGGCCAGTTCTGTCTCACACTTGACTCTAAAGTCATCAGCAGCTATATGGGCCTTGTCAGTCTGCAGAATGATGCAGGCACTGTCCATAGTACTTGCGAAGATCTGAACCCTCAGGTCCTCAATGGTCTTGAAGTAATGCCCCTAGTCTCTGACCTGGGGTCCCTTCTTCTCCAGATGCTCCCAGACTTTGCTCTCCAGCCTCCATTTCTCGGTCTCTCAGGCTCCTCACTCTGTCCAGGTAGGAGGCCAGACAGTCATTCAGGCCTTGCATGGTCTCCTTCTCGTTCTGGATATCCCCTATTCCCACCAGGTCCCCCAAGCCACCCCAGAAGCTTGTGGAGTGGGACACGGAGATCTGGAAGCCTGAGCCCCCAGCACCTGCATAGACACTGGCCACACTGCTGACCAGCTGGGCCACGTAGCTGGGCAGCTGGACAGAGCCCAGGGAACAGTAGTTGGTGGAGGAGGTGGTGGAGTGAGTGGTAAAGCTCATGCTGTCTGGGGAGGAAAGCAAGAGGACAGGACTCAAGTTCTGCCTAGGACCTAATTTTATTTATTTATTTATTTATTTATTTATTTATTTATTTATTTTTAGCCAGAGCTTCACTCTGTTGCCCAGAGGCTAGAATGCAATGGCATGATCTCAGCTCACTGCAGCCTCCACTTCCCGGGCTCAAGCAATCCTCCCACCTCAGCCTCCTGAGTATCTGGGACTATAGGTGTATACCACCACATCTGGCTAATTTTTGTATTTTTTTATAGAGATGGGGTCTCACTATGTTGCTGAGGCTGGTCTCAAACTCCTGGGCTCAAGCAATCCCCCTGCTTCAGCTTCCCAAAGTGCCGGGACTACAGATGCGAGCCACCACACCTGGCCCTATTTTTAACTTTTGAGAAACTTCCATACTCTTTTTCATAATGGTTGTACTGACTTACATTCCCACCAACAATATACAAAAGTTCTTTTTTCTCCACACCCTTACCAAAAGTTCATGTTCCTTGTCTTTTTGATAACCATTCTAACAGGTGTGAGGCAATACGTCATTGGAGTTTTGACTTGAATTTCTCTGACAATTAGTGCTGTTGAGCACTTTTTCATGTACCCTTTGGCCATTTGTATAGCTTCTTTGGAAAAATCTATATTCAAGATCTTTTGCCCTTTTAAAAAATTGGGTTATTTGTGGCCAGGCGCAGTGGCTCATGCCTGTAATCCCAGCACTTTGGGAGGCTGAGACAGGTGGATCACCTGAGGTCAGGAGTCTGAGACCAGCCTGGCCAACATGGTGAAACCGCATCTCTACTAAAAATTCAAAAAATTAACCGGGTGTGGTGGCAGGTGCCTGTAATCCCAGCTACTTGGGAGGCTGAGGCAGGAGAATCGCTTGAACCCAGGAGGCGGAGGTTGCAATGAGTGGAGATCTCACCATTGCACTCCAGCCTGGGCAACAGAACCAGACTCCTTCTCAAAAAAATAATAAAAATAATTTTAAAAATTTGGTTATTTGGTTTTTTGCTGGTAAGTTGTATGAGTTTCTTATTTTCTTTATATTAACCTTTTTTTTTTTCTTGAGACAGAGTCTCACTTCATTGCCCAGGCCTAAGTGAAGTTGTGTGACCTCGGCTCACTGCAACCTCCACCTCCCAGTTTCAAGCAATTCTCCTGCCTCAGCCTCCCGCGTAGCTGGGATAACAGGCGTGCACCACCATGCCCAGCTAATTTTTGTATTTTTAGTAGAGATGGGGTTTCACCATGTTGGCCAGGCTGGTCTTGAACTCCTGACCTCAAGTGATCTGCCCGCCTCGGCCCCCCAAAGTGTTGGGATTACAGGCGTGAGCCACCGCGCCCGGCCTATATTGACTTTTTTTCAAATGTAAGGTTTACATATATTTGCCCTCATTCCATAGGTTACCTTTTCATTTTGTTGGTTGTTTCCTTTGCTACGCAGAAGCAGTTTAGTTTGATGTAGTTCCATTTGTTTATTTTTACTTTTATTGCCTGAGCTTTGGTGTCACAGCCAAAAAATAATTATAAAGACCAATGTCAAGAAACTTTTCCCCTAATATCAAGAAGTCTTTTCCTATGTTTTCTTCTGGGAGTTTTATATTTCAAGTCTTACATTTAAGTCATTTTCAGTTAATTTTTATATATAATGTAAGGGTCCAATTTCTTTTTTTTTTGCATGTGACATACAGTTTTCCCAACATCAGTTATTTGTTTATTTATTTATTTAAAAATTTTTTTTTTTGAGATGGAGTCTCACTCTGCCACCCAGGATAGAATGCAGTGGCGCTATCTTGGCTTACTGCAACACCCCCTCCAGGGTTCAAGCAATTCTCCTGCCTCAGCCTTGCAAGTAGCTGGCATGTGCCACCATGCCTGGCCAATTTTTATGTTTTTAGTAGAGACAGGGTTTCACCATGTTGGCCAGGCTGGTCTCGAACTCCTGACCTCAGGTGATCTGCCCACCTCGGCCTCCAAATGTGCTGGGATTATAGGCCTGAGCCACCGTGCTTGCCCTATTTATTTATTTTTTTGAGACAGAGTCTCACTCTGTTGCCCAGGCTGGAGTGCAGTGGTGTGACCTCAGCTCACTGCAGCCTCTGCTGGTTCAGGCAATTCTCCTGCTTCAGCATCCTGAGTAGCTGGGATCACAGGCGTGCACTAGCACGCCCAGCTAATTTTTGCATGTTTTAAGAGAAATGGGGTTTTGCCATGTTGGCCAGGCTGGTCTCAAACTCCTGACCTCATGTGATCCACCCGCCTCAGCCTCTCAAAGTCCGGGGATTACAGGCATGAGCCACCACACCCAGCTTCAACGTCACTTATTGAAGAGACTTTCCTTTTTCCATGTATGTTCTTGGTACCCTTCTCAAAGATTAGTTAACCATGTATACATAGTTTTATTTCTGGGCTCTGTCTATTGTTTCATTGGTCAATGTGTCTGTTTTAATGCCAGTATCATATTATTCTGACTATTATAGCTTTATAATATAGTTTGAAATTAGGGAGTGTCATGTTTCCAGAATTCTTTTTCTTTCTCAAGATTGCTTTGGGTATTTGGATTTTTTTCGTGGTTTTGTATGAATTTTATGACTCTTTTTCTATTTATTTCTGTAAAGAATAGCATTAGAATTGTGATAGGGATTAGAATTTTGATAGGGATTGAATCTGTAGATAGCTTTGTGTACTATAAACATTTTAACAATATTGATTCTTCCAATCCATTAAGATGAAATAGCTTTGTGTACTATAAACATTTTAACAATATTGATTCTTCCAATCCATTAAGATGAAATAGCTTTCCATTTAGTTGTTTCCTCTTCCTCCTCCTCCACCTCCTCCTTCTCCCTCTTCTTTGTAGAGATGAGGTCTCACACTATTGCCCAGGCTGTTCTTGAACTCCTGAGTTCAAGCAATCCTCCTGCTTCAGACTCCCAAAGTGCTGGGATTACAGGTGTGAGACACCATGCCCAACTCTATTTATTCTCTTTCTTTCATCAATATCTTATAGTTTTAAATGTACAGATTCTTCACCTTCCTGGTTAAATTTATTCCTAAATATTTTATTCTTTTTGGTGCTATTGTAAATGGGATCTTTTTTTAATTTCTTTTCTGGAGAGTTCACTGTTAATGTATAGAACGTGCGTGGTAGGAGTAAAAGTATATAGATTTTGTACGCAATTGAAGTTAAATTGTTATCAGCTTAAATTAGAATGTTATAATCATAAGGTGTTTTCTACAAGCCCCATGATAACTATAAAGAAAAAAACCTCTGATCCAAACATCATATAGTTTGGATGTTTCTCTCCTCCAAATCTCATGTTAACATTTGATCCCCAGTGTTGGGAGTGTGGCTTAATGAGAGGTGTTTGGGTCATGGGGGCAGATTCCTCTTTAATAGGTTAATGCCCTCTCTGGGTGGGGTGGGGAGGATAAATGTGTTGTCTCTCTGTTAGTTCCAGAGAGAGCTGGTTGTTAAAAAGAGCCTGGCACCTCCCACCTCTTTGTCACTTCCTCTCTCACTATGCGGTCTCTGCACATGCTAGCTCCCCTTCACCCTCCACCATGAGTGGAAGCAACCTTAGGCCCCCACCAGGTGCCTATATTGAACCTTTCAGCCAGCACAGCCATACTAAATAAGTCTCTCCTTTATAAATTACCCAGCCCTTTTTTTTTTTTTGAGACGGAGTTTCACTCTTGTTGCCCAGGCTGTAGTGCAATGACTTGATCTCAGCTCACCTCAACCTCTGCCTCCCGGGTTCAAGCTAATTTTTTTGTATTTTTAGTAGAGCTGGGGTTTCTCCATGTTGGTCATGCTGGTCTTGTACTCCCGACCTCAGGTGATCTGCCCACCTGAGCCTCCCAAAGTGCTGGGATTGCAGGCGTGAGACACTGCATCTGGCCTCAGCCTTTCCTTTATAAATTGCCCAACCTTTATAACAACATAAAACAGCTTAGGCTGGGCATGGTGGCTGATGCCTGTAATCCCAGCACATTGGGAGGCTGAGGCAGGCAGATCACGAGGTCAGGAGTTTGAGACCAGCCTGATCAACATGGTGAAACCCCATCTCTACTAAAAATACAAAAATTAGCCAGGCATGGTGGCGTGCACCTGTAATCCCAGCTACTCAGGAGGCTGAGGCAGGAGAATGGCTTGAACCCAGGAGGCAGAGGTTGCAATGAGCCAAGATTGTGCCACTGGACTCCAGCCTGGGTGACGGAGTGAGACTTTTTGTATCTAAATAAATAAATAAAACAGCCTAAGTCTGGGTGCAGTGGCTCACACCTGTAATCCCAGCACTTTGGAAGGCCAAGGCTGGTGGATCACTTGAGGCCAGGAGTTCGAGACCAGCCTGGCCAACATGGTGAAACCCCGTCTCTACTAAAAATACACAAATTAGCTGAGCATGGTGGCACATGCTTGTATTCCCAGCCACTTGGGAGGCTAAGACAGGAGGACCATTTGAATCTGGGAGGCAGAGGTTGCAGTGAGCTGAGATAGTGCTACTGCACTCCAGCCTGGGTGATTAAAAAAAAAAAAAGAAAGAAAGAAAAAGAAAAAGAAAAAGAAAGGAATCAAAGCATACAATTACAAAAAAATTCAACAAATCACAAAGGAAGAAAGCAAGATTGAAAGAAACAACAAAGTAGTCAGTAAATAATTAACAAAATGACAACAGTAAGTCCTTACCTATCAATAAATACTTTACCTGTCAGTAATTACTTTAAATGTAAATGAATTAAATTCTCCAATCAAAAGACAGAGTAGCTGAATGGATTTAAAAAAAAAACAGATCCAACAATATGCTACAAGAGACTCATTTTAGCATTAAGGGGACACACAGACTGAAAGTGAAGGGATGGAAAAAGATACTTCATGCAAAGGTAACCAGGGGAGAGAAAGGGTAGCAATACTTACATCAGACAAAACAATCTTTCAGCTCCCTCTCTCTCCTTCTGCTCCTCCTCCCTCGTCCCTCCATGAAAAAAAGAAAAAGAAAGAAAGAAAAAAGAAAAAAATAGACTTTCAGTCTGTCATGAGAAACAAAGAGGGTTAATATATGATGATAAAAGGATCAATTAATAGAGGATATAACAATTGTAAATATACATGCACCCAACATTGGAGCACCTAAATATAGAAAGCAAATATTAACAAAACAGAAGAGAGAAACAGAGAGCAATACAATAATAAAGAACTTCAGTACCCCACTTTCAACAATGGAATCATCCAGACAGAAAAATCAGTAAGGAAACAGAAGACTTGTATAATGCTACAGACCAAATGAACCTAACATCTGTTCATATATACAACATGCCATCTAATAGCAGTGGAATACACATTCTTTTCAAGCACACAGGGAACATTCTTCCAGATAGATCATGTTTTGGGCCACAGAACAAGTCTTAACAAATTTAAGAATATTAAAATCATCTAAAGTATTTTTTCTGACCATAATAGCGTAAAACTAGAAATCAATAACTGAAGAAATTTTTAAAAAATTAATATCTAGAAATTAAATGACATACTCCTGAACAAATCAAAAGTGAAATCAAAAAGTATCTTGAGACAAACAAAAATGGAACGCAACATGCAAAACTCATGAGACGCAGCAAACACACAGGTAAGAGGGAAGTGGATGGCAATAAATGCCTACATTAAGACTCTTTTTTTTGAGACAAGGTCTCACTCTGTCACCCAGGCTGGAGTGCAGTGGCTCGATCATGGCTCACTGCAGCCTCAGCCTTCACAGGCACAGGTGATCCTCCCACCTCAGCTACCCAAGTAGCTGGGACTACAGGCACACACCACCACACCCAGCTAATTTTTTGTAGAGAGGATGAAGTTTCACCATGTTGCCTAGGCTGGTCTCATACTCCTGGGATCAAGCAATTCCCTCGGCCTCCCAACATGCTAGGATTACAGGCATGAGCCACTGTGCCTGGCCACAGCATTTCTTTTTGTTCTGAAGAGGTTTTTAATTTCTGCAAGCATACTACCAGTCACTTCATATCTTTTTTTTCTTTTTATTGACAGAAGCATTCTCCATGAAGAAAATGCCAAAGTAATTACTTCCTAGTAAGGCAGTTATAATTTCCCAAGGCACTTATTACAACTCAGGCCATGGAGATTAGACTGGAGGACAGTGATGTGGCAGAGAAGAGATAGAAGTGCCAGAGATAAGAGCCTGGGCCCGGGAGCAGGAAGTAGGTGACTAGTTGAAGCTGATTCCTGGCAGAGCCAGGGTGAAAAGAAGAGCCCAAGGGAAGAAGGAACTGGAGCTTGGAACCCATTGCTCCCCACAGGAATTCCTGCTGTGTAGTATCTGGCCGTGGTACCCAGGTCTGAATTCTAGAATCAAGTAAGGCAGGCGCATCCCCAGATCTTATTCCCACCCTGATGCAATTGGACCCTCTCCTCAGCAGTATGGTTAGTACCAGTGGTACCTTTCCAGCATGTTCTTTCAGGATGCTTTGCTGTCATCTGCCCCCAAGATTGTTGTAATACACACACAAATCTGCAATGAGTATGATGTGACTGGTACCTCTGAAAGTCACACCATCCACAACTTGCACAATCATACGCTGTGGACTGTCCCTCCTACCTCCTGCAATGTGACCCCCTAATTCCTCAAAGCCCCTTTGGGCTTCTTTAACTTCCTACCCTAAATTGAGCCTAAAAATAAGCATTCCTGGCTGGGTGCGGTGGCTCACCCCTGTAATCCCAGCACTTTGGGAGGCCAAGGCAGGTGGATCACCTGAGGTCTAGAGTTCAAGACCAGCCTGGCCAACATAGGGAAACCCTGTCTCAACTGAAAATACAAAAATTAGCAGGGCGTGGTGGCACGTGCCTGTAATCCAGCTCCTCAGGAGGCTGAGGCAGGAGAATCACTTAAACCTGGGAGGCAGAGGTTGCAGTGAGCCAGGATCATGCCATTGTACTCCAGCCTGGATGACAGAGTGAGACTCCGTCTCAAAAAATAAATAAAAATAGGCATTCCCTTCCTTCTGGGGAAGTTTGCATCTCTAGCTCATTTCATTTCACCTGCCCTCCCTCTTCCTTCACCCCTTCCCAGCATTGCCACTCAAGACAGAAGGTAGACCAGGCTTGGTGGCTCACATCAGTAATCCTAACACTTTGGGAGGATCACTTGAGCCCAGGAGTTTGAGACAAGCCTGGGCAATGCAGAGAGACCTCGTCTCTAGTAAAATTGAAAAATTAGCTGGGCACAGTGGCCAGTGCCTGTAGTCCCAGCTACTGAGGAGGCTAAGGTGGGAGGATTGCTTGAGCACAGTACATTGCAGCTGCAGTGAGCCATAATCATGCCATTGCACTCCAGCCTGGTGACAGAGAAACACCCTGTCTCTAAAAGAAAATAAAAGGAAACAGCTGGGTACGGTGGCTCACACTTGTAATCCCAGCACTTCGGAAGGCTGAGACAGGCGGATCACTTGAGGTCAGGAGTTCAAGACCAGCCTGGCCAATATGGTGAAACCCTGTCTCTACTAAAAATACAAAAAATTAGCTGGGCATTGGCCAGGTGCGGTGGCTCACACCTGTAATCCCAGCACTTTGGGAAGCTGAGGTGGGCGGATCACGAGGTCAGGAGATTGAGACCATCCTGGCTAACACGGTGAAACCCCATCTCTACTAAAAATACAAAAAATTAGCCGGGCATGGTGGCGGGTGCCTGTTGTCCCAGCTACTTGGTAGGCTGAGGCAGGAGAATGGTGTGAACCTGGAAGGCGGAGCCTGCAGTGAGCCGAGATAGCACCACTGCACTCCAGCCTGGGCGACAGATTGAGACTCCGTCTGAAAAAAAAAAAAAATTAGCTGGGCATGGTGGCTCGTGCCTGTAATCCCAGCTACTTGGGAGGCTAAGGCAGGAGAATCACTTGAACCTGGAAGACAGAGGTTGCAGTGAGCTGAGATCAAGCCACTGCACTCCAGCCTGGGCAACAGAGCAAGGCTTCGTCTCTAAAAAAAAGGAAATAAAAAGAAATAAGGTAAGCCCCTGAGGTCATAAGTGTCCAGAGAAGCCCAGAATCTTAAAGGAAATAGTTAAGCTGCATAAGAAATTGAGTAGCATTTGATTTTGCTCATGAGAGGGAAGTGTAAGGAGGAGGGACTGGGTATAGGGAGGCCCAGATCCCATTCTCAGGTGTGCCATTAGCTGAGCTCATATTTTACCTTGGGCCTTTCACTCTGGACTTCATAGTTGTTACCTGTAAGATAAGTGGACTGAACTAGATGATCATGAGGACTACTCCTACACATGTACAGTGGTCACGGGTTAGTGACCAGACTTTGAAGGAACAGTGATAAACCTAGAAAAGTGAACTACTCTTCTGGGAGGAGCTGACTTGGGCAAGGTTGCTCATTTGGGAGAAATAACTAATGGCATATTACCTAGACCTGGACAAGCAGCCTGACTCTTTCCTTGTGTTATTTTCACACAAAGTCAGAGCCACATCTAGCTTCTAATTATGCAGAACTTGAACAAGCGTTGAATGTCTTAGGTAGGGTCCATTTACCAGATTAAGGAAGTTTCCTTCTATTTCTAGTTTGTCGTGAATTAATATTGACTTTTATCAAATATGTTCTCTGATTTCCACATCTATTGAAAGGACCATGTGGCTTTCTCCTTAAATCTGTTAATCTGGTAAATTAAATTATGTTGATATATTTCCTTCCTTCCCTTTCTTTTCCTTTCTTTTTTCTTTTTTTGAGACGGAGTCTTGCTGTGTCACCCAGGCTGGAGTACAGTGGCACAATCTCAGCTCACTGCAATCTCTGCCTTCCAGGTTCAACCGATTCTCCTGCCTCAGCCTCCCAAGTAACTGGGATTACAGGTGCACACCACCACTCCCAGCTAATTTTTTTGTATTTTTAGTAGAGACGGGGTTTTACCATGTTGGCCAGGCTGGTCTTGAACTCCTGACCTCTGGTGATCTGCCCACCTGGGCCTCCCAAAGTGCTGGGATTACAGGCGTGAGCCACTGCACCCGGCCTCTTTTTTCTGAGACTGAGTTTCGCTCTTGTCACCCAGGTTGGAGTGCAGTGGCACAATCTCGCCTCACTGCAACCTCTGCTTCCCAGGTTCAAGCGATTCTCCTGCCTCAGCCTCCTGAGTAGCTGGGATTACAGGCGCCCACCAACACACCCAGCTAATTATTGTATTTTTAGCAGAGACGGGGTTTTAGCATGTTGGCCAGGCTGGTCTTGAACTCCTGACCTCAGGTGAGCCACCCACCTCAGCCTCCCAAAGTGCTGGGATTACAGGCATGAGCCACTGCGCTCAGCCTCTTTCTTTCTTTTTGAGACAGAGGCTCACTCTGTCGCCCAGGCTGGAGTGTAGTGGTGTGATCTGGGCTCACGCAACCTCTGCCTCCCAGGTTCAAAAGATTCTCCCAATTTACCTCCTGAGTAGGTGAGATTACAGGCACCTGCCACCACGCCTGGCTAATTTTTGTATTTTAGTAGAGACAGGGTTTCACCACCTTGGCCAGGCTGGTCTCCAACTCCTGGCCTCAAGTGATCTGCCCACCTTGGCCTCTCAAAGTGCTGGGATTACAGGCATGAGCCACCAAGTCTGGCCATATTGACATATTTTCTGTTGTTAAACCATCATTGTGGGGTGGGGAGGAGATGGAAGATTTAGGTCAAAAGATACAAAGTAGTAGATATGTGGGATGAACAAGTCTAGGGATCCAATGTACAACATGAGGACTATAGATAATAAAGTTGTATTATATTAGACATTTTTGTTAAATAAATAGATTTTAGCTGCTCTTGTCACACACAGAAATGTAACTATGTGAGGTAAAAGTTATGTTAATTTGCTTCACTATAGTAACCATTTTACTATCTATATATATCCTGTTACATCATGTTGTAAACCTGAAATATACACAATAAAATTTATTTAAAAAAAAAACACAGGGGACGGTGGCTCTCACTTGTAATCCCAGCACTTTGAGAGGCTGAGGCAGGAGGATTACTTGAATCCAGGAGTTCAACATCAGCCTGACCAACGTGGCAAGACCCCCTCTCTATAAAGAATAAAGAAATGTAGCTAGGCATGGTGGCATGCACCTGTAATCCCAGCTACTGGGGAGGCTGAGGCATGAGAATTGCTTGTACCTAGGAGGCGGAGGTTGCAGTGAGCCGAGATCATGCCACTGCACTCCAGCCTGGGCAACACAAGGAGACCCTGTCTCAAAACAACAAAAACAAAAAACCCAAAGCATCCATCATGGAATTATTATTATTATTATTTTGAGATGAAGTCTTGCTCTGTTGCCCAGGCTGGAGTGCAGTGGTATGATCTTGGCTCACTGCAACCTCTGCCTCTCAGGTTCAAGTGATTCTCCTGTCTCAGCCTACCGAGTAGCTGGAATTACAGGCATGTACCACCATGCCCAGCTGATTTTTATATTTTTAGTAGAGACTGGTTTCACCATGTTGGTCAGGCTGGTCTTGAACTCCTGACCTCAGGTGATCTGCCCACCTTGGCCTCCCAAAGTGCTGGGATTACCGGGCTGAGCCACCATGCCTGGCTATGGAATTATTTTTGAGTCATGTTATTTTTTTCTAGGATTGGATTTGCTTGTCTTTTATTTGGGGATTTTAACAGTATGTTTATGAACAATGTTTTTCATTTTTGCTTTTTAAGAACAAAAGAGAATTTATTGGCTCATTTAACCGGAAAATTCAGTCATAATTCCATCTATGTTTATACATGAGAATGATTTTTAATTGTGTGTGTGTGTGTGTGTGTGTGTGTGTGTGTGCTGACCTTGTCTGGTTTGAGTATCAGAGTTAAACAAGTCTTGGAAAATGATTTGTGTAACTTTCCTTCTTTTCTATTCTCTGAAATACTTTGTGTAAGATGAAGATCAGCTGTCGTCTGAAGTTGTATTAAACACACCTCTGAAAATATGAGGGTGAACCTCTCCTTAGGCAAGATGGTGTCTATATATCATGGACAAGCTTCCCAGTAAAACAACTACACAAGCAGGAGTGAATATTTTTAAAATTATGTAACTGTATTGCTGAGCTAGCCAAAAAAAAAAAAAAAAGGCAAGGGAAAGCAGGAATTCAGAGGAAGTAAGAAACCAGACCCTTCCCTCAGGGCATCTCCAAATCTTGGTGAATTTGAATTTTAGTTTTGTTGGCTGAGTCGAATGCAGGAGGGTAGGTGACAAGGCCATCTCAAAGTCTTTTTCTTTTTTTTTTTTTTTTTGAGATGGAGTCTCACTCTGTCACCCAGGCTGGAGTGCAGTGGCGTGATCACAGCTCACTGCAACCTCTGCCTCCCGGGTTCAAGTGATTCTCCTGCCTCAGCCTCCCGAGTAGCTGGGACTACAGGTGTGTGCCACCATGCCTGGCATATATATATATATACACACACACACACACACACACACACATACACACACACACATATATTCACATACATATATATACACATACACATATATACACACATACATATATATACACATACAGATATATATATACACATACATATATATATATATATATATATATTTGTGTGTGTGTGTGTGTGTGTGTGTGTGTGTGGAGACAGTCTTGCTCTGTCACCCAGGCTGGAGTGCAATGGCGCGATCTTGGCTCACTGCAACCTCTGCCTCCCAGGTTCAAGCGATTCTCCTGAGTAGCTGGGATTACAGGCGCGTGTCACCATGCCTGGCTAAGTTTTGTATTTTTAGTAGAGATGGGGTTTCATCATGTTGGTCAGGCTGGTCTCGAACTCCTGACCTCGTGATCTTCCCACCTCGGCCTCCCAAAGTGCTGGGATTACAGGCGTGAGGCACCGTGCCCAGCCTCAAAGTCTAACAGAAGGTTTCCTCATAAAGCTGAGTCTACAAAGGCTAAGCCCCTTGTGTGCAGGTAAACTAGAAATAAATGCTCTTAAGGGAACAGCAAGGAAACTTGCTTATCTTGACCTTGTTGCTGAGTGGAGGGAGGGGGAAATGATTTCCTTGAAAATGTAAAACCAGTTTTTATTTGGTCACAAGGCTGCCTAGAGTAAATTTCCCAGTTGTCTTTGAGACTAGATATGGTCATAGGACTACATGTTCTAGCCAATGGGATGTAAGTGGAAGTGATTCTTGTATTTCATTTAGGAATTTTCCATGTATGTCCATGAATGAGATTTTAGTGTTCTTTTCTTGTGCTGACCTTGTCTGGTTTGAAAGTTCTTAGAGAGGACAAAGGTATTGGGGTGAATAGCTAGCAGTTTCTGCCACAGGAGTGCAAGATGTGAATGAGACATAGAAAGGGGTGTCATGGAAATAGAATTTTCACATGAGCAGGAGGTATTTTTATTTTATTCTTTCTTTATTTTTTTGAGATGGAGTCTTGCTCTGTTGCCCAGGCTGGAGTGTTGTGAAACGATCTTGGCTCACTGCAACCTCCACCTCCTTTGGGAGGCCGAGGAGGGTGAATCACCTGAGGTCGGGAGTTTGAAATCAGCCTGACCAACATGGAGAAACCCTGTCTCTACTAAAAATACAAAATTAGCCGAGTGTGGTGGCACATGCCTGTAATCCCAGCTACTCGGGAGGCTGAGGCAGGACAATCACTTGAACCCCGGAGGCGGAAGTTTCAGTGAGCAGAGATGGTGCCACTGCACTCCAGCCTGGGCAGTAAGAGCGAAACTCCATCGCAAAAAAAAAAAAAAAAAAAAAAAAAAAAGTTGTCTCAGGAGCATCAAGAGCATTGGTGAAGCAGCATTTCCTAAAAACTGCTCCACTCTTGTCTCAGAAATTTTATTCTACATCACTGACATCCATTCTTCAAGTTTTGATGCTGGCACTTTCTTGCTGTTACCAGAAGGTGTCAGGCAAAAACAACCATGGTAAGCCCACCACTTGGCCAACACAGAGGGTAACATGCATCTGAATTTCAGAAATAGTGGGATGGCGGGGAAAGGAGCATGTCAGAATCAATGAAGTATAGTAGTGTGAAGGAAGAGGTAGGAAAAGAGACCTACATGAAACTAGGGCAGAGTACAAGCTATAGGACAAATCTATATGAAGCTAGAACGAAGGCTGGACCCAGTGGCTCATGCCTGTAATCCTAGCATTTTGGGAGGCTGGGGCAGGAGGATTGCTTGAGCCCAGGAGTTCAAGGCTGCAGTGCCTTGAATTGCAGCTGTGAATAGTACCTGCACTCCAGCTTGGACAACATAAACCTCATGTCTTAAAAAAAAAAGTAATACAACTATAAACAATAGTACAAGCAAGGTTTTATTCCTTAATTTGGGTAGGAAATTAAGAACCACACCAACCTCTTTTTTTTTTTTTTTTTGTAGATGGGGGTCTCGCTATGTTGCCCAGGCTGGTCTTGACCTCCTAGAGGATCAAATCATTTGAGCCCAGGTCAGGAGTTCAAGGTTACACTGAGCTATGATTACACCACTGTACTCTGGCCTAGGTGACAGGGTGAGACCCTGTCTCTGAAAAATAAAATATAAAAATAAAATAGTATGGCCAGGCGCAGTGGCTCATGCCTGTAATCCCAGGACTTTGGGATGCTGAGGCGGGCAGATCACAAGGTCAAGAGATTGAGATCGTCATGGCCAACATAGTGAAACCCTGTCTCTACTAAAAATACAAAAATTAGCCGGGTGTAATAGTGTGTGCCTATAGTCCCAGCTACTCAGGAGGCTGAGGCAGGAGAATTGCTTGAACCTGGGAGGGGGAGGTTGCAGTGAGCCGAGATTGTGCCACTGCACTCTAGCTTGGCTGACAGAGTGAGACTCCATCTTAAAAAAATAAAAATAAAATAAAATTATATAGTATATATAGGTGCAGGGATAGATAAATAGACAAATAAAATGTAATAAAGAGCCCAGGAAACAGACCCATGCATATATAGAAACTTGATTCATGACTTAGCATTGCAGATGAACAGGGAAAGTATATTTAATAATAGGTACAGGAACAATTGGCTGGCCACACTGGGAGAAAATTAGATCCCTACCTAAACCTATACACAAAAGTAAATCACAGAAGATAAACACTGAAAGCAACACTATATAATTTTAAAAATATATACATGAGGAATATCTTTATTCTCATGCAGGAGAATATCTCTCTACAACTTTATTTAGGGAAGGATTTCTTAAGACAAAAGGAATCTTCTACATTAAAGTGAATAATTTCTCGGCCAGGTGCGGTGGCTCATGCTTGTAATCACAGCACTTTGGGACACCGAGGTGGGCGGATCACTTGAGGTCAGGAGTTCGAGACCAGCCTGGCCAACATAGCGAAACCCCGTCTCTACTAAAAATACAAAAATTAGCCAGGCGTGGTGGTGGGCACCTGTAATCCCAGCTACTCGGGAGACTGAGGCAGGAGAATCACTTGAACCCGGGGGGTGGGGGTTGCAGTGAGCTGAGACCGTGCCATTGCACTCCAGCCTGGGTGACAGAGCGAGACTCCGTCTCAAAAAAAAAAAAAAAAAGAAAAAGAAAAAGAAAAAAGAAAAAGTGAAGAATTTCTCATAATCAAAAAACACTATAGGTGGCATGTGCCTGAAGTCCCAGCTACAGGAGACTGAGGTGGAAGACCACAGAGGGAGGATGGCTTGAGCCCATAAGTTCGAATCCAGCCTAGGCAACATAGCGAGATTCCCTACCTCTCTAACAAATTTTTTAAAAACCAACTAAATACTATAAAGACAGTAGCCACACACTAGGAAAAGACATATATAACTGACCAAAGATTAGCAGTGTTTACATTAGTAGTAATACTACAATGATGATAATAATAATAGCAAAAAGTTATATAAAACTTACTATACATCAGGATTTTTTTTTTCTTTTGAGATGGGAGTCTCACTCTGTGGCCCAGGCTGCAGTGCAGTGGCGTGATCTTGACTCACTATAACCTCTGCCTCCCAGGTTCAAGCCAATTCTCCTACCTCAGCCTCCCAAACAGCTGGGATTACAGGTGTGTGCTACCACACCAGGCTGATTTTTGTAGTTTTAGTAGAGTTGGGGTTTCACCATGTTGGCCAGGCTGGTCTTGAACTCCTGACCTCAGGTGATCCACCTAACCTCAGCCTCCCAAAGTGCTGGGATTACGGGCATGAGCCACCACACCTGGCTACATCAGGACTCTTTTAAGCATTTTCCAACATTTTCAACACTTGTAATTGTATTTTTGATTTTTACAATCTAGTAGATGTAAAATGGCTTATCATTGTGATTTCACTTTGGCTAGCTCAGCAATACAGTTACATCATTTAAAAAATATTTATTCCATATCATTTACTTGATGTCTCTCACCACTCCCATTTATTTTACTGTGGGGAACTTGTTCCTTTTATTCCTTCGCCACCGCTTAAAAGAATAAGTATAGATCTGAGAAAGAGGGGAGATAAAAGTTGTCATTCAGTTTGCTTTTTTTTTTTTTTTTTTTTTTGAGACAGTGTCTCACTCTGTCACCCAGGCTGGAGTGCAGTGGCACAATCATAGCTCTCTCCTAGGTTCAAACCATCCTCCCAACTTGGCTTCCTGAGTAACTAGGACTACAGGCACATGCCACCATGCCTGGTTAATTTTTTTTATTTTTATTTTTTGAAGAGATAGAGTCTCATTATGTTGCCTAGGCTGGTCTTGAACTGCTGGCCTCAAGGAATCTTCCCACCTTGGCCTCTGAATGTGCTGGGATTACACAGCCTGCCATTTCAAAACCCCAATCCTCTTGGTTTTTGTTTTTTGTTGTTGTTGTTGTTTTTTTTTGTTTCTGAGACACTCTCACTCTGTGGCCCAGGCTGGAGTGCAGTGTTACAATATTGGCTCACTGCAACCTCCGCCTCCCGAGTTCAAGCAATTCTCCTGCCTCAGCCTCCAGAGTAGCAGGGATTACAGCACACGCCACCACGCCCAGCTAATTTTTGTATTTTAAGTAGAGATGGGGTTTCACCATGTTGACCAGGCTGGTCTCAAACTCCTGACCTCAAGTGATCAGCCTGCCCCGGCCTCCCAAAGTGCTGGGATTACAGGCGTGAGCCACTGCACCCGGTCTGTTTTTGTTTTGTTTTGTGTTTTGTTTTTTGTTTTTGAGACAGAGTTTCGCTCTGTTGCCCAGGCTGGAGTGCAGTGGCATGATTTCAGCTCACTACAACCTCCGCCTCCCGGGCTCAAGTGATTCTCCTACCTCAGCGTCCTGAGTAGCTGGGACTACAGGCATGCGCCACCATGCCCGGCTAATTTTTTTTGTATTTTTAGTAGAGACGGGGTTTCACCATGTTGGTCAGGCTGGTCTCGAACTCCTGACCTCAGGTGATCTGCCCGCCTCAGCTTCCCAAAGTGCTGGATTACAGGCGTGAGCTACCATGCCCGGCTCCTTTGTTTTAAAATTATTTCACCAGAACAAAAATATAAGGCGAGACTAACTGTGTGAGCTGTCCTCCTGAAGTGCCCTTGTGAATCTTGCCCTGCATTGGACTTAAGAGCAGAGATAAGGCTCCAAATGTTTCCAAACATACAAGTTTGGAAATAAGTGGGTCATGATGGGATTCCCTTGCCCTGGCATCCTATTACACAAGAGATAGTGGTTCTTGGTTCAGGCTCTTCCCCGCAATCAGAGGCCCCCAATGTCAACTATGGTACACAGGGGTCACAGGGGTTTACATCCTAAAATTTTGATAGCTCTGAACAAATGTTCAAATACCTGTTTGCCTGCAGGTACTTCCTGTGTGAATGTTGCCAGAGATGGAGAACTCCTTGGATTAGGTTAAGGTAGTCTCCTCTTGAGGGTTCCCATGGAGCAGAGCTTAAAGGGAAGATGGAGGCAAACATCACCTATTGTACAGCTGCTCCAGCCAGGCTGACCACCAGCTTCTGGCTGCACTGAGCGCATAGGCAGAGGCTGCAAGCATTTGACATTCTTAAAGACATCAACACGAAGAGGCTTTACAACGTCTACTGGTATTTTTTTCCTGCCAAGCAAAGAACCTTATGCTTATTCTTAGGGTGGCAGGTAAGACATTCTACTCTGTCTCCTATTTTTTCCTTTTTTTTTTTTTTGAGATGGAGTCTTGCTCTCTTGCCCAGGCTGGAGTGCAGTGGCGCAATCTTGGCTCACTGCAAACTCTGCCTCCTGCGTTCAAGTGATTCTCCTGCTTCAGCCTCCCAGGCACCCGTCGTCATGCTCAGCTAATTTTTGAATTTTTAGTAGAGACAGGGTTTCACCATGTTGGCCAGGCTGGTCTCACCTGACCTTGGGTAATCTGCCCACCTTAGCCTCCCAAAGTGTTGGGATTACAGAAGTGAGCCACCACGCCCGACCTGTCTCCTGTTTTTTCAAAAGCCCTTGTGTTCCAAAGGCATTTGAAAATAATAGTACCAGGAAACCTTGTACCCTTTTTTTTTGAGACAGAGTCTTGCTCTGTCGCCCAGGCTGGAGTGTAGTGGCACATCTCAGCCCACTACAACCCCCCGCCTCCTGGGTTCAAGCAATTCCTTTGCCTCAGCCTCCCGAGTAGCTGAGCTGAGATTACAGGTATGTGCCATCATGCCTAGCTAATTTTTGTATTTTTAGTGGAGATGGGGTTTCACTATGTTGGACAGGCTGGTCTTGAACTCCTGGCCTCAAGTGATCCACCCTCCTCAGCCTCCCAAAGTGCTGGGATTACAGGCATGAGTCACCATGCCTGGTTGAAATCTTATACTTCTAAATGAGAAACCTCTCAAAGTTATCTCCTTGATAAGGGTGTGAAGTCATCGCCAGTAGCTTTTTAGGAGCTAGATGGTAAATCTGGAGGCTGACAACAGCAATTTTCATAAATTGCTACCTAAAGTTTTTGAGAGAGAATCCAGTTGAGCCTTTTCTCTGCTCAGTGGCCAGCCTTTTGCTTTCTTCCTTCTCTTATTTTTACCCTTCCACTTTCAAGTCTACAATGTGGCTTTAACTCTGTGTTTTCCACTAATTGGTCCCATGTCCCAGCAAGCAAAATTTGATGCCTGTTGCCTTCCTCAGATTACTGTGGCTCAAGTCACATACACCTATGTTGAATTTCATATTTTGAGTGGTAGACCATAAATGAACGTGCTTAGGACACCATTTCCTTCTTTAGAAATATAGTCTGAAGATGGAATGGAAGTCTACTGTGGTTTTTTTGTTGTTCTTGTTTTTGAGACAGAGTTTCCGCTCTGTTGCCCAGGCTGGAGTTCAGTGGCACAATGTCAGTTCACTGCAACCTCCACCTCCCAGGTTCAAGCAAGTCTCCTGCCTCAGCCACCTGAGTAGCTGGGGTTACAGGCGCGTGCACCACCAAGCCCAGCCAATTTTTGTATTTTAGTAGAGACGAGGTTTTACTATGTTGGCTAAGCTGGTCTTGAACTCCTGACCTCAGGTGATCCGCCCCCCCACCTCGGCCTCCCAACGTGCTGGGAGTACAGGTGTGGGCCATTGCACCCGGCCAGTCTGCTTCTTTTAAATAAAGCAAAGGCATAAGAACATTTTCTTGGCCCAGCACAGTGGCTCATGCCTGTAATCCCAGCACTTTCGGAGGCTGAGGCGGGCGGATCACGAGGTCAGGAGTTTGAGACCAGCCTGGCCAACATGGTGAAACCCCGTCTCTACTAAAAATACAAAAATTAGCCGGGCGCAGTGGCAGGCGCCTGTAATCCCAGCTACTCGGGAGGCTGAGACAGGAGAATCGCTTGAACCCGGGAAGCGAAGGTTGCAGTGAGCAGAGATCATGCCACTGCACCACTCCAGCCCGGGTGATAGAGCAAGACTCCGTCTTGGGGGGTTAAAAAAAACAACATTTATTCTTGCCTTCAGTTTGTAGAATTAGCATGGAAAAAAAAAACACAAAAAGAAAATATCCAAAATTATTGATTGAGTAATGTCATTCAATAAATGCATACTTTTTCTTTTTTTTCAAGAAGTTGTTTCTAAACTTCTCATTTGGACTTCAGAGTCATTAACTTTCTTCATTGAGTGTTTTCTCCCTTTTCATTAAAGAGGGAAACAAAATGAAATGGTTTATGAACATTTTCTTATCATCTTCTCTCAGCCATTTAAAATTCTCCTTCTGTTGAATCTAAATGTTCTGTAACTGAAATCCCATTATGAATAAATAGGCTGGACTGTCTTCCTGTGAAACCTCAGGGAGCTCCTTCCGCCTTTCTAACCTTCATAGAACAATGTAAACATCTTCCAAGTGAAACCCGCAATGAAGGCCTTTTGTTGATTTTCATGGAACTATATGGTTGCACAGGCAGTTAGCTGGCGGTGGTTATTTTAAAACCAAGCACCTCCAAAGAGAGTTTACTTCAAAGTATGCATCTTATAAAGTGAATTTAAAAGAAACTGACAGGAGTCCTCTCTTTAAATACACGTTAAAAAGATAAGTCAACACACAGTGCTGTTATTTGAAGAAATGGGCTTACCTCTTGTACTTCCTCTCAGGAAATTAATTAGAATGGATTAACCAAGAAAACTGAAAAGAGAGACTTGTCTCGCCTTTGTGTGTTTTTTTCTTTCCCCTCTCAGCCTCAAACATAGCTGAATGTGTTTACTTGAAATCAGGATGTGGAAAGTTTTTTGAATTGATTTTAAAACCAAAGAAGCCAGAATAATTTTCCATGGTATTCAGAATCACAGGAATGAGCTCTGTTCAGAAATGGTTTTTGGGTTTTTTTTGAGACGGAGTCTCGCTCTGTCGCCCAGGCTGGAGTGCAGTGGCGTGAACTCGGCTCACTGCAACCTCCGCCTCCTGGGTTCACGCCATTCTCCTGCCTCAGCCTCCCGAGTAGCTGGGACTACAGGCACCCGCCACCACGCCCGGCTAATTTTTTGTATTTTTTGGTAGAGACGGGGTTTCACCGTATTAGCTAGGGCGGTCTCGATTTCCTGACCTCGTGATCCGCCCGCCTCGGCCTCCCAAAGTGCTGGGATTACAGGCATGAGCCACTGCGCCCGGCCCAGAAATGTTTTTTAAATTTTATAATAAAGTTGAATAGTGACTATAATAATTTACACAAATATTTATTTCTAAGTGAAGAAAATGGAGACTTTAAAAAAAATTCAAAGATTATTATGTATTTTACTTAAGGAGGCAAAGCCTCTCTAAATAGTTTTCATATATATGAAAAATATATAATATATATTATATATTTTGAGACAGGGTATCTCTCTGTCACCCAGATTGAAGGGTAGTGGCATGATCCTAGCTCACTGCCGCCTCCTGTGAGTTCAAGCCTCCTGTGAGCTCAAGCGATATTCCTGCCTCAGCCTCCTGCATAGCTGAGACTACAGGCATGCACCACCACACTCTAATTTTTAAATTTTTTTGTAGAGACAGACAAGGTCTCACTATGTTGCCCAGGCTGGTCTGGAACTCCTGAGCTCAAGCCATCATCCTACCTCGGCCTCCCAAAGTGCTGGGATACACGCGTGAGCCACTGTGCCGAGTCCAGTTGCCTTCACACAAAGGATTATAACTCAAAATCTGAGTGTACCTGATTCAACTTACAAAAATATATCAAGAGTAGTCTCCTAATCTAAGAGGACTTAAAAAATTAATTTGTGGCCGGGCGTGGTGGCTCACGCCTGTAATCCCAGCACTTTGGGAGGCCGAGGCGGGCGGATCACAAGGTCAGGAAATCGAGACCATCCTGGTTAACACGGTGAAACCCCGTCTCTATTAAAAATACAAAAAATTAGCCGGGCGCTGTCGTGGGCGTCTGTAGTCCCAGCTACTCGGGAGGTTGAGGCAGGAGACTGGCGTGAACCCAGGAGGCAGAGCTTGCAGTGAGCCGAGATCGCACCACTGCACTCTGGCCTGGGCGAAAGGGCGAGACTGTGTCACAAAAAAAAAAAAAAAAAATTAATTTGTTCCCAGAAAGATTGAACGGGGCTGCAAAACCTGTTGAGCAACTCTCTACTGTCTTCATTAATTTGGAATTTGGGTTCCCTGGGGTGTGTAAAGGAGATTTTCCTTTGTACTATCTACACTCAAAGAACTTGCCATGCAAATTATTAATGTGAAAGGCATTAAGGGGAGAATCTTTAAGATACTAAGGCAAAACTGTTTTTTTTGTTTTTTTTTTTTGAGACAGTCTCACTCTGTCGCCCAGGCTGGAGTGCAGTGTCACGATCTTGGCTCACTGCAACCTCCGCCTTCCGGGTTCAAGCGATTCTCCTGCCTCAGCCTCCCAAGCAGCTGGGACTACAGGCGCCCGCCACCATGCCTGGCTAATTTTTGTTTTGTATTTTTAGTAGAGACGGGGTTTCACTATGTTGGCCAGGCTGGTCTCGAACTCCTGATCTCATGATCCGCTAAGCACCATTACAGTGCTTTTAAAGCACCATTTTTAAAACTTTAAAAGCACCATTTAAAACTTTTAAAGCACCATTACAGTGCTGAAGAATCATTAGCTTTCCACACTTACAAACTAACTGATGAGAAGTACAAAAGGATTTCTCTTGTTTCCTTAAGCAGCTCCCCTAAAAATCGTGACCAGGCAATACTTTGCTAGCCTATTATAGTCATTACTAAGAATTAGTAGTTACATTAAATTTTCTTTTTGCCTTTGGATAAACAGTTAAATAGTAAACCATTTTAAGGAGCTACTCCTGTCAAAAGCAGGTGGGAGGCTGCAGGAGGCACCAGTGATCTTGGGTGAGCTGGAGGGGTAGAGCCAAGCCAGAGAGGGATCTGGAGCATGGAGCACCAAGCTTTGTTTTGTAGAAGTTTTAGGACAAAGAAAAGGAGAAAGACGGTAGCTGGGCCAAAGAGAGGTTTGTTGTTTAATTTATGAAAAATCTGACCCAGTTTGTAGCTTGAGAATGATTCAATAGAAAGGAAGACCTGAAAATGCTTGGAAGAGAGGAAATAGGCGAGGTGATGGAATTAAAGGTAGATTGAAGGCAAAATTAAGAGATTAATGTTAACAAGAAAAATGAACAATTTTTAATCCTAGCACTTTGGGAGGCTGAGGCGGGTGGATCACCTGAGGTTGGGAGTTCAAGACCAGCCTGACCAACATGGATAAACCCCGTCTCTACTAAAATTACGAAATTAGCCGGGCGTGATGGTGCATGCCTGTAATCCCAGCTACTCGGGAGGCTGAGGTGGGAGAATCTCTCGAACCCGGGAGGTGGAGGTTGCAGTGAGCCAAGATCGCCCCATTGCACTCCAGCCTGGGCAACAAGAGCGAAACTCTATCTCAAAAAAAAAAGAAAAGAAAAGAAAAGAAAAATGAACAATTTTTATTTTAAGTTGGGCAGCTCAAGGAAAGTCAATACAGGGTTAAAAGCAGAGGTTCTGGAGTCCACAAACTGCTGATATGATGCTTCACCAAAATGAGGGAGTAAAGCAAGAAGGAGGACACCAGCTCCAGAAAGCCACAGCAGCAGAAGAAGGTGGCAAAGGGGAGTCCCAGGATGAAAGTGCAGCAGCAACCTGGAGGAATCCAGACTGCAGTAGTGCAGAGGTCTCTGGGACCAAGACAGGGCCCTTGGGGAAAGTGGAATGACAGACTGTCTGACATGGATGATCATCTGGGAAAAAAGGATTTTGACAGGCCTGGCACTGTGGCTCACACCTGTAATCCCAGGACTTTGGGAGGGCCAGGTGAGAGGATCACTTGAGGCTAGGAGTTCAAGACCAGCCTGGTCAAAAATTACAAAATTTAGCCATCTGTAGTCCTAGAGGCTCAGCAGGCTGAGGCAGGAAGATCGCTCGAGCCCAGGAGTTTGAGGCTGCAGTGAGCCAAAATTGTGCCATTGCACTTCAGCCTAGGTAGGTGACAGAGAGAAACCCCATCTCAAAAGAAGAAAAAAAAAAAAGATTATGACAGGCCAGTCATGGTGGCTCACGCCTGTAATCCCAGCACTTTGGGAGGCTGAGGCGGGGGGAAGCCAGCACTCGCTGAGGCCAGAAGTTTGAGACCAGCATGGTAAAACCCCGTCTCTACTAAAAAGACAAAAATTAGCTGGGCATAGTGGTGGGTGCCTGTAGTCCCAGCTACTCAGGAGGCTGCGGCAGAGCTTGCAGTGAGCTAAGATCGCACCACTGCACTCCAGCCTGGGAGACAGAGTGAGAGTCCATCTCCAAAAAAAAAAAAAAAAGATTGTGACAGATCAGATGGACAAGTGGAGAAGAAGCAAGAACAAGTACATAGAAAACCATTCAAGTAATATATAACCCAAGAACTTAACGCATGCTATGTGTTATTGTACTTCACTGTGTATAAATGTATGAACTCTCCTTATTTTACAGAGGATGAAACTGAGGTACAGAGAAATTAAGTCACTTCCTCAAGATTACAGACCTAACAAATGGTAAAGAACAAATTTCATTCCAGGGTCCAGCTCCAGGGGTTCTAACCCTAACCATTAGAATATACTGCCTCTAACAGGAGGGATGAAATTGGAAAATAAAAGTAGACAAAAAACGCTAATATTATATACTATGTGGCTATGTAATGCATAATTTTGACTAGACATGATTACATGTTGGCCGATAAATTTTATGAAAACCGTGATGTAATTAGATTGGCAAGGGGGCAGGTGAAAGTGGGTTGAGAATTCAGCCTAAATGGAACATAAAAGAAACTGCAAAATAAATGCTGCCCACACATCAGGAAATAACAGCAGAAGAACATTATTTGAAAATATGAGGCTGGGCACAGTGGCTCATGCCTGTAATCCCAGCACTTTGGAAGGCTGAGGCGGGCAGATCACCTGAGGTCTGGAGTTCGAGACCAGCCTGGCCAACATGGTGAAACCCCATCTCTACTGAAAAAAAGAAAAAAGGGAAGGGGAAGGGGAAGGGGAAGGGGAAGGGGATATTGGCTAGGCACTGTGGCTCATGCCTGTAATCCCAGCAGTTTGAAACCCTGAGGCGGGTGAATCACTTGAGGTCAGGAGTTTTGAGACCAGCCTGGCCAACATGATGAAATCCTGTCTCTACTAAAACTACAAAAATATTAGATGGGCCTGGGTGCAGTGGCTCACGCCTATAACCCCAGCACTTTGGGAGGCTGAGGTGAATGGATCATGAGGTCAGGAGTTCAAGACCAGCCTGGCCAAGATGATGAAACCCTGTCTCTACTAAAAATACAAAAAAATTAGCCAGGCATGGTGGCGGGTGCCTGTAATCCCAGCTACTCAGGAGGCTGAGGCAGAGAATTGCTTGAACTCGGGAGGTGGAGGTTGCGGTGAGCTGAGATCGCACCACTGCACTCTAGCCTGGGCGACAGAGCAAGACTACATCTCAAAAACAAAAAACAAAAAACTAAAAGGCCAGGCGCAGTGGCTCACACCTGTAATCCCAGCACTTTGGGAGGCCAAGGTGGGCAGATCACGAGGTCAGAAGATCGAGACCATCCTGGCCAACATGGTGAAACCCCATCTCTACTAAAAATACAAAAAATTAGCTGAGCGTGGTGGCGTGTACCTGTAATCCCAGCGATTCGGGAGGCTGAGATGGGAGAATCACTTGAACCAGGGAGTCAGAGGTTGCAGTGAGCCAAGACAGTGCCACTGCACTCCAGCCTGGAAAGTGAGCAAGACTCCGTCTAAAAAAAAAAAAAAAAATTAGCTGGGCATGGTGGCACATGCCTGTAATCCCAGCTACTCAGGAGTCTGAGGCAGGAGAATCACCTGAACCTGGGAGGCGGAGGTTGCAGTAAGCCGAGATTGTGCCATTGTACTCCAGCCTGAGTGACAGAGTGAGACTCAATCTCAAAAAATATATATATGTATATATTTATATATATGTATATATTTATATATATATATATACACACATATATATATATGGAGGTGAATAGGGGAAAACTGTATAAATGACTGAAAGTGGTTGCCTCTGGGGTAGGAACTAGAAGGTAAGGAATGGAGACTGGAGAGGATATTTTTCATTTTATTTTTTGTAATATTTGGACCCATTTTATGTCATTGTCAATTTGTAAACTTTTGACACTAAAAATTTTTACTCTAAAAATTAAAAAAATTGCCAGGCGTGGTGGCTGACACCTGTAATCCCAGCACTTTGGGAGGCTGAGGTGGGTGGATCATCTGAGGTCAGGAGTTCGAGACCAACCTGACCAACATGGTGAAACCGCGTCTCTACCAAAAATACAAAAATTAGCCAGGTGTGGTGGTGGGCGCCTGTAATTCCAGCTACTCGGGAGGCTAAGACATGAGAATAGCTTGAACCCAGGAGTTGGAGGTTGCAGTGAGCCGAGATTGCGCCATTGTATTCCAGCCTGGGCAACAGAGTGAGACTCCGTCACACACACAAAAAAAGGGCCAGGCACGGTGATGGTGATCCACACCTGTAATTCTAGTAGTTTGGGAGGCCGAGGCAGGTGGATCACGAGGTCAGGAGTTCGAGACCAGCCTGACCAACATGGTGAAACCCCATCTCTACTTAAAAAAAAAAAAAATTAAAAAACATTTTGCATATGCTGGGTGCAGTGGCTCACGCCTGTAATCTCCGCATTTTGGGAGGCCAAGGCAGGTGGATTGCTTGGCCTCAGGAGTTCAAGACCAGCATGGGCAACATGGTGAAACCCAGTCTTTACAAAAAATACAAAAATTAGCCAGGCTGTGATGGTGCATACCTGTAGTCCCAGCTACTCAGGAGGCTGAGGTGGGAGGATCACTTGAGCCTGGGAGGTGAAGGTTATAGTGAGCCGTAATGGCATCATTGCACTCCAGCCTTCCAGCCTGGGCAACAGAGAGAGAGACCCTGTCGCCAAAAAACAAAACAAAACAAAACAAAACAAACAAAAACCTGTGCATATATTAATTTAATAGAAATAAATGACAATATAGCTATCAGAGAAATGGGGTGAAGGCACTATAGGGCTCTGATTACTTTTTGCCTGGGGCTTGCAAATTTATAGCTATTTGTTTCTAAATGAATACTTTGTTGTTTACTTTTAATTGAAATTAATTAAACTTCGTCCACTGGATTGAGGTTCCTAGAGACCTCATAAGTGAAAATTAAAGAAATTTCTCCTTTTATAGTTAAAAACCAACAGAATGCTTCACTAGGTTTTTTTTCAAAGTTGTTCATGTTTTAAATAATTAGAATAATTGGAAATTAAATTTGTAATAAAGTTGCGATCTTGGCTCACTACAACCTCCGCCTCCCAGGTTCAAGCGATTCTCCTGCCTCAACCTCCTGAGTAGCTGGGATTATAGGTGCCTGCCACCACATCCGGCTAATTTTTGTATTTTTAGTAGAGATGGGGTTTCACCATGTTGGCCAGGCTGGTCTCCAACTCCTGACTTCAGATGATCCACGCACCTGAGCTTTCCCAAAATGTTGGGATTACAGGCGTGAGCCACCACGCCCAGCCAGTGTGTGGTGTTTTTAAACTCAACATTGAACTCTACCAAAAAAATCTTCAAATTCAGGAGGAGAAAAAAGCAAATTATAAGCTAGATATTTATGTTATATATACTTATATATAATTATGTTGTATAAAAGGAGCTAATTCAGTTAATTTAAGAAAATTTTTGTGGGGGAAATATTTCACATGGTCTGCCAAGAGCTATACAGTCTTATTAAAACAGGTCTGTTACTGCTGGTTACTGAAAAAGTCACATCAAAAGAGCTTGACTGTAAAATTATCTACGTGTTATGAACATCAAGTCTCCCCTGAAAAAGTCTGCAGAGTACTTAAAATAAAAATTAAGGTGCCACTGTTTCGTGTTATGTCTGCTAACATTACCTCTACTCTTGTTTTTTTTTTTTTTTTTTTTTTTTTGAGACGGAGTCTCGCTAGGTCGCCCAGGCCGGAGTGCAGTGGCGCGATCTCGGCTCACTGCAAGCTCCGCCTCCCGGGTTCACGCCATTCTCCTGCCTCAGCCTCCCGAGTAGCTGGGACTACAGGCACCCGCCACCAGGCCCGGCTAATTTTTTATATTTTTAGTAGAGATGGGGTTTCACCATGTTAGCCAGGATGGTCTCGATCTCCTGACCTCGTGATCCGCCCGCCTCGGCCTCCCAAAGTGCTGGGATTACAGGCGTGAGCCACTCTGCCCAGCCTACTCTTGTTAACCAACCACGATGCAAAGGAAGCTATTAACCAGACCTTAAATAGTAACTGCAAAGTCCTCAGAGCCAGAAGGCAGGTAAACCTCCAGATCTGGCCACATTCCTTTGAAAAAACTCTGAGTGGGGAAAGGGAATGAGCCTGTATAGACTGTTTCTTTTTAATTTTCTTTTTCTTTTCAAGATGGAGCCTCATTCTGTCGCCTAGGCTGGAGTGTAGTGGTGTTTTCTCGGCTTACTGCAACCTCCACCTCCTGGGTTCAAGTGATTCTTGTGCCTCAGCCTCCTGAGGAGCTGGGATTAAAGATGTGCCGCGACGCTCGGCTAATTTTTGTATTTTTAGTAGAGAAGAGGTTTCACCATATTGGCCAGGCTGGTCTCGAACTCCCAACCTCAGGTGATTTACCCACCTCGGCCTCCTAAAATGCTGGGATTATAGGCATGAGCCACTGTGCCCGGCCTCTTTTTTTTAATGGACAGATCCTGCCTCATGTTTGTTTGTATAAATAGAAAAGAATGGTACCAGCTCCATGCAGAAACAGATGGCAGCCCAGGGCTCACACCAGTCCTTCTGTCCTCCCATTGGTAGACAGAGGCCTCTCCTCCAGATCCTTTGTGGGTGTGCATGGGCACCCTTGGAAATTTGATCTGGAGCTGGAACTGGAACTGGAACTGGAGCTGGAACTGGAACTGGAACTGGAGCTGCAACTGAAGTCTGGGCTTTGGTTGGAGCCTTGGCCTTGGACTTTGGCCGGCAAAACCAGCCTTGGCCAGGTGGGTTCAAGCATGCTTCCTAAGCTTGGGGTGGATGATTCAGGCAAGTTGATTGAATTTTCAGCTGATGTCTTTTGGTATCTTGAGCTTGACCATGTAGGGGTGAAGGGCAAACTTCCCCTTTACCCTCTGAAGTTTCACTGAAAATCAACCGACAAGGCAGATTAAAAGGAAAAAAGGCATACAAATTTATTTGATCATAGTTTTACATGCCATGGGAGCCTTCAGAATGAAGATCCAAAGATACAGCAAAATTGTCCATTCTTATGCTTACATTCAACAGAGTATGGACAGCCATGTAGAAATGTGACTGGACAAAAAGTATATTGTTACCAGAGTGGGGTCCTCATCCAGTCCACAAGAGAGGGTTCTTGAACCTCACGCAAGAAAGAATTTGGGGCAAGTCCATAAAGTGAAATCAAATTTATTAGAGAAGTAAAGGAGGTAAAGAATGGCTACTCCATAGGCAGAGCTGCAGCATGGGCTGCTCAACTAATTATAGTTATTTCTTGATTATATGCTAAACAAGGGGTGGATTATTCATGAGTTTTCCGCGAAAGGGATGGGCAATTCCCAGAACTGAGGGTTCCTCCTCCTTTAGACCATATAGGGTAACTTCCTGATGTTTGTAAACTGTCCTGGTGCTGGTGGGAGTGTCTTTTAGCATGCTAATGAATTATAATTAGTGTATAATGAGCAGTGGGCACGACCAGAGCTCACTTTGGTCGCCATCTTGATTTTGATGGGTTTTGGCCGGCTCCTTTACTACATCCTATTTTACCAGCAAGGTCTTTGTGACCTGTATCTTGTGCTGACCCCCACCATCTCATCCTCGAAGAATGCCTTAACTTCCTGGGAATACAGCCCAGCAGGTCACAGCCTTATTTTACCCAGTCCCTATTCAAGATGGAGTCTCTCTGGTTCAAATGCCTCTGACACTATTAACCTGGTTTTGAAGATGAGGAAACTGAGGCTTGGAGGTCACCCAGCTACTTCTTGGTAGAGTTAGAATTTGCAACTTCCTGGCTTGAAAACTCAGGCTTTATCCTTTTCTGGTACCTTTCAATAGAGGCTACAAGTCCCCAGGTTATTTATTTATTTATCTATTGAGATAGAATTTTGCTCTTGTTGCCCAGGCTGGGGTGCAATGGCACCATCTAGGCTAACTGCAACCTCCGCCTCCTGGGTTCAAGTGATTCTCCTGCCTCAGCCTCCTGAGTAGCTGAAATTACAGGTGCCCACCACCCTGCCTGGCTAATTTTTGTATTTTTAGTAGAGACAGGGTTTCGCCATGTTGGCCAGGCTGGTCTTGAACTCCTAACCACAGGTGATCCACCCACCTTTGCCTCTGAAAATGCTGGGATGACAGGTGTGAGCCACCGTGCCTGGCCAAGTGCCCAGGTTATTAAGACTCTTTCTCCAGGTGGCAGACATCCACATTCTCAGAGTCCTCTCACATTGGCATGGAACTAGCAATGTAGGGGAGGGAAAAATGGCTTCCCTCTACCCTTCTAGGTTCTTTACTTGGATTGCAAATTAAATTGACATAACAGAGATTTTTTTTTTTTTTTTTGAGACGGTATCTTGCTCTGTCGCCCAGGCTGGAGTGCTGTGGCACAATCTCGGCTAACTGCAACTTCCGCCTCCTGGGTTCAAGCGATTCTCCTGCCTCAGCTTCTGAGTAACTGGGATTACAGGTGCGCACCACCTCGCCCGGCTACTTCTTTTGTATTTTTAGTAGAGATGGGGTTGCACCATGTTGGTCAGGCTGGTCTCAAACTCCTGACCTCGTGATCCGCCCACCTCGGCCTCCCAAAGTGCTGGGATTACAGGCATGAGCCACCACGCCTGGCCGACATAAGACAGATTAACAGAAGAAAAACCGTTTTAATTACCTGCATACGCAGCAGCACAGGAATCTCACAAAACATGAAGGGCCAGATGATTGAAGCTTATAGCATTCTGAGCTAGAAATAAATAAGGGCTTGGGGCTTCTGTGGGGACAGTGGGGAGGCACCACAGGTAGGATATAGGAGGGTTAGTGGAGGAAATGTATGGTAAATAATGTTGCCTTGTGGCTGCGCGCGGTGGCTCACACCTGTAATCCCAGCACTTTGGGAGGCCGAGGTGGGCGGATCACGAGGTCAGGAGTTCGAGACCAGCCTGACCAACATGGTGAAACCCCGTCTCTACTAAAAATACAAAAATTACCCGGGCGCGGTGGCGCGCGCCTGTAATCCCGGCTACTTCAGAGGCTGAGGCCGGAGAATCGCTTGAACCCGGGGGGCGGAGGTTGCAGTGAGCCGGGATCATGCCAATGCACTCCAGCCTGGGCGACTGAGCGAGACTCTGCCTCAAAAAAAAAAAAAAAAAAAAAAAAAAAAGTTGCCTTGTTATGTAAAGTCTCTCATGTAATAAAAGTTCTCTGAGCAGCTGCCTTCCTGACACAGATACTTTTACTATGTGGACTTCCTTTATAGATGTAAATTTGCTTTACAAAAGGACAGCTTTTCAGAGCTACTCCCGTGTCTGCAGTTTCTCAGAATAACCAGCTTGAAATGTGCCAAACAAGTGTATTTTGGGATAGCATATTTTGGTATTCTACAGTCATAATTTGGGGTGCTGTGGCCTGAGCCTCAGCAGCAAAAAGAGGACATGATTCAGGGTTCGGAGCGCTGGATTCTATTACCAGCTCTGCCCCCTAACCCAGTGGTCTCTTGTGAAAGGTCCTCGAGTTCCGAGTCGAGTCAATTTCCCTAAAAGGCAAAGAGGCATCGGAGTTCCAGCTGGCTTAAACATTTGTAGATTTCGCGCCTTCCCTTTTCGCCCCTCCTTCCTCTCCACCCGTCTCCCCACCCCGAGCTACTAGGGGGCCTGCCCATTTCCCCAGGCCAGGAGTAGGGCTGAAGTGAAGTGACCGCGGTCGTAGCCAACAGCGAAGCTCATTAGAAAGTCCTGGTGAGAGCCTCAGCTTCTGATGAGTCACAGATCGCCACGGAGCAGGTTGCTGCGCTTGACTGATTGGGTTTACCCTATTTTTGTTTTGAGTTAGAGCCAACTGTCCTCATTCCTTTTCGTGGCTCTGAGTAGGGCCTGCTCCATTATATCTCTTTCTCTAAACGCCTGCATCTGAGATGCTGGAAAATCCTGCGCAGCTCATAACCCAAGGCCTGGTTTCCATTCACCTTTCCTCTTCTACTCCTAAGCTGCCCAAGACACTCCTTTGCCAGAGCTCTGTCTGGAAACGAGTCCCTCTAAGGTCAAGCCTTGCGTCATGTGCCAGGGGATCAGACGAGTGGATTCCAGGCCCAGTTTTACTTCCTCAACTTTGCTGTGAGGCTTTGGGCAAGTTATTTAACCTCTCTGGGCTTCAGTTGCCTCACCGCTAAAATGGGTACGGTAATGCTTATTTGAAAGAGCAAAGGGATTGGCGCAAAAATCGCACTAACAGAAATATCTTCATTCCGGCAGGGCGCGGTGGCTCACGCCTGTAATCCCAGCACTTTGGGAGGCCGAGGCGGGCGGATCACCTGAGGTCAGGAGTTCGAGACCAGCCTGGCCAAGATGGTGAAACCCCGTCTCTACTAAAAATACAAAAAATTAGCCGGGCGTGGTGGCAGGCGCCTGTAATCCCAGCTACTCGGGAGGCAGAGGTTGCAGTGAGCCGAGATCGCGTCACTGCACTCCAGCCTGGGCGACAGAGTGAAGCTCCGTCTCAGAGAAAAAAAAGAAAAAAAAAAAAGAAATACCTTCATTCCTCTTGGGGAGGTGGCTGTGAGGACAGCAGATCTGAGTGGGAGAAAACCTAGAGACGGCCTCCCTGCCTTCTGTATGGAACAAGCAATTATTGGGCACCCTCTTTTTAGTGAGGAAGCAGGGACGGAAAATGAGTCCTTGGGCCAGCGCAGGAGGAGAGGCTGGAAAACATATCAATATTCAGGAAGGCACGGAAAGGGCTCTCAATGGATCTCTCACCAAGTGCCATCAGGGCAGAACAGTCAAGGGCCCAGGGATTCGAGGAAGCTTGGGAGGCGCGGAGAGCCCAAAAGTTGAAAGTTTTCTTGGCAGATGAGGGAAGGAAAGGGATTTCAGGAACAAGGATCTCGTGGGTGGGCTGTCCCAGTCGGCGCGCGGCAGAGCGCAGACCAGCACCCGGCGGTCTGGTCTGTGCAGGAAAGGCAGGAACCGCTTACTAAGGCTCCAACCTTTTAGAGGCAGCAACAAGCTCTTTCTCTGGATCCGAAGGCGGAGAGGCGCTGCGCTCTCATTTGGCGAGGGCCCGAGCGCGGCCAGACCGCGCACCAGACCCGGAGCGTGGGGCCCAAAGGCTGGCGGCCGACTCCGGAGCTCGGCGCCCCAACCGGGAAGTGATCGCAGCAGCCCACCCGCCTGACGCCAGCGGAAGTGCGAGCCCGGGTCGAGCCTGCTCCGCCGCCGGGCGCCCGGGAAGGGGCGGGCACGGGGCGGGGCTGGGGGCGGGCGAGGCGGGGCCGGCGGCGGGGCGGGGCTTGGCCGCAGTTGTTTTTACCCAGGCCTCGGCGCCTAGGCGCTTCGCCGAGGCTGATCTTCGTTCAAGTGTGAGCTGCGGCTGAGCCCAGCGCTCGAGGCGCGAGGCAGCCAGGAGGGCCCGTGCGGCGCGGGGAGCCAGCGAGCGCGCCTTCGGCATTGGCCGCCGCGATGTCAGCTCAGTGCTGTGCGGGCCAGGTGAGCGAGGCCGGGCGCAGCGCGGGGGTTGTCAGATCGGAGAACCGGGCCAGGAGTCCAGGCGTGGAGGACCTGCCTGGGTGCGCTCCCAGCTCCGCGGCCGAACGTAGGGCCCGGGTGGGTCGCTCGGGCTGGCCCCGCGGCGCTCAGCCGTCCGGGAAATCCTGTGCCCTGGGCGGGCGGGAAGGGGCAGGGGGAAGCCCGAGAGGCTACCCCGGGGTCTTCCCGTCCGGCCTCCGGGACTCCGCGTGGAGCGGGGCGTGCCGGGCTCGGGCGGAGGATCCCGACTGCTCCAGGGGCGTGTCGCCTCTTGCGCCGAGCACTGGTGAATAGCGCTGAGCTCCGTAGCCCTCTCCACTCTGCTTGTCGGATGAATCCAGGAAGAAAAGTGGGTTTAGGCACCGTCTCCTTTGCTATGCCCTGAATAAAACTCGGGTCAAACAACCCAGGCAGGTTGCGCTTGGCATCTCGTAGTCGAGCGTGGGCTCTGTACCTTTGAGAATGTCTCGAAGCCTGACTTCCAAACTACCGGGCGCAGGTCTGGGCGAAGGGAAAACTCAGCCCTGCTTCCTGAATTTCCCGACCCAACCCTGGCTCGGTACTAGCACGACTGCCTGGGTAGGGCTGGAACCTTCCTGCCTCTCTTTGCAAATAAACTTGTTCGAACCTGTTTTTTAACTCTCGCCTATTTAAACCTATGATGTCTTAAAACATTATGTCTCCTACCAGTTACTGCATCAGTGTAGAATTAGTACGTCTTAGCCCTGTAATGCTGGTTTCACTCCTTCCTGCAGAGTTAGAAAAAACGAAGTAGGTGAGTCTCTTGGATGTGGAGCTCTTTTCTCCCTTTACATGTGGATTATCAGCGTTTCGGTACAGAGTTTTAATGGAGTGTTTTCACGAACGAATCAGACTCTAGGGAGCATCCTGGTTCGGGGTGTTCTTGCTGACACTCAGCCTTTCCACAATCGAGGCCAGCTGTAAGTGATGGAGTGGTTAAACTGTGGGTTTCTGTAACCGGCGATTATACTGGCAGATAATCTGTCCTGTTTAGAGTGGCCACGTGGAGCTGTCTTGGTTTTTGAGGTCTAATACTGTGCTTGGCATACATTAAAGCTGGCCTTTTCAGAGTTGAGGAAATTGAGGCTTTTGACGACTGAGACGAAATGATTTTTTTTCCCTGTGTCAGGCAGAGAGAGAAAGAGAATGAGAATGGTCACCACCTTACCAGGTATTTGAGAACAAGGTGGACCAGGAAAGACTGTTTTCAGAAAGCTCTGCAAATCTTTTATTCCCGTTTTGAAATACTTTTTCTCCAATATGATGCGACACTTTTTATTACGTAGTAATGATACAGCTCTTTAGGGGCATCTGTCCTGGTCCCTTGAAGTCCCCTTGAGGCTCTTTCTGCCATTCCCAAGTTCCTAATTTAGAGCTCTGTAATTACCAGTATTCAAATGGGTTTTGTAAAAGAATTATTTTGCTGTTGATGTTTTAGCAGGTTTCTAAAGTCTCCCCTCTTAGGACTTTGGAAAGAACCAAATCAAAGTTAACCCCTGCTTTCCCAGGCCTGCTGGAGGCATCACTGTGGTGGGCCTCAGTGCTGTGTGATGGTGATCACACTGTGATTTCCTGTGGATGGGGCGGTAGGAAGTTAAAAGAAAAGCAAACAGGCTGGGCGCAGTGGCTCATGCCTGTAATCCCAGCACTTTGGGAGGCAGAGGCGGGCGGATCACCTGAGATCAGGAGTTGGAGACCAGCCTGACCAACGTGGAGAAACCTCATCTCTACTAAAAACACAAAATTGCCGGGTGTGATGACGCATGCCTGTAATCCCAGCTACACAGCTAAGGCAGGAGAATCGCTTGAACCCAGAGGCAGAGGTTGTGGTGAGCTGAGATCACGCCATTGCACTCAAGCCTGGGCAATGAGCAAAAAGAGCAAAACTCCATCTCAAAAGAAAGGAAAGCAAACAAAACCTCACAGCACCGTCAGAAGTTACCAATTCTTGTTTGTTTCTGTGGGCACCTGCCTTTTGCCAGGAGCCTGCTATATAGTCATAAGTCAGACAAGCATCTCTGCTCTCAATGGCCTATCTGGGCAGGGGAGATCATTCATAAACATGTAAACAATGAAACAATGAATATGGTACTGGTACTGTCAGAAGGCCGTGTGGTAAGCAGCCTTGAGGAGGGTTGCCGAGGGAGTCTGAGAAGATGCCTGTGGAGTTGAGACTGCTCAGTGAGGAGAGGCAAGGGAGTCTAGGGTGGCTGGGGTGTCTTAGATGAGGTCAGAGAGAAGAGCAGGACCAGAAATGGCCAGAACCTGTCAGCTGCCTTTGGACTTTGGATTTAATTCTGGTTGCAGTGAGAGGCTGTGGGAGGATTCTGAGCAGGGGCGAGCTGTGGTTTGATTTGCACTTAGAAGATAATTGGGATGTCGTGAAGACTGGACTGTAACGGGCTAGAGTGGAGGTGAGGAAAGCAGTTCGAGTTGGTCATGAAGCAGTTGGTGAGGAAAACCTAAGTGGATATTTGCCTCTTAGGGGCAAGCAGTGTTCTAGGCTTCGGCAGTGAACAAAAATCCTTTCCTGATGGAGCTCGAATCCTGGCAATCTGCTGTTGCTGTAGTCCCAGGAGGAGACAGCGTGGTACCTTAATTTAGGCTATGGCTGTAGGAGTGAGTACAGTGGGACATCATTGGCTTTGGGTATATTTCAGAGGTAGAACTGGATTTGAGCAAGGATTAGAAGTGGGATGTGGGAATGAGACAGGCTCGGTTTCTGGCCTGAGCCACTGGGTAGATGATGATCGCATTACTGAGGTGAAGTAGGAAATTGTTAGGAAGAGGACATTTGGTGAGGAAAACCCAAGTTTCTTGGCTTCGTTACATTAGAGATGCCTATTATAAATTTAATGGAAATGGCAAGTCACCAATTAGGTATTTAGGTCGGGAGAAGTTTGAGGTCGGAGAGAGACATTTTGGTGACTTTCTTTAACTGCGGACCATCCTGAACAATATGTAACCCATAAAAGAGCCTGGGCTTTGGACTCAGGCCTGGGTTTCAATTTGGAAATCTGGACAATGAGGACTGGTGTGACTGGATGAGTTACTTACCCTCTATGACCTCATTTTACCTCAACTATTGAATGGGTACTTCTTAGGGTTATTGGGAAAATTACATGTGATGATAAGTGTAAAGTCTGTAATATAGGATTTGGCAGAGTGTGAGGAACCCCCCAAATCTTATTAGTGGCCATTACCCATCTGCATCAGGATAATATCCAGATCAGCTTATTTTATTTTTGTATCTACTCTGATATTCACTTTGGTTTTGCTTAGGCTGTTGGCTAATGGATGCTAAGAAAGTAGAGATTACAGGGGAGTGGTCACTCAACACTTTATGGGTTCAAAGTTCTGTGCTAGGCCCCTAGAGACACGGTAATGAACACAGGGCTTCCTTGTTCTCCTTTAACTTAAGGGCTATGTGGAGGTGGGAGTGTTGGGGGAAGTTAGCTACAGAAAATGACAGTGCAGGCTGGGCATGGTGGCTCTTGCCTGTAATCCCAGCACTTTGGGAGGCCGAGGCAGGTGGATCGCTTGAGGCCAGGAGTTCGAGACCAGCCTGGGCAACATGGTGAAACCCTGTCTCTACTAAAACAAAAATTAGCCAGGCGTGATGGTGCACGACCTGTATTCCCAGCTACTTGGGAGGCTGAGGCACCAGAATCACTTGAACTTGGAAGGTGCAGGTTGCAGTGAGCTGATATTGAGCACTGCACCCTAGCCTGAGCAACAGAGTGAGACGCTGTCTCAAAAAAAAAAAAAAAAAAAAAAGGAAAAGAAAAGAAAATGACAGTGCTCACTGTCAGAGCGGAAGTGAGGTGTGTGCTTGGAAAATCTAGACAACCTTTCCAAGGCAGTTTGACAATAGGGATTGGGAGGGCTTGCTGCAGGCAAGTATAGGCATTTATGACAATAATAATGCTGAAATTAATAGGCTTCTTGCCTGAAAAGTTCACCCGAGGCAGATGCGCCAACATTCTAGTAGGCAAGACTCAGCTAATGTCTGGTTGGTGGGCAGCCAAGACTATTGCACCAGGAGGATCAAGCCTGTGGTTGCCATTCTGAGTAAAGGTTCACTCTGTCTTTTTTTTTTTTTTTTTGAGACAGCGTCTCATTCTGTCACCCAGGCTGGAGTGCAGTGGCGCAATCTTGGCTCCCTGCAACCTCCGCCTCCCGGGTCCAAGCGATTCTCCTGCCTCAGCCTCCTGAATAGCTGGGATTACAGGCACTTGCCACTACATCTGGCTAATTTTTGCATTTTCAGTAGAGATGGGGTTTTGTCATCTTGGCCAGGCTGGTCTCGAACTCCTGACCTCAGGTGACCCGCCCGCCTCTGCCTCCCAAAGTGCTGGGATTACAGGCATGAGCTACTGCGCCGGCCCTATTCACTCTATCTTTATAGCCAGTTTATGCAAGGCAGGAATGCCCAGGCCCAGGTATTTCCAGCCAGATCCTATTTCTAGATCACCAAGATTTTCCTCAATGAAAACCCATGTATGTATGTATGTATGTATGTATGTATGTATGTATGTATGTATGCATGTATGTATTTAAAGATGGGATCTAGCTCTTGCCCAGGCTGGATTGCAGTGGCTCAATCATAGCTCACTGCAGCCTCCAACTCCTGGGGTCAAGCAATCTTTCTGCTTCAGCCTCCCAAGTAGCTGGGACTACAGGTGCGTTCTACCATGCCTGGCCAGTTTTTAAAAATTTTTGTAGAGACTGGGTCTGGCTTTGCTGCCCAGGCTAGTAAAACTCATTTCTGATGTCCGTTATGTTAATTAACAAAGCCTTGAATGCCACCAGGAACTATCCATCATCAAAGATAAACAAAGCGGGACATTAGTTAAAGCAGTAAAAACACGTTTATTCAGTAACTATTGACTGTAGGGGAAAGAGCTGAGCTCCATTCGATTTTGTGCAGAGGTGACTAGGCCTTTTAAAGTGAGCATAAGGGAGTAAGGAGGGGAGTGAGCGGTGGCTCAAGAGTCAGGAAAGTGAAAAGTTACAAAGGGTTGGTCGCTGTAAATGCAATTAGGCCAGCTGTGTGGCCTTTGATTAAATGTTTGCTGGAATAGGGGTCTTATCAGGGCAACTGATGCCCCTATAATGCAGCTTAAAACACACACCCACATACACAGAGTCCATGAAGAAGACTTATTTAAAAAATAAATTACACACCACATACAATAATGATGATTCCAGGCCGGGCATGGTGGCTCACGCCTATAATCCCAGCACTTTGGGAGGCTCAGGTGGGCGGAGTTCGAGACCAGCCTGGCCAACATGGCGAAACCCTGTCTCTACTAAAAATATAAAAATTAACTGGGCGTGATGGCATATGCCTGTAATCCCAGCTACTCAGGAGGCTGAGGCAGGAGAGTCGCTTGAACCTGGGAGGCTGAAGTTGCTGTGAGCCAAGATCATGGCACTTCACTCCAGCTTGGGCAAGACAGCGAGACTCCGTTTCAAAAAATAATAATAATGATGATGTTTCCCCCAAAATGTCCTTCCTTCTTCACTGTAAAACCCAAATCTCTACTTTGAGGTCCCAGCTCAATTAATGTTTCCTCAGTAATGATCTTTCTCTTGTTTTGAGAGTCCTCACAGAATTTCTGCTTCGTGGACTTGATTGCACCACTTAGTACTGGGTCATCTGATGCATTGGAATTAAATCCTGGCTACTGCAAGGATGTTTCCTCTCTTCTTATAAGCAGAGCACTTATTGTGACCTAGCTGAACCCCCTGTTGAGCTCTTTTGGTTACAGAACTCTTGTTCCCTATTGCTCTTTGTTTATAGTGATTGGAAATGTTAGGTCCTCATTATATTACATGGTGCTTCCACTGGAAGGGATCCAATTACAAAAATTCATTATTTCCATGATGATACTTTTTTGAACAATGTGGGAAGTATTTGTGAAACAGAGGGAAATCACACATATCATTACCCAGAGAGAACCACATTTTGATGCTTTATAGTCAGTTACTTATATTTAATATTTATTATTTTATTTTTTTTTATTTTTGAGACAGAGTTTTCGCTCTTGTTGCCGAGGCTGGAGTGCAATGGCGTGATCTTGGCTCACTGCAACCTCCGCCTCCCAGGTTCAAGCAGTTCTCCTGCCTCAGTCTCCTGAGTAGCTGGGATTACAGGTGCCCGCCACCACGCCCAGCTAATTTTGTGTTTTTAGTAGAGATGGGGTTTCCCCATGTTGGCTAGGCTGGTCTTGAACTCCTGATCTCAGGTGATCTGCCCGCCTCAGCCTCCCAAAGTGCTGGTATTACAGGACTGAGCCACTGTGCCCGGCCGATATTTATAATTTTACTTTGCAAAGTTGGGATTTTGTTGGAAGTGCTGTATTTGATCCCACTCTTTTTGCATAATTATGAGGTGACTGATAAAGTTTTTTTTAACATGCACCCACCACTTATTGTAGCTGTTAATGTTTTCTGGGTTTACATTCATATGTAGATAGTCTTCTACCTTCAAACTTGATGGTTTCTTTTTTTTTTTGGAGACAGAGTCTCGCTGTGTTGCCCAGGCTGGAGTGCAGTGGTGCGATCTCGGCTCACTGCAAGCTCCGCCTCCCAGGTTCACACCATTCTCCCGCCTCAGCCTCCCGAGTAGCTGGGACTACAGGCACCCATCACCACGCCCGGCTAATTTTTTTGTATTTTTAGTAGAGACGGGGTTTCACCATGTTAGTCAGGATGGTCTCGATCTCCTGACCTCGTGATCCACCCGCCTTGGCCTCCCAAAGTGCTGGGATTACAGGCGTGAGCCACCGTACCCGGCCTGATGGTTTCTTCAGAGGTGTTAATGTTGAATGTGTGAAAGTCACTTAATGAGCTTTTGCATTAAGAGGTTTGGGTGTGTTTCTATTCCCAAAAGGACAAAAGTAATGAAAAAAAATCCCTAATTTCATCTCTGTTAGATGGCATCATTGACAATATATTTCTGTCATTTTCAACATTTTCTTTAACTTTGACCTTTTCTTTTTACAATTACTTTCACAGATAACGTCTGTCCAAATGGTGGTTGAGTCACTGTTTTCCTGCTGTATGATGGTGGCCATCTTTGCTTCCACTGCATTAACATTGAGGCCTGTGTTTCTTATCACTAGCACTGGCACTTTTATTTTCCTGTTCATCTTTATAAAGATGTGGGCACAATGCAGTAAAGTGCCCTATAATTGTTCTGTCAAGGTGGTGTTTTGGTTGATGTTGGCTAAATACGGTAGTACCCCTTTACTTGCAGTTTTGCTTTCTGTGGTTTCAGTTACCTGAGGTCTATTGGGGTATGAAAATATTAAGTGGAAAATTCCAGAAATAAACAATTCACAGGTTTAAATTATGCCCTGTTCTGAATAGTGTGATGAAACCTCACTCCATCCCACCGGGATGTGAATCAATTCTGGCCAGCATCTCCATGCTGTCTAGCTGTCTACCTATGCTCCTCACCCCTTAGTCACTTAGGAGCCATCTCGGTTATCAGATCCACTGTCGCAGAATTGCAGTCTTTGTGTTCAAGTCGTTCAAGTCACCTATATTTGACTTAGTGGCCCCAAAGCGCAAGAGTAGTGATGTTGGCATAGTGTCATAAGAGTTTGATTTTATTATTTCTTATTGTTGTTAATCTCTTAACTGTGCCTAATTTAGAAATTAAACTTCATCATGAGGCCAGGCAAGGTGGCTCATGCCTGTAATCCCAGCACTTTCAGAGGCTGAGGTGGGTGGATCACTTGAGCCCAGGAGTTAGAGACCAGCCTGGGCAACATGGAGAAACCCTGTCTCTACAAAAAACAAAAATTAGCCAGGGCATGGTGGTGTGTGTGCCTATATAGTCCCAGCTACTTGGGAGGCTGAGGTGGGAGGATCACCTGAGCCCAGGGAGGTCGAGGCTGCAGTGAGCCATGGTTGTGTCACTGCACTCCAGCCTGGGTGACAGAGTGAGACCCTGTCTTAAACAACAAAACTTTCTCATAGGTATGTATATACAGGAAAAAACACAGTATATATGGGGTTGGGTACTATCCACACTTTCAGGCATCCACTGGGGATCTTGGAACACATCCTCCTTGGGTAAGGAGGGACTACTCTGTATAGCTCACTGGTGAGCTGATACAGGAAGGGTGGCTTAGGAGTGTCTTTGTGTAGTGTAGCTAAATTCAGGTTGTCAGGTAATCCTCTGTCACTTACCTTGAACAGTATGGAGAGTGAAGGTTGCACTCTTAGTTGGAGAGTTGCTTGATGGTTGCTCATTCAAATATGTTTTCTTGGGCAGCTCTGTAGCTGACCTGTCCAGCTGACAAATAGCTTTGGACTGCAGCAAGTCTGACTTTGTAGGCACGGTTGAGGAGAGGCCAGTCTGTAGGCGTGGAAGGCAGCCTCTGACTCATCTCTCTGTGCTAATTAAATAAAAGGTAACACCCCCTTCCCCATTGCTTGCTTTCCGCCCTCGTTTTCTGTATAGAGGCTGTAGATTTCCCACAGATACTGAGTATCTGGGAGTGACTATGAGACACGGAAGCTTTACTTTCCAGTTTTCCAGGTATTTTAATGTAGTCACCAGTTAGAGCCTCAGAAAGGGCACTGCAGTAATTATGGCATTGTCTACTTTTATTTCAGAGCAGTATGTGGCCAGATCATCTGTGATAACTTGATGTTAAAAAGGAAGTCTTCATATAAGCTGATATGTCTACAGAACTAGCCATTGGATGTAATTCTTTGACCAAGCTATTTTTAGTACTTTAAGTGGCCATACCTGCCTAATTGTAAAGACCCAGTGTTTTCTTAGTGTTCTGAGTCAAGCCGCATTGTTGGTGAATTTTACATATTGCTGTTTGCAGTTGAATTTAGGGTTATGATTGGATCCTGAGAACAGTATCAATCAAGTTACCTCTCTAAATCACTGTGATTGTTCCCAAATATTAGGCATCCCAAGTAGCCCAGAGTAAACCTTTGCTGCCCTGCTTAAAATGTATTTTAAAACATTTACAGTGAGAATATCCCCATATTCTTCTAGCTTATATATTAATGATATTTCAAAACATTTTAGAACTTAATCTGAGAGTCAGTATAGGGCAGTAGGAAATTCAAATACTGAGTTGGTGTGATTACACAGAACATCTGTTTGAATTTTAAAGGGAAGCAGGATTTTACTTTTGGCTTTTCTTCCGTAGTTTGCCTTGTGAGATTAAAATTGCTGATGTTTAAGGAAAGCAGCTGTTGTGGAAAGACTTAGTGGGTTTTTATCAGAGAGTAAATTTTGAAACAATTTGTGGGTTTTTGAAGTAAGGTTACAGTATATAGTGATTAGACAGCATTTTCACTCTCTCATGAAAACTGTGTAGTCAAAACAAAAGTAGGAAAAACACATGCATAACCCCTTAAATCTTATTTATGAAAAGATAACTAGCGAAGATGGGAAAATCAGACTTGTGTTTAAGTATCATTTTTTTATAAACTAGCTAAGTGCATTTTGAAACAAAATTCATGAGGTCTTTGTGGAATGCCTTTTCCATTTTTTTGTTTTGTTTTGTTTTGTTTTTGCACTCACATTATGTCTCAGCAATTTAATGGAGGGCTGATTTCCTAATGCTTTGATCCTTGGTGAGTGTGGTTCACCCCAACTAGGGAGGAATTCAGTCTTTTGTTCTTGATTCCATGCTCATTGATCTCCTCCACTGCCATTCTCAGAAACAATGGCAGTATTTTGTTTCCATAGTAATGAAACTGTTTGCTCTAATAGGATTCTATAGTGGTAATTTTTCTTTAGCTTTGCTAGCCTTATCCCTAAGGACTCTAGGACTTTGTTGGACTTATTTTGTTAGCTGTTACTCTTTTTTTTTTTTTTTTTTTTTTAAAGAGCTGACAATCCCTAAAGTAAAATGTCAATTGATAAATATTCTCTGGGGCCAGGTGTGGTGGCTCACACCTGTAATCCCAGCATTTTTTGGGGCTGAGGCGGGTGGATCACCTGAGGTCAGGAGTTGGACACCAGCCTGGCCAACATGGTGAAGCCCCGTCTCTACTAAAAATACAAAAATTAGCCAGGCATGATAGCACATGCCTGTAATCCCAGATACTCAGGAGGCTGAGGCACGAGAATTGCATGAACATGGGAGGCTGAGGTTGTAGTGAGCTGAGATCATGCCATTGCACTCCAGCCTGGGCAACAGAGTGAGACTCAGTCTCAAAAAATAAAAAATAAAAAAAAATAAATATTCACTGGGTGCCTAGAATAATGAAGTTCAGAGGCTGTATGTAGCTAGCCCTGCTTGTGCTTGGGAGTGACTTGTGAATAGATGCTGAATTTGCTAGCCTATGAGACTGTGCCTGGGCCAGTGCTTCTTCACAGACTGGATTGAGGGTTTGTTTGCCTCAGCTTTGCACCTTTTATCTTTTGGAAAAGGAGTAGAAGCTGGGGGTCCCTTGGCAGGGACATTTGCCCCCAGAAGTGGATGAGCCCATGCAGGGGAGCACGGGGAGAGTGGGTCCTCTTTCCTGAATGGGCTCTAGAGATCCATGCAATCCTGCAGTTGCACACACAGTTGTGTTGTTTATGTCCTGAACACTTTTCCAAGAAGAAAGTCCCCATCATTTCTCAGCTTCTCAAGGAAATCTCACCTCAGGAAAAAACAGCTGTAGTACGAGAAGGAAAGCCTAACCTTGGAACCTTGAGAAACATCTCCAATTCAAAAGGCACACATTCCCTGTAGCCAACAGGGAAATAAAGGAAATTAAGTGAAGGTAGAGCCTGCCTGGAGGGTGGGGAGAGGTGTGGAGCCAACTGGCCTGGTCAGACGACAACTTGAAGTCAAGTGAGAGAGGAAGATCGAAGATCAGTGCCTGTGGATTTTTTGAGAGTGCTGGCTTGTCTGGAGGCTGAGGTGGGAGGATCGCTTGAGCCCAGGAGGTCGAGGCTGGATGAGTTTTGATCTGCGACACTCCAGCTTGGGCGGCAGAGTGAGACCATGTTTCTTTTTTTGTTTGTTTTTGTTTTTTTGAGACGGAGTCTCGCTTTGTCACCCAGGCTGGAGTGCAATGGCACGATCTCAGCTCACTGCAACCTCTGCCTTCTGGGTTCAAGCGTTTCTCCTGCCTCAGCCTCCCGAGTAGCTGGGATTACGGGCGCATGCCACTAGGCCCGGCTAATTTTTGTATTTTTTAGTAGAGATGGGGTTCCTTCATGTTGGTCAGGCTGATCTCGAACTCCTGATCAACCCGCCTCAGCCTCCCAAAGTGCTGGGATTACAGACGTGAGCCACTGTGCCCGGCCGAGACCATGTTTCCAAAAATAAAAAAAAGAGTAAGGCCAGGTGTGGTGGCTCCTGTCTGTAATCCCAGCACTTTGGGGGGCTGAGGCAGCGTATCACTTGAGGTCAGGAGTTTGAGACCAGCTTGACCAACGTGGTAAAACCCCATCTCTACTAAAAATACAAAAATTAGCCAGGCCTGGTGGCAGACATCTGTAATCCCAGCTACTCAGGAGGTTGAGGCTGGAGAATCGCTTAAACCTGAGAGGCAGAGGTTGCAGTGAGCCGAGATCGTGCCATTGCACTCCAGCCTGGGTGACAGAACGAGACCCCATCTCAAAAAAAAAAAAAAGTGCTTGGGGGTTTTGGCAGCCTCAGTTTCCAGGCAGCAGAAGGTAGAGAAATGCTGGGGAGCTGAGGAACTGAAGCCAGGGAGGGGAGGTTATTATCTTTTAAGATAAAAGGAAGCACAGATTAAGAGCCTAAAGAGGTCTGGGCTGGGCCTAAAAGGATGGTAGTAGGAAAACAGCTTCCTGCCCCCAAATTGCAGGATGCTGAAGTTTAACTATTCTTTAAGTTCTGCCAAAATCGAGTCCAAGGGTAGCCCTCCATCCCCTTTTTTCTTCAGAGAAATCCCCCACTTTCTGTGCTCCCCCACCGTCTACTTTTTCTATGAAAGTTTGTGGAATCTCATCAACTGGGATTCAGTTCTTTGAAAAATTCTGTAGAGGCAAGTCTGGTTCTGGAGAGATCCAGGTTTTGCTGCTTGCTTATTTTATTTTGTTTTATTTATTTATTTATTTATTTATTTATTTATTTATTTATTTAAATAGAGACAGGCTCTCACTATGTTGCCCAGGCTGGTCCCAAACTCCTGGGCTTAAGCAATCCTCCTGCCTTGGCCTCTCAAAGTGTTAGAATTACAGGTGTGAGCCACCATGCCCAGCCTTGCTTGATTTTTGAGGCAGGTTATGGAACCACAGAAACTCTTGGAAGATACCTTAAAAGGCATCTGTTTTTTTTTAATGACCCATCTGAAGCTTAGATGTCCTTTTTAATGCCCCTCTTCAGTGTGCATCTGTGTTTGAATCTGTCCAGTGCTGGGGAGCTCACTACTGTTCCTAGTTCTTAAATTTTCTTGTTAAGTAGGGGAAATTCCTGTCTTGTCTCCCTAATGTTGTTAAAGAGATAAAATCCCCTTTAACAATATTAGTGATTGTTGAAGGGATGCAAATCAGATGTTTTATGTAAGAGTCTTTTTTTATCTGTAAAGTGGTGATGCAGTGTGTCAGGGTTCAGTGTAGGAAGCCAACATCACTCTAGGTATTTTAAAAAGAAGAAGATTTACTATAGGGAATTAGGTATGTTTAAAAAATAATTGTAGAACTAAAGGAGCAAGAATGAAGGGGCCACCCCCTGGGACTCTTGAACTTATGAATGTTGCCTAAAGACCAGGGGTTCTCTCTAGGTCCTGCTGCTCAGCACACAAAAAGCCCACGACTGAGATCGACAAGGATTGCCAAGGAAGAAGGCTTTAATCGGGTGCTGCAGCCAGGGAGATAGGAGCTCAGTGTCAAATCTGTCTCCCTGACCTACTAAAACTAGAGGTTTGTATAGCAGGGAAGAAATGTAACAATGTGTAACATTTTGAGATGCAGTCTTGCTCTGTCATTTAGGCTGGAATGCAGAGGCCTGATCTTGGCTCACTGCAACCACTGTCTCCCAAGTTCAAGCAATTCTCATGTCTCAGCCTCTGGAGTAGCTGGGATTACAGGCATGTGTCACCACGCCCGGTTACTTTTTTTATGTTATATATTTTTTTTAGATGGAGTCTCACTCTGTCACCCAGGTTGGAGTGCAGTGGTGAGATCTTGGCTCACTGCAACCTCCGCCTCCTGGGTTCAAGTGATTCTCCTGCCTCAGCCTCCCGAGTAGCTGGAACTACAGGCGCATGCCACTACACTTGGCTAATTTTTGTATTTTTAGTAGAGACAAGCTTTCACCATATTGGCCAGGCTGGTCTCAAACTCTTGACCTCGTGATCCACCCGCCTCGCCTCCCAAATGCTGGGATTATAGGCGTGAGCCACTGCGCCTGGCCTAATTTTTGTATTTTTAGTAAAAATGGGATTTCGCCATGTTGACCAGGCTGGTCTCGAACTCCTGACCTCAAATGATCCACCCACCTTGGCCTCCCAAAGTGCTGGGATTACAGGTGTGAGCCACCACACCTGACCTATTTTTCTAAAAGGGTCTTTTTTTTAGTATTTGGTAGATACTAATATAGCCATACCACCCTTTTGGCTTTCAACTAATCTGTCTTTATACTTAAAAGTATGCTTTTTATAGACGTGATAGAACTGGGTCTTTCTTGCTTTTTAATCCAATCTGACAATCTTTGCCTTTTTGTTTTGTTTCACTTTTTTTGTTTTGTTGTGTTTTCAGATGGGATCTTGTTCCATTGCCCAGGCTGGAGTGCAGTGATACGTTCACAGCTCACTATACCTTCAATGCCCTGGGCTCAAGTGATCCTCCTACCTCAGCTTCCCAAGGAGCTAGGACTACAGATATGCATCACCTGACATGGATTTTTTTTTTTTTAATTCTCTTTTGTGGAGACACGGTCTTACTATGTTGCCCAGGCTGGTCTCAAACTCCTGGGCTCCAAGTGATCCTCCTGCCTTGGCCTCCCAAAGTGCTGGGATTACATGTGTGAGCCATTGTACCCAGCCAATCTTTGTCATTTAATTGGATGCTTGGATCATTTACATTTAATGTAATTACTCATATGTTTGAGTTTAAGGCTATAAATTGTTGATCAGTTTCCATTTCATTTCCCCTTCTTTTTTTTATTCCTATTAATTATTTTTTAGCGATGGGTTCTCACCCTGTCACCCAGGCTGGGGTGCAGAGGTGCAATCATAGCTCACTGCAGCCTCAAACTCCTTTGCTCAGGTGATCCTCCTGCCTCAGCCTACCAAGTAACTGAAACCTGGCTCATTTCCTCTTCTGTTCTTTGTTCTTATCTTTTTTTGAGGAGAGGGCTAATTGAATATTTTTCACTGTGTTTATATGCCTTTTTATTTCTTCTTCTTATTATTATTTGAGACGGAGTCTTGCTCTGTCACCAGGTTGAAGTGCAGTGGCGCGATTTTGGCTCACTGCAACCTCCGACTCCTGGGTTCAGGCAATTCTCCTGCCTCAGCCTCCCGAGTAGCTGGGATTACAGGCACGTGCCACCATGCCTGGCTAATTTTTGTATTTTTAGTAGAGATGGGGTTTCATTGTGTTGGCCAGGATGGTCTCGATCTCCTGACCTCGTGATCCGCCCACCTTGGCCTCCCAAAGTGCTGAGATTACAGGTGTGAGCCACTGTGCCCAGCCTTGCCTTTTTATTTCTTAAGATGTTCTAAGGATTATAGTATGTAGCACCTTGAAAAAGGGAGAAGCATCAAAACTTTTATCATTAGTGATGGAAACCAATCGCTAGGTAGGCAGATCAATTTACTAGATACTGATTTAATCTTGAAATGATGAATTAAGTAACATGATATGAAAACTAACTTAAAAACAATATTTTATGCTTTACAGAAATACACGGCCGAGCACAGTGGCTCATGCCTATAATCCCAGCACTTTTTGGGGACTGAGGTGGGCGGATCACTTGAGCCCAGGAGTTCAAGACTAGCCTGGGCAAAATAGTGAGAACTCATCTCTACAAAATATCAAAAAATTATTCAGGCATGGTGGCATGCACCTGTAGTCCCGGCTGCTCGGCAGGGGGATGAGGTGGGAGGATCACTTGAGCCAGGCTGAGGAGGTCGAGACTGCAGTGAGCCATGATCTTGCCATTGCACTCCAGCCTGGGCAGCAGAGGGATACCTGTTTATATGATTTAATTAATCATACAAATGTTTATTTTATTTTCCTTTTGGACATTTAGTGTAATTTTTAAGAATGAATGTAAATACTCTACACTAGAGCCCTGGAAATAGTTCTGCTACAATACAACATGACATACGCATTCTAAAAATTACCACATTAAGCAGAACTGCACAATGAAACCACAGGTCTCACGGGGAAAATTTGGTTAAGGGCACAATATTCTAAAACTTTGTCAGTGACACATCTGAAAAAAGGAACTGAATAAAAATGATATAGTTTTATAAATGTTAAATGGTTAAGAAATACATAACTACTATGGTAAATTTGGCATTTTATTTGAAAAAGTCTTCAAATTACCTTGTGGAAATGGGTTTGGAGAGTTAGGCTTTTGAGCAGTTGAGAAGCAGTGGGAGGAAGGTTATCTGGAATTGGATGGAAAGTTGTAACATCAAATGTGTTTGGTGTGACTCAGTGCACTTGTTGAGCTGAGCTGTGTGCATTTTTTGTGTATTACCACGAAGCTCAATTCAGCTTGGTGCAGTTTTCTACCTGGTGTTTCTCAGTAGACAGAAATGCACATCCTATTATGCCTAATTGTTCCGTAACATATCCATCCTGTTGGAGCAATTTTGTGTTTTCAAAGTAAGTATAGAATAAATAGCTCAGAAGCCTTGGACTTGCAGAGCTTCAGGAAGGCTGACCAAGCCTTGCTCCTGTTAGCTGTCTGAGGGAGAGAGCTGGCCCCACTGACTTCCTTTGGACCACCTCCCAGAAAATTGGCGCTGGAAGGGTCTTCTGTTCTTCTGACCCAATTGTGCTCGATTTCTTGTACCATAATAAACAAACAACTCCAGAGGCAGGAACTTCCTATCTTTGAAGGCAGCTCTACTTCACCCTTAGGGAGATCTGGTTTAATTCTTCTTCCTGCTGGCTTCTCAAGGCTGTAGTGACTTGCCTGTATCCTGGGGAGGGATACAGCTATTTTTGTATAATAAAGTTAAAAGAGGCGGAGTGGAAGGTGGGCATGGTCTGTGGCTCCTGGCTCATAGGGTACCACAATTTGGTTGATATTCCTGTTTCTGATTGTAAGAATCCAGTTTCCTTTTTAGTTCATAAGCATGATGATTGGGTTTTCATGCTTGTCTGTGAGATGTGCCTCCCTTAAATCTTGTCATGTCGTTGGTACATTACCCATGTGACATGAAAAAAAAAAAAAAAAAGAATCCCAGTGTTCACCCAAACCATAAACTGAAAATTGGGGGCATGCTGACAAGGGGGATTGTGCCTCTGGGTATGAGAAATTTCACTAAGAAGCCAAAATATCAGACCTTTTAGCACACTCCAATAGTTTTTAAGGATAATGGTCAGGCAGTTTGAAATTAGAACCATTGTGGGAAGTCTTTGGTTGGCAGCCAGCCAGAGAAAGTCTCACAGCTGCTGATGAGGTTTCTGATGGGCGTAATGCCCGTTGCTCCGGGTCCTGCGTTGCCATTCTCAGATGGCTTATGGGCTGTCCATGGGGTTGTGAGAATCTGGGAAGTCACAGTCTAATTCTGGAGCTAGAAGGATCCTTAAGGCAGTGGCATATCCACCTAATAAGTTTTTTTCAGGAAACAGGTCCTGGAGCACAGGGTATCTTCCAAGGCCACACAGCTAGTCAGCTCACAGCAGGTACTACCCCTGTGCTCTCCTAGCCTTTGCTATTTTCCAATGCCCAGTACACACTTGGCCTTTGGTAAATGACGAGAGCGTGAATGAGTGGATGTTGGGCTTTTCCCAAAGATAATCTGCTGTCTGTGCAGAGCAGTTCAACAAAGAGCTCATAGCTATGGATTTTAAACACAGTCTTATGATTTGATTATTTGAATCTCGGATTGGGTTTTTTTTTTTTTTTTTTTTGAGATGAAGTCTTGCTCTGTGGCTCAGGCTGGAGTGTAGTGGCAGGATCTCAGTTCACTGCAACCTCTACCCTCTGTCTCCAGGGTTCAAGCTATTCTCCTGCCTCAGCCTCCCAAGTAGTGGGATTACAGGTGCCTGCCATCACGCCCAGCAAATTTTTGTATTTTAGTAGAGATCGGGTTTTGCCACGTTGGTCAGGCTGGTCTGGAACTCCTGACCTCAGGCAATCCACCTGCATCAGCCTCCCAAATGCTGGGATTACAGGCATGCGCCACCATGCCTGGCTCTGGATTGGGGTTTTATACTGTATTTTGTTGTAATAAAATCTGTTTAAACTTTTTGTTCCCTTCCTTCTCTTAAACTCTCAAGCAGTTGTTTAAGTTATTTTCCAGAAAGTTCTGCTCTATGCGTGGATGATAGAATTTAACAGAAAGCGGTTTCTAAGAGTGTACTATCTCACCGTTAGTGTAGTTGGCGGAAGTTGCAGGTTGCTGAGTAAGGGGTATGAAGCCATTTAAATGAGGCACTTTATGCAAATCATTTTGCCTAGCAGCGGCTTCTGGCTGGAGGCTTTGAAAAGCATGAAGCTGTAAATTATTTCCTTATGATGGGGGGCGGGGAGGAATGAGGGTTGCCACGGGATTGCAATTTTTCTTTTTTCTTTTCTTTTTTTTTTTTTTTTTTTGAGACAGAGTCTTACTCTGTCGCCCAGGCTGGAGTGCAGTGGTGCGATCTCTGCTCACTGCAATCTCTGCCTCCCGGGTTCAAGTGAGTCTCCTACCTCAGCCTCCTGAGCAGCTGGGACTACAGGCGCGCGCCACCACGCCCAGCTAATTTTTTGTATTTTTAGTAGAGATGGGGTTTCACCATGTTGGCCAGGATGGTCTCGATCTCTTGACCTCGTGATCCACCCGCCTTGGCCTCCCCAAAGTGCTGGGATTACAGGCGTGAGCCACCGTGCCTGGCCGATTGCATATTTTTTGGAAGCAAGAGTTCCAGCAGGGCTGAGTCTCTGACTTCTTTTTTTTTTTCTTGCAGAGGGGTGTGGCAGATAGCTGGACCCAGGGCTTGAGAGGAACACCAATGCTCATTTCATTTGCCTTTCATTATGGATTGCTTGAGGGTATTCTCTGATTATTAGAGAGAACTGGCAACTGGTGGGGAGGTGGCTCTTGCTTGTAATCCCAGTACTTTGGGAGGCCGAGGTGGGCGGATTACTTGAGCCCAAGAATTCGATACCAGCCTGGGCAACATAGTGAAACCCCATCTCTACAAAAAAATACAAACATTAGATGGGCGTGGTGGCGTGCACTTGTAGTGCTAGCTACTCTGTAGGCTGAGGTGGGAGGATCACCTGAGGCTGGGAAGTTGAAGCTGCAGTGAGCCATGATTGTACCACTGCAACCCAGCCTGGGTGACATGACAAAAGACATGAAAAAAAAAGAGAGAGAAAGCCCTCTTCTTCTCTTCTTAGCATTTCATTCTCCTTTTTTGATGTTTGTAAAACAATTAGAGAGTCCTGTGCAAAGCTGATATTTAACTTACCCCCAGATGCCAATAGCACTCACCAGTCTTTGTGAAAACACTGCCCCTGCCTTTACTACCAAGGATGCACCTGACCCCTGGGGCAGGCAGTGATACTGCCCAGAAAAGAAACACTGGGGCCGGGCGCAGTGGCTCATGCCTGTAATCCCAGCACTTTGGGAGGCCGAGGCGGGTGGATCACCTGAGGTCAGAAATTCAAAGACCGGCCTGGCCAACGTGGTGAAACCCCGTCTCTACAAAATACAAAAAAGTTAGCCCGGCATGATGGCGGGAGGTTGAAGCAGGAGAATCGCTTGAACCTGGGAAATGGAGGTTTCAGTGAGATGACAATGCACCATTGCACTCCAGCCTGGGCAACAGAGCAAGACCTTGTCTCAAAAAAATAAAAAAAGAAAAGAAAAGAAAAAAGAAACACTGGGCCAGGTGCGGTGGCTCATGCCTGTAATCCCAGCACTTTGAGAGGCGGAGGCGGGTGGATCACCTGAGGTCAGGAGTTCGAGACCAACCTGGGCAACATGGTGAAACCCCCGCCTCTACTGAAAATACAAAAATTAGCTGGGCGTGGTGGCGTGCACCTGTAATCCCAGCTACTTGGGAGACTGAGGCAGGAGAATTGCTTGAACCCAGGAGGTGGAGGTTGCAGTGAGCCGAGCTGCCATGGCACTCTAGCCTGGACAACAGAGCGAGAATCTGTCTCAAGAAAAAAAAAAAAAAAAGATTTAGGACTTAAGCTACTTGAAGTATTTGATGGGAGGAAAAGGACAAACCTGCTTTCTACTGAGAATTAATTTAAACATATTTTTGGTGTGGATTTTTTAGGCTTTTTTGTGCATATAGTTCAGAGGCGGTGTAGCTGAGAAGTTAAGAGCCAGTTCTAATGATAGGAAGCCTGAGTTCCGGTATGTTCTCAGCCATTTACTGGTGGTGTGCCCTTGATCAGTTACTTCATCTGTCTGTTGTTTAGTTTGTACATCTGTAAAATGGGATAATCCCTAGGATCTCTTTTATAGGATTTTGCGCTTGGAACAGTGGCTGGCCCACAGTATGAGTTCATAAATGTTAGATGTTGTAGTTTTGGGGAGGACCGTCACTCTCCCTTGGGATACTGATATCCAAATTGTAAGTTGTCAGTAGGCTTTCTTTGAAGTTTGCTCCACACCCTTTCCATTAAAATAAGTAATGTGTAGATCCAGTATTTAACCGTGATAAAATGGGTTAAAAAGGAGTCCATTAAAAGTATTGAGAAAAGATGGGTGAACTTTTAAAATAATCTAAAATGGCCAAGATTTTTCTAAGCATGACACACAGTTATTCGTAGAACAGGGATCCACTTGCCTTAATTTGCACAGTGTTCTTATAAATCAACAGAAAGTACACATAACAGAAAAATTTAAAAGGTTAGGGATCATTTAGGAAAAAATGCAAATGCCAACAAATGTGAGAAAATGCTCAATCTTACTTATAATTTAAGAACTACAATTCAGCCAGGCGCGGTGGCTCATGCCTGTAATCCCAGCTACTTGGGAGGCTGAGGCACGAGAATTGCTTGAACCCAAGAGGGAGAGGTTGCAGTGAGCCAAGATCATGCCACTGCACTCCAGCCTGGGCGACAGAGCAAGACTTGTCTCAAAAACAAACAAACAAAAAACAACAAAAAAATTACCATTAAAAATGAGAGAGTTTTCATTGGCAAAGTTAAAAAGAAAGGTGAAAGAAAAACCTACTCTTCTTGATTTGTGTTTGTTCACTTATGGAGAATTTATTTTGTCATAATGTCTGAATCATAATTAAATATGTTCTTGGGTCTAGCAGTTCTTCTATTTCTTGTATTAGAAGTAAACTTGGAACATCTTAAACACTGATAATGAAGACTAATTTGAAATAAAAAGTTACTAGCCTTTCATACAATGAAATATGTTGCCGTTAAAAAGAATGAAATTAACAATGGAATATTATACAGCCTTAATAAAGAAGGAAAACTTGTCACATACTACAACGTGGTTGCACCTCAAGGACATTATGCTAAGTGAAATAAAAGTATACAATAAAAGTCACAAAAGGACAAATACTGTATGATTCCACTCATATGAAGTGTCTAAAGTAGTCAAAATCATAGAAAGTAGAAAGGTGGTTCCCAAGGGCCCAGAGGAGGTAGGAGGGAGAACTTGTGTTTAGTGGGTATAGCGATTCAGTGCTGCGTGATGAAAAAGTTATAGAAATCTGTTGGACAACAATATGAATATACTTAACACTACTGAACTGTACACTTAAAAGTGGTTAGGATGATAAGTTTAATGTTATGTGTGTTTCAGCATAGTAAAAAAAAAGAGTAAGTTAAATCTGTGAGGAACAGGTAGCCAAGATAACAGTGTTAGTTAAGTAGGGGTTATAAAAAGAGGAGGTTAAAGAACACTGTGTCTATGATGAACCCAATTATGGTTTCCAATTTGAAAGGCATGTATGTATCCATGTATGTAGGTACATATATATGCAATAATTCTGAGAGTTTTAAAGATATCCTAGAAACTGCCACCGGTGGTTACAGCAATAGAGTAATAATAGGAGGTTGGAGGGTAGGGGATAACGTTGGGGGCATTTGTTTTTCATTCAACAACTTTAAAGCTTATTTTAGCAAACCTAAATGTGCGAAATTCATCATGTTTTATAATTGTATTTGCTAGCACTGTTTTCATTTTGATATCATCCCTGCCCTTTGTGGTGGGAGTGGTGGTAGTGTGTGATGTGTTTAGAAGTGGGTTTGGAGATAACAGAGTTTAACACATTTTTGCATTAGAAAGGAAACATCAATTTGGTTGCACAACTGGTATGAATATGTGGTGTAATTTATTTTTATCAACATTGTCTACAATTTACATATGTAAATGTAGATTTTTCTTAAGTGTAGTGAGGTGAATGGAACTGGAAAAAACGGGTACGCCAATCCTAAAACAATGGTGCTAAGATTAAACTGTCAGATCAGTCTTTGTCAAGTGCTCCAGCTGGCTGTGGATTATTAGGAAGTATTATTCAAAGGGCTGCTTTGGTACAAGACAAGAAAATTGCTGGAGAAATGACTGCTCTGGTGCTAAGATTCAGCCATTTCAAATGTGCAGTCTCTTAAAAGTAAAAGTTGGGGTCGGGCATGGTGGCTCACGCCTGTAATCCCAGCACTTTGGGAGGCTGAGACGGACGGATCACGAGTTCAGGAGTTTGAGACCAGCCTGGCCAATATGGTGAAACCCTGTCTCTACTAAAAATACAAAAATTAGCTGGGCATGGTGGCGGGCACCTGTAGTCCCAGCTACTCAGGAGGCTGAGGCAGAAGAATCACTTGAACCCGGGAGGCAGAGGTTGTAGTGAGCCGAGATCATGCCGCTGCACACCAGCCTGGGCGACAGAGTGAGACTCTGTCTCAAAAAAAAAAAAAAAAAAAAAAAAGTAAAAGTTGAAAGATCTATAAAATACTTCCTGTAAACTTTACAAAGCATTTTACAGCAGACTAATAACTTAAGAAACATATGAAGCAATTTCAGCTCCTAAAGTCCTAGGAATTTGCTTTTGGGGATACTTTTTATTTATAGGATACTTCCTATTTATTTATAGGATACTTCCTATTTAAATTAACAAGTGTTCAAAAAAAAAGTCCTAGTTTTATTTTTATTCTTAAAGTGGCATTGGAGAGATGTCCACACTTGCACTTCTCTAATGAGCAGAGATGTCCAACCAAGTGATTTTAGAATTATTGAGTTTTTTTTAAACTTATCCTAAAATGGCTATTAGGTTATTTTTAACTAAAGAAATTATTATTGTTTTTTTGAGATGGAGTTTTGCTCTTGTTGCCCAGGCTGGAGTGCAATGGTGCGATCTCAGCTCACCGCAACCTCCGCCTCCCGGGTTCAAGTGATTCTCCTGTCTCAGCCTCCTGAGTAGCTGGGATTACAGGCATGCACCACCATGCCCTGCTAATCTTTTGTATTTTTAGTAGAGATAGGGTTTCTCCATATTGGTCAGGCTGGTCTCGAACTCTCGACCTCAGATGATCCGCCCTCCTTGGCCTCCCAAAGTGCTGGGATTACAGGCGTGAGCCACTGCACCCGGCCTTAAAGAAATTATTGCTAAAGTAAAAAGTAGTTTCACATAGCATATACAGCCCAGTCATTTAAAGTGTGCAATTCAGTGGTTTTATAGTATATTTACAGAGTTGTGGAACCATCATGACAACTTAGTTTTTGTCACCTCTATGCTTATTAGCAGTCACTCCCAGTTCCCTCCCAAACTCCCTCAGAGCCCTGGCAATTGTTAATCTACTTGCTGTCTCTATGGGCTTTTGTAGACGTTTCCTATTAATGAAACCATATAATGTACAGTCTTTAGGACTACTTCTTTAACTTAGTATGTTCTCAAGGTTCATCCATGTTGTAGCACGTGTCAGTACTTCATTCCTTTTTATTTTTTTTTTTTGAGATGGAGTTTCGCTCTGTCACCAGGCTGGAGTGCAGTGGCGTGATCTTGGCTCAGCACAACCTCTGCCTCCTGGGTTCAAGTGATTCTCCTGCCTCAACCTCCTCAGTATTTGGGAATATAGGTGTGTGCCACTATGCCCAGCTAATTTTCATAGTTTTAGTAGAGATGGGGCTTCACTATGTTGGCCAGGCTGGTCTTGAACTCCTGACCTCATGATCCACCCGCCTTGGCCTCCCAAAGTGCTGGGATTACAGGCGTGAGCCACTGTGCCTGGCCAGTACTTCATTCCTTTTACTGGAATATACCACACTTTACTGAAACCCATTCCTTGCTGATGATCATTTGGGTTGTTTCCACTTTTTTTTTTTTTTTCTTTGAGACAGAGTCTCACTCTGTCGCCCAGGCTGGAGTGCAGTGGTGTGATCTCAGCTCACTGCAAGCTCCACATCCCGGGTTCTTGCCATTCTCCTGCCTCAGCCTCCCGAGTAGCTGGGACTACAGGGGCCTGCCACCACGCCCGGCTTTTTTTTTGTATTTTTAGTAGAGACAGGGTTTTACGGTGTTAGCCAGGATGGTCTTGATCTCCTGACCTCGTGATCTGCCCGCCTTGGCCTCCCAAAATGCTGGGATTACAGGCGTGAGCCACCTTGCCCGGCCTTTTTTTTTTTTTTTTTTTTTAAGACAGAATCTTGGTCTGTTTCTCAGGGTGGAGTGTGGTGGCACAGTCGTGGCTCACTACAGCCCTGAACCCTCAGGCTGAAGTGATCCTCCTGCCTCAGCCTCTCATGTAGCTGGGACCACAGGAGCATGCCATCATGCTTGGCTAACTTTTTTGGTATTTTATAGAGATGGGATCTCACTATGTTGCCCAGGCTGGTCTCCAACTCTTGGGCTCAGGTAATCCTCCCTTCTTGGCCTCCCAAAGTGCTGGGATTACTGGCATGAGCCACTGCACCTGGCCATTCTTAATGAGTTAATTTTTGTCTGGTATGGGGAAAGGGTCCAACTTCATTGTTTTGCATTTGAATATCCAGTTCCACCAACATTTGTTGAAAAGACTATTCTTTCCCAGTTGAATTATCTTGGCAGAATTAGTTGACTGTCAGTGTTAAGCTTTATTTCTGGGTTCTCGATTCTATTGATTTTTTTTTTTTTTAATTTGACTGTACGTTGGAAGAATTATTCATCTGGAATTTAGACCTACTGGGGCTGGTGGTCATGACGCTGGAGGTTGTGTTTTGGGAACTGGTGACCAGTCATTCTTAGATGGCTGACTCATTTTTTTTGTGACCATGAGATTTAAACATTTATAGAGATTTAATTGTAAGTAACAAAGGCCTGCAGTAGATGCTGTTACAGGCATGAGAAATGATTTTGTTTATACAGATCACAAACTATAAATACAGTGGCAGTGGTCACTGGAGCCATCCATATATCACAGTTAAACTGTTCTCCTGAGTAATGGGGTTGTCAGCACTGAAGTACACTTCCTTGCCATGTGGAGCAGTAGCCGGTTCTTTATTTAATATTTTCATTTACTAAGCAATAACTTAATTGGAAAATGAATTTTGATTGGGTTTTCTATAGTTAACTGTTTTTTAAAAGTACTATTCCCTTTTTCTCTTTTCCACATTCACTTTGGTGAGGTAGTTAAGAATACTGGCTTTGAAACTACCTGGGGCTGTTGCAGTGGCTCACACCTGTAATCCCACCATGTGAGAGGCTGAGGTAGGAGGACTGCTTGAAGCCAGGAGTTCGAGACCAGCCGGGCAAAACCCAGTCTCTACAAAAAATACAAATATTAGCCAGGTTGGTAGTGTGCGCCTGTAGTTCCAGCTACTCGGGAGGCTGAGGAGGAAGGATTGCTTGAGCCCAGGAGGTTGAGGCTGCAGTGAGCTGTGATCGTGCCACTGCACTCCATCCAGCCTGGGATAGAATACTGTCAGAAAGAAAGAGAGAAAGAAAGGAAAGAGAGAGAGAGAGAAAGAAAGAAAGAAAGAGAGAAATTATACCTGGGTTTGGACCCTGTGCTCACCACAAAGGAGCTGTGACCTTGGGCAATTTATTTCCTAGAGTCCAAGTTTCCCAACTGGTACAGAGGAGAAAAATAATAATAACAGTAATACCTGACAGGTTGGGAGAGATTGTGCTGGTGTCACAGAGTCTGTGACGGCACTTGTAAGGGAGTGCTGCATAAATGAGAGTGGCGGCTGTTGTTGCATTATTATTTGTTTTACATGGTTATAAAACTTCCCTCAAGCCCCGTTTGAAAAGAGAAATCAGTAGTTGGCAAACAAATTTGAAGAGCAATGGTTTCTTTTTTTTTTTTTTTTTGTGACAGTCTTGCTCTAGAATGCAGTGGCGGGATCCTGGCTCACTGCAACCTCACCCTCCTGGGTTCAAATGGTTCTCCTATCTCAGCCTCCTGAGTAGCTGGTGCATGCCACCACACTTCATTTTGCTGTATTTTTAGTAGAGTCAGGGTTTCACCATGTTGGCCAGGCTGGTCTTGAACTCCTGACTTCAAGTGATCTGCCTGCCTCAGCCTCCCAAAGTGCTGGGATTGCAGGTATGAACCACCGTGCCTGGCCAATAGGTTTTTGGTCAGGTGTGAGGTTTGGGTGATGGGGTTGGGGATGCTAGAGCTGCAAGCTCCTGGAGCAGGCTGAGCCTCCAAGAGGGAGCGAGTCCTTGGGTTCCTTCTGCCCTGGGAATTTCCTGAGCAGTGGGAGGAGAGCTGGCAACTAGGTAAATCTCCCAGAGTTTGAGGAAATGAGATGCTAGTGCTTTGGAGTGACTAGGTTTAGATCCCAGCCCTGTAAACCTCTGGCCTTCCTTTTCGAGCACACTGAGAATAATATTGACAATTAACGTTCTAAGTGCCTTGAAAACATTCTCAGTCCTAATAATCCTATGATGTAGGAACTACTGTTGTCTCTGTTTTGTATGAGGCAGCAGAGGCACAGAGCATTTAAGTAGCCTTGTATTGAATGAAATGAGCATGCATGCAAGCTAACATTAAACACTTACGGACCAGGCACATGTGCTGAGCACTTTACATGGGTGATTTCATGTAATCTTTACAGATGTTCATCATTATAACTTTATATGGCTGAACAGGTCTGTGTTTTGTTTTTTCCTTTTCTTTTTAATTAGTTCCTGTAAGCAGAATGTCTGTGTTTTTGTATTGCTTCACTGGCCAAGAGATTTCTCCCTACATTAAGGAGCAATTTTTTGTTGTTTACTTTTACCCTTTCCTAGTGTTGACTTAAACAATGAATGTTCAATGTAGGTGAGTTCAAATTCTAGTTTGTTTATATTGATCACTTTTAGTTACTCAATAACTTTAAAGGTTGGTTGCAAAACTATTTTGTTTTTTGCAGTCTCTGAAAAGAGGATTCTGAGATGTTAAATTAGCAAAAAAAAAAAAAAAAAAAATTGTGTAAGTATGTAAAATGCCAGGAATGGTGGCTCACCCCTGTGATCCCAGCACTTTGGGAGACCAAGGCAGGTGGATCACTTGAGGTCAGCAGTTAGAGACCAGCCTGGCCAACATGGTGAAACCCCATCTCTACTAAAAATACAAAAATTAGCCGGGCGTGGTGGCATGCGCCTGTAATCCTAGCTACTGGGGAGGCTGAGGCACAAGAATCGCTTGAACTCAGGAGGTGGAGGTTACAGTGAGCCGAGATCGCACCACTGCACTCCAGCCTAGGCAACTCCATCCCCAAAAAAAAAAAAAAAAAAAAAAAAAAAAAGGTATGTAAAACATTGGTGGTATTTTGAGAAAAAAGAAATTCTCTGAATTTATCACTAAATTTGTTGTAAGCCTAAGTATAGTTTTTGTTTTCCACCTTTTTCTTTTGTTCTTGTTTCTTGTCATAGTTAACTTTGAAGAGTTTGGAATGATCTTTTTATTTATATTAGAGTGTGAGGTATTCTAATGCTATCAACAAGAAAAAACCATGAATTATGTGGGAAATTTTAGACAAGGACATTTTGTGCAGAATGATAGTGAATGAGAATTTAGGCAACTTAAAATTTTTGTCCTGGCTGGGCATGGTGGTTCATGTCTGTAATCCTAGTGCTTTGGGATTGAGGCTGGGAGTTTAAGACCAGCCTGGGGAGTATAGCAAACAAAAAATAAAATAAAAAAACTAGCAGGGCATGGTGGCATGTGCCTGTAGTCCTAAGTACTTGCGAGGCTGAGGCAGGAGGATCATTTGAGGCAAGGAGTTCAAGGCTCCAAAGAGCTATGGTTGGACCACTGCGCTCCAGTGTGGGCAACAGAATGAGACCCTTTCTTAAACAAAAAAAAAATTCTTAATAGTTGAAAGAGAAAGGCAATGATGAAAGATTTGGATTGTGATTCAAATTTTATACATACTACAAGTGCCAAACTCAGTTTTCACTCTGTTTTATGCTGAGTGTCTATACATTTTTTCTTTCCTTCCTTCCTTCCTCCTCTCCCCCTCCCTCCCTCCCTCCTTTCCCTCCCTCCCTCCCTCCCTCCTTTCCTTCCCTCCCTCCTTTCCCTCCCTCCCTCCCTCCCTCACTCACTCTGCTGCCCAGGCTGGAGTGTAGTGCCGAAATCATAGCTCACTGTAGCCTTCTTGACCTCACAGGCTCTGGTGATCCTCCCATCTCAGTCTCCTGGGCAGCTGAGACTACAGGTGCATGCTACCATGCCTGGCTAATTTTTTTTTTTTTTCATATTATTTGTAGAGATGGGGTTTTGCCATGTTGCCCAGGCTGGTCTCGAATTCTTGGGCTCAAGTGATCCACCCACCTTGGCCTCTCAAAGTGCTGGGATTACAGATGTGAGCCACCATGCAGGCCAAGTGTCTGTACTTTTAACCAAAGTCCAGAATAATTGCTAGAAACTTTTAAACCTTCTTACCTTGTGTAAACACAGGTTTTTTCTTTTTTGTAAGTCAGGGTCTCACTCTGTCGTCCAGGTTGGAGTGCAGTGGCACTATCTTGGCTCACTGCAACCTCTGCTTTCCGGGTTCAAGCGATTCTCATGCCTCAGCCTCCTGAGTAGCTGGGACCGCAGGTGTTCGCCCCCACCCTGGCTAGTTTTTGAATTTTTAACTTTCAAATGATTGACTGCAAAAATCAGGTAGTCAATTTAAAAATAAACATCTACACATGCGATTCTTTTTTTTTTTTTGTATTTTTAGTAGAGACGGGGTTTCACCATGTTGTCCAGGCTGGTCTCAAACTCCTGGCTTCAAGTGATCCACCCGCCTGGGTCTCCCAAAGAGCTAGGATTAGAGGTGTGAGCCGCTGCTCCCGGCTGTAAACACAGTTTTATTATGAGGTGTGCTGTGACTCTCTAGAGACAGCTCTGCTCTAGAGACGGCACCATAGCAGCACAGGAAAGAGTTTAGGGCCTGGCTGACTGAGTTCCTATCTCGACCTTAGGAGAGACCTCAGTTTTCTCATTTGTGAAAAAAATGGAATTCGTTTTTCCTTTTTCTCTCTTTTCTTCCTTTATGTTTTCTCTACTTATTTTGTCTTTTCCTCATTTTTCAGTCAGTATAGCTTATAAAATTTTTTCTGATTATAAAAGTAGGGCATAGGCCAGGCGCAGTGGCTCATGCCTGTAATCCCAGCACTTTGGGAGGCTGAGGTGGGTGGATCACCTTAGGTCAGGAGTTCAAGACCAGCCTGGCCAACATGGTGAAACCTTGTCCCTACAAAAAATACAAAAATTAGCCGGGCGTGGTGGGGGGCACCTATAATCCCAGCTACTCAGGATGCTGAGACAGGAGAATTGTTTGAACCCGGGAGGTGGAGGTTGCAGTGAACTGAGATCATGCCACTGCACTCCAGCTCTGGGCAACAGAGCCAGACTCCATCTCAAAAAAAGTAGGGCATATTATGCCAAAAATTTAAATTATAATCCTCTTACTTGTGAAAAATGGCAATATGAGTATTTACTTCATGGGATTATTGTGAGGATGAAGTAAATCCATGCTAAGAACTGAGGACCCTACCTGGCACCTAGAAAATGCACAATGCAATTTCCTATTATTTAAAAAAATTATTATTAGTATCACTGCCACAAATTACAAGAAGAATGAAGAATGGCTTTCGGAACGGTGGTGGGATGCCCAAGGCTGTGCTGTGTTCTCGCAGAAAGCATTGGGAATGGCACATCTCAAGGTCAGGACTAGCCCTCACAAGGGGCAGCATCCAGTGGGCTCTTCTGACTGCTGTAGGTGCATGCACCTGTTTTAGGGTCTCTCTTGATTTTATGTTTCTATAGGGGAGTAGGTGGAGGAGGGGTCAAAACAGTATATTCCAGATATCCTGAGATCTGGTGAAGGAAAACTGGTTTTGGAATCCTGTTGGGCTCTGGAATCAGAGATCAGGATTTTGGTTTATCCCAAAGTGGCTTCTGGAAAGTCGGTTAACCTCTGAGACTCAGATTTCCTCATCTGTCAAATGGAGATTGTGATACTTCTATCAAAGGGTTATTTTTGGCCGGATGCAGTGGCTCATGCCTGTAACATGGCAAAACCCCGTCTCTACTAAAAAATACAAAAAATTAGCCAGGCATCATAGTGTGCACCTGTACTCCAGCTACTTGGGAGTCTGAGGCACGAGAATCGCTTGAAGTGGGAGTTGGAGGTTGCAGTGAGCTGAGATCGTGCTACCGCACTCCAACCTGGGGGGACAGAGTGAGACACTGTCTCAAACAAAAGGCAGGGGGGTGGTTTTTTTTTTTCCTTTGGGGAGATTAAATGAAAGGTCTTGAAAGCACCTTAGAGTAGTACCTTGATACATAGGAAGTACTTAAGAAATGATAGGTAACTATTACTTATAATGAGTGCTGGGTAGAAGGATCTCCTTGGTTACCAAAGACACTCACATCTTTAATTTTGGTGTTTCGATGGAAGCACAGGATATAATTCTCTGCCTCCTTAAATTGTTGAACGTGCTGCAAAGTTTGACATTTAGAAATAGAACTAGGGCTGTGGGGCTTTGTTCCGTCTTTAGGGCTTTGTTCTCTGCCCTTGCGTACACACTCGTGTGCATGTGTGAGTGCATATTACACAGGTGCATGGGATAACCCTACTCTTTTAAGGCAGTATGGAAGTAGCAAAGCTGCTGTCTTTGTCTTTTCGGGTGTTGCTGGTCTCCTCTGTCAGCACCATCAAGGCTTTGCTGCTCATTGCACTCATCCAGCAGGGTGCTATCAGGAAGAAGGAGAATGAGTTCCAAAAATAAGGTAACTTATTCAGGCTTCACATTTGTCTCTATGTTGGGAATGATGCTACTCTCCCTGCCTGCCTTGTGGAATGGTTATAAAGATAGAATGAGAGGAAGGTTGTGAAGGTGTGATCAAGGTGTTACACCAATCATTAAACATTATAAAGTATTGCAAACAAATGGACTTAGGAGTCACCTGACTGAGGCAGAAATTCCAGTTCTATTTAATAGGTTTGTCTGTGTTATTTGATCCACTTTCTCATTATAATAGAGGTGGATGATAACAGCATAGGGCTGTGATAAACATTAAATTCTGTAACTTATGTAAAGAATCTAGTGAAGTATATGTTGCACATAACAGGTACTCAAAAAGTTGTGTTTGGGTTAGTCAGGAGTTTGAGACCAGACTGGGCAACATGGTGAAACCCAGTCTCTACTAAAAATACAAATGTTAGCTGGGTGTGGTGGCGTGCCCCTGTAATCTCAGCTACTCGGGAGGCTGAGTCAAGAGAATTGCTTGAACCTGGGAGGCAGAGGTTGCAGTAAGCCAAGATCACGCCATTGCACTCCAGCCTGGGCAACAAGAGCAAAACTTGTCTAAAAAAAAAAAAAACAAAAAAAAACAAAAAAAAAAACGCTGGGCGTGATGGCTCACGCCTGTAATTCCAGCACTTTGGGAGGCCAAGGCAGGTGGATCACGAGGTCAGGAGGTTGAGACCAGCCCGACCAACATGGTGAAACCCCGTCTCTACTAAAAATACAAAATTAGCTAGACGTGGTGGTGCATTCCTGTAATCCCAGCTACTCGGGAGGCTGAGGCAGGAGAATCACTTAAACCCAGGAGATGGAGGTTGCAGTGAGCCGAGATCACACCATCGCATTCCAGCCTGGGCAACAAGAGGGAAATTCCGTCTTTAAAAAAAAAAGTTGTGTTTTTATACACTTTTCAAGAGCTGTTGCTTCTGTTACTATTGTTTCTGCTGCCTATTTTCTCTTTTCTTCCCCAATTTCTCCCTTCTTTGGAAGGACTGGATGTTGGCTAACATGGTGGCTCATCAAACATGACTGTTTTTTTTTCTTTTGAGACAGGGTCTTGCTCTGTCACCCAGGCTGGAGTGCAGTGGTGCAGTATCTGCTCATTGCAGCCTCGACCTCCTGGGCTCAAGGGATCCTCTCACTTCAGCCTCCTGAGAAGCTGGGACTATAGTCGTGTGCCACCAAGCCTGGCTAATTTTTGTATTTTTTGTAGGGGTGGGGTTTTGCCACTTTGCCCAGGGTGGTCTTGAACTCCTGTGGTCTCAAACTCCTGGACTCAAGCCATCTGCTCGCCTCAGCCTCCCAAAGTGCTGGGATTACAGGGATAAGCCACTGTGCCCAGATTCATTTCTGACTTTTCTTTTTCTTTTTTCTTTTTTTTTTTTTTTTGAGACGGAGTTTTGTTCTTGTCGCCCAGGCTGGAGTGCAATGACAGGATCTCCACTCACTGCAACCTCTGCCTCCCAGGTTCAAGCGATTCTCCTGCCTCAGCCTCCCAAGTAGCTAGGATTACAGGCGCCCGCCACCACGCCCAGTTAATTTTTTTTTTTTGTATTTTTATCTGAGACGGGGTTTCACCATGTTGGCCAGGCTGGTCTTGAACTCATGACCTCAGGTGATCTGCCTGCCTCGGCCTCCCAAAGTGCTGGGATTATAGGCGTGAGCCACCGCGCCCGGCTTGACTTTTCTAACTTTCTCGTTGATGAGTAGATAGTTGTATCATCACAGATTAAATCTTGAGGTTTTCATCTATTCCTGGCTATGGTGAGAGCTACCCACCCTGCCAAGCTCAGGAATGCATTCTTTCAAATCATTCTGGATGCGTAGGGTACTAGGAATTTAGTCTGTATGATTGCATTTTATTTTAATTTAATTAGAACTTTGACCCTCGAACTTGCTCTCAGGGTGGGATATTCTTTAGAAAGCATGAATAGCCTATCCTTACTGTATACCATGAGAAAGTTAGTGATACTAACCAGTTATAATTTTATAAAAGAATATGATGATATATATAGTCAGCCCTCTGTATCCGTGGATTCTGTGTCTGGATTGAACAAACCATGGATCAAAAATATTTGGGGAAAAAAACAAAACAATAAAAATAATACAAATTAAAAAATATAGCACAACAAATTTACATGGCATTTACATTGTATCAGGTATTATGAGTAATCTAGAGATAATTTAAAGTATATAGGAGGATATGCATAGATTATATGCAAATTCCATTTTATATCAGGGACTTGAGCATATGAGAATTTTGATATTCACGCGAGGGGTCCTGGAACCAGTCCCTCGCAGATACTGAGGGATAGCTATATGCCTTATAAAATCCCAGGCATATTTGTTTATGAAAAGGCAAGCTAGGCTGGGCACAGCGGCTCATGCCTGTAATCCCAGCACCTGGGAAGGCTGATGCTGGTGGATTGCCTGAGTCCAGGAGTTCAAGACCAGCCTGGGCAACATAGTGAGACCTCATCTCTATAAAAAAATAAAAAAAATTAGCCAGGCATTCTGGCACAGTAGTTCCAGCCAGTTGGGAGGCCAAAATGGAAGGATCACATGAGCCCAGGAGGTCGAGGCTGCAGTAAGCTGTGACCGTACCACTGTACTCCAGCCTGGGCAACAGAGTGAGACTGTCTAAAAAACTGGCCGGTATGGTGGCCCACACCTGTAATCCCAGCACTTTGGGAGGCCGAGGCGGGTGGATCACCTGAGGCCAGGAGTTCGAGACCAGCCTGGACAGCATGGTGAAATCCCATCTCTACTAAAAATACAAAAAATTAGCCAGGTGTGGTGGCAGGCACCTGTAATCCCAGCCACTTGGGAGGCTGAGGCAGGAGAATTGCTTGAACCCAGGAGCCAGAGGTTGCAGTGAGCCGAGATCGCTCCATTGCACTCCAGCCTGGACAACAAGAGCGAAACTCCGTCTCAAACACACACACACACACACTCACACACTCACACACTCACCCACAAAAAACCCACCAAAACTTCTGGGTTGGATCTGGTGAGGTCACAATTTTGGATTTGGTTCCCACGTGGTCCAGTTTTGTTATTATGAAGTAAATCTCTGTTTCAGAGGCCACCATATCACATTTCTCGAGTCTCCTTGTAGACACCTAACTTGTCCGTGATGATGTGAGGTAATAACAGGAGATAATGATTCAGCAAAGCTTTGTCCCGCCACTGAGAAATTGCTTTGAAACAGTGGCCCATCCACAGTTGCAAAGTGGGGGTGATTCTTCTTCAGGGAGCATAGCGTAGCAGATTTTCCCCTGCGTCCTCTGTGTTTGTTCCTCAGTGTCTGGAAAGTGCTTACCCTAGAGAGTGAGCTTGGGACCATTTTTATTAAAGCTATTATTATTATTATTTGAGACAAAGTCTCACTTTGTCACCCAGGCTGGAGTGTGGTGGTGCGATCACACCTCACTGCAACCTCCACCTCCTGCGTTTAAGTGATTCTCCTTGCCTCGGCCTCTCAAGTAGCTGGGACTGCAGATGGGCACCACCACGCCTAGCTAATTAAGAAAATTTTTTTGTAGAGCTGATGTCTCCCCACAACCCAGGGTGGTCTTGAACTCCTGGGCTCAAGAGACCCTCCCACCTTGGCCTCCCTAAGTGCTGGGATTATAGGCGTGAACCACCGTGTCTGGCCATTAAAGGTATCCTCAAAACTCATTTTATAGTATTTATTTTCTTTTGATGTTCATTGATTTTTTTTTTTTTTGCTAAAGTTGTCTTGCTTTTTAATGTAGACCAATGGAGTGCATTTTACAGACAACAAAACATATCCTATATGGTGGGTAGCAAATTAAATAGGCTTTTTACTTTTTTTCTACTCTTTGATTCTTTACCTATTAAAATATTGCAGTTTTCTCTTCATTTAAAAAACTTATGAAATTCGTGCTTAATGTTAAACCTTGAAAACATAGACAAGATAAAGTAAACAAAGGCCATCTAACATCCCATAATCCTGGTTAATATTTTTGTGTATTCATCTCTCCTAAGGATGTGTCCATTAGCATTTTTTCCAGGTTGAATTACAGATACCTTTTTCAGAGACTGCATGCTAGTCTCTCATGATTCCCTTATCTGTTATATTGAAGTCGTGTGTGATCGCACGGGAAACTTGCTTTTGTTATTTGCCATCACCAAAGGACCCTTCTGAATGAAGAGCGAGGGCAGCTGGCTGTTGGGTGTGTGGCGTGTTGTCATCACTTGAACACAGGATTATTAAAGGTGCGCAGGATTGTTAAATGTGCCTGCTGTCGGCTGATGTCAGATGATCCCCTGGGAAGGTTTATTTATTTATTTATTTATTTATTTTTACCCTGCAGGCTCCAGTTCTGCTTCAGCAGATCTGGGATGGAGGCTGAGACTCCCCGTGATGCCCAGGCAGCTGTTCATGAGCCCCCTTTGGAGTACCATTGAGCCAAGGTCCTCTAGCATGGCCGAGTGCTCTCTGCTCTTGCAGTGAGGCAGTCTCTGCTTTTGTTCTGCTCAGGGCTGACCTGTTTTGGGGGGCTTCCTCCACTCTTGGGGGGCTTCCTCCACTTCCTGGCTCTTTTCCCTCATCCACGCTGCTCAAGACCCCATTTCTTCCCTGCTGTCTCATGCATACATCCACGCTCCTCCCAAACCTCTGTTCCTGTCACTCCAGCAGGCTCCTCCATCTCCCCAGGCCACCCTCCTACCACCACCACTCCCACCACCACATCAGAGTCCTTTTTTTTCCAGTTACTACTTGATTGCCCCCCTCCCCACTTCACCCCTCAGTTTCCTGTCTGGAGCCCTCAGATTCCTTTCTCTCCATGGAGGGCAGTGACTCAGAGGCGCCTACCTCAGAGGCGGCATCAATCAGGTGTGTCCTGGCCCCAAACTAGCTCTCCACTTGGGGCTCCCTGAGTGTTGAGGCCTTGGATTTCCTTGCAGGGGAAGGAAGGAGGGGTGAGAAAGATCCAGAATCTTCAAAGGAGCCTTCTTTGCCCAGTCCAACATCCACTCCACCCAGCTGACTGGAGAAATAAATGCTAGGTTTGACTGAACAAATAACAGTAATTAAGATCTGTTTCCTGAACAGCCTACCCCTTTGGCCTGTTTACTTTGCAGCCCAATAACAATTCATTCAGTCAGCCTGGCATTGAGGTCCATTGTGTATGATTTTGTTGCCGGAGTGCTAGTCTTCACAATCTAGGGCTGATAGAAGACTTCTGCCTTGTAATTTTAAAAAGTAGAGGGAACACCGCTGCCAATATGAGCAAGTTACTTGTTTCTATCTCTCTCTCTCTTTTTTTTTTTTATTTTTATTTATTGAGACAGAGTCTTGCTCTGTCGCCCAGGCTGGAGTATGGTGGCGCTGTCTGGGCTCACTGCAACCTCCGCCTCTGAGTTAAAGCGATTCTCCTGCCTTGCTCTCCTGAGTAGCTGGGATTACAGGCATGTGCCACCATACCCAGCTAGTTTTTTGTATTTTTAGTAGAGGCGGGGTTTGGCCATGTTGGCCAGGCTGGTCTTGAACTCCTGACCTCAGGTGATCCACCTGCCTCGGCCTCCAAAGTGCTGGGATTACAGGCGTGAGCCACCGCGCCTGGCCTGTGACTTGCTTCTATCTCTGTACTCCCGTACTTGGTTGTGTGTAGCCAATACCCTGAATGAAAAAAAACAAAAAGGTAAAGGTTGGCGGGTGGTGATGTAAGGTTATTTTCATTTCTGTTGATGATAGAAGAAATAAGTATAAGCACCTTCATTTGGCCCTGGTTCCTTTTGCAAATGTATTTTAAGAACATAAACAGGAGTTTCTCAAGCTGGGGGCGAAGGGGTAATTGCATGACAGTTCTCTGCCAGTTGGTGCCATCGAGGCAGCTGGTGCTTGAATGCAGGCATCCTCACAAAGGCTGTCTAGGGCTTTGTGCCAGCTTGCCTTGGAATGAGGACCTGCTCCAGAAGTGGGTGGAGGGGTGCTGATAAAACCCACTGGGCATCTGGCAGTGCTTGCTTGAAAAGGCAATGAACAGCGGCTATTTGTTTGGGGGAAAGGCACACACCTATTCGTTCCTTCCACTTCAAGCTAGAAGTGGAAGAAGAAGATGAATTTCAAGGGTGAAAAGAGGGAAGAGCTGGAAAGAAGGTTTCCTGAAGTTTGAGGGATGATGAAGGCTAAAGTTAACTGTGAGAAAAAGTGTTTTCTCAGCTGTAGGAAAACAGTGCAGCTGTTACTCCAAGAAAAAAGCTGTTAAACCAGGACTTTCATGGCACTACCAGGCATCCAGAACATGGGGTGGGCTAGAGGAGTGAGGGCGACCCTGTAGGAGGGACATGCGTCTTGAGAGGTTAGTGTGGGCCCATGCCTCCCTTTCCCCTTCCCCTGATCTTGCCTCTGAGCACTGGTACTATCCAGGTACAGCTGTGGTTTTCCAAACCAGAGGCCTGTTGTCTGACATTTTGTTTTCTAATTTATGTATTTATGTGAAAAATATTAGAAAGACTTGAAATAATCATCTTTTATTGGACACTGAATCCTAAAGAACAGGATTTTATGGGATCTAGGGTAGGTGAAGCGTGCAAGTTTTTCCTTGTTCAGAGCCCTTGTTGCTAGACTAACCACCTTGAAAGAGAAACATATTGTTACTGGGCAGTGGAATGGGTCAGAGGTGTTCTTTTGAGCAGTGAGCCCTTTCTGTGATGTGGTTTGTGGGGAGAGCGGCCAGTGGTTGAATCTGCACGTGGGGTGATTTAGTCGGGGCTGTCAGCTTCTCAGAAGCGCAGGAAGGGAGGTAGTCGGGGGTGGGCATTACCATAGCACAGCCTGTAGCTGTTCAAGAGCACCAGACTTTTTTTTTTTTTTTTGAGACAGAGTCTTGCTCTGTCACCAGGCTGGAGTGCAATGGCGTGATCTCGGCTCACTGCAACCTCCGACTCCCTGGTTCAAGTGATTCTCCTGCCTCAGCCTCCCAAGTAGCTGGGATTACAGGCACGTGCCACCATGGAGTTTCACTCTTGTTGCCCAGGCTGGAGTGCAATAATGCAATCTTGGCTCACTGCAACCTCTGCCTCCCGGGTTCAAGTGATTCTCCTACCTCAGCCTCTCATGTAGCTGGGATTACGGGCATGTGCCATCATGCCTGGCTAATTTTGTATTTTTAGTAGAGATGGGGTTTCTTCATATTGGTCAGGCTCGTCTAGAACTTCCGACCTCAGGTGATCCGCCCACCTTGGCCTCCCAAACTGCTGGGATTACAGGCGTGAGCCACTGCGCCCAGCCAGGAACACCGGTTTTGTGGCCACCCCAGGGTTAATGCGACACATGCTGGCTTTTCGTTTTAACTGTCATGAGGGAAACCTTTCAAAATGTATTAGACTCTGAGACACTTGAAACTGCCTTCTTCCTAGGATCAGCAGAGCATTTGTTTGTTTGTTTGTTTTTGAGATGGAGCAGAGCGTTTTTTAAAGCTACTAACGATGACTTCCTTTAGTTGTCTCAAGTGTCTGTTAGTATATTGCACAGTAGATACAGAAGTGTGGAACCCAGAGGATGAGTTACTAGCTCCTTCCTTTTCCAGACTGCTGAGTTGTTTGCACTGATGTGTTTTTTGATGCTCCACTGATGGTTGTCACTAGATTTGTCCTTGAGCCAAATCACCTAACCTTTCTGGGCCTCGGTTTTCACATCAGGAAAATAGGAGGACTGGACTAGATCAGGGACTTCCAGTGCAGGTTTTGGGATGTAGCCCTGTTTAGGTTGAATTTTCTGGATGCTGAGTTTGATTAAAAAATCCACTAAAATGTGAGTTTCCTGAGAGCAGGGACTATACTACCAACTCCTAGAACCAGTACCCAGTCACTAGTAAGCATTTAATAAATACTGTATGAATATAGAACTGCATTTTTGGTATTATACTGCATCCATATGTGTTACATATTGTGCATAGAATTTCGTTTGGTGGGGAGAAGAGCTCACTCGCCGCTAAACTCTTGAAGCTTCTGGTGCACTTGAGTTCTAAGGTCCTCTGCACTCCAGCTCTCTGAGAGCAGTGAAATGAGCTCCTTTCTGTTTCCATCCCCGAGCATACGGGCATCTAGCTGGCACTGGGGCCTGTCACCAGCCTAGAAAGCACTCCGTGGCTTGGCAGGGTTTGGGGATTGGGCTGGCACATAGCACCTCTTGGAAAGGGCTTGGCAGGTTTCTCCCTTGCAGCATAATCTCCATGACACAATGAGGCAAATTTTGGGTTTAGTGTTTCACTGGCTGCCGGTTGATAAGCTACTATTTATAAAGTAGAACGAGCAGGGTTTCTGCCCACCTTCTTTTTTGCTGAGACTATTTAAAATTAACTATTTTATAAATTAAAAATAAAACTTTTAAATAAACTTATTTTAATTAAAAATTTGTAAAATAAAAATATCAAAATAAAAAAATTAAAATTAAAAATTAAGAATAAAAATGTAAACATCAAACTTACTTTATAAATGAAACGAGTTTTTACTGTATTTTATTTTATTTGTTTTTTTAGAGACAGAGTCTCACTCTGTTGCCCAGGCTGAAGTGCAGTGATGCAATCTCAGCTCAATGTAACCTCAATCTTCTGGGCTCAATCCATCCTCCTACCTCAGCCTTCCAAGTAGCCGGGACTACAGGCTTGTGTCACCATGCCTGGCTAATTTTTGTATTTTTTGTAGAGACAGTGTCTCACTATGTTACCCAGGCTGGTCTCAAACTCCTGGACTCAAGCGATCTACCCACCTCGGCCTCCCAAAGTGCTGGGATTACAGGCAGGAGCCACTGTGCCCAGCCCTAAAACTAATTAAAAAAAAATATTTAAAACCCAATGGGTACTTTTGTTTTCTCCCAGTCTCCTACACTTCTCCGTTTTGAGTTTCAAGGTTTCATTTTCTTATACCTTTTTCTTAATAGAACTTACTTAACTCACCTTTTCAGCCCTGTTCTGCCACAGGTATTTGTTGCCTCAGTGGGTGCCAGTGAATGTTCCCACAGCTCTTGTTTTTTCCTCAGTGGAAATGAAGGTGTAAAGACGGCTTTAGCTTTCCAACAAGTTTTCTCACACACATAAGTTGCCAGCATGCTCTCCTGTGTTCAGACTGAAGGTGGTGAACCCCACAGTCTGACTGTGGAGATGGCTCTTGCTTTTCACCCCTAACTCAGTGGCTCTTAACTGGGGAGCCATTGTCTGGAGACATTTCTGATCATCACGCCTTGCAGGGGAGAGGGGGAGTTGTGACTGGCATCTAGCGGGTAGAGGCAGGGAGGGGCGCTGCTGAACATCAGCATCCAGTGTACAGGTCAGCCCCCGACAAGAAAGAATTTTCTGGCCCCCAGTCAATAGTGTCGAGTGATAGAAACGCTGCTCTGAAGGACCTGCCCCTGAGGAACGTTTGTTTTCTGTTGAGCTGTCAGAAGGGATGTTGTTTACCCTCAACCTCAAACCTTATAGATCTCACCAACCTGCTAAAATGTATCAAGTGTGATATGATATTTTTAATTTTAAGGTAGAGAGAGGGTCCTGTGATGGAATGATTCAAATAATCCCACTGCTGTCTGAGAACAGAGGACTTGATAAACATTCTTCTGGTGCTGAAAGTAGCCCTAACCTCCTGAGAAAGAGACTCCAAAAAAGGGGAACATCTTTGTCCCAGACTCCACTGTAACCCCAAAGCTGACTGATGGCTTTGTATGCGTTCATAGCCTCTTCTTGCCCATTTCAGACTTGGTTCTGGTGGCTGGAGATACTAAGTTGACCCTTGACTGTTTGTTTCATGGAAATGTTCAACGTGGAAAATAACACCGCTCTAGTATGTTGAAACTTGTTTGAGAAACCACTTGCCAGAAACTCATCTCTCACAGTCCCCACAATACTGCTGCCACAGTTATGGGCATGATGATGAAAGCCTTGGCGCTTTAGAGGATTCTCTGAACTCAAAATAAAATTTAAGAAACCCAGATAAAGGAACTATAAGAGCATATTTCTAGTCTAGGCAGATATATAGCTTCTGTTTAACTTCTTGAACTTTTAGGTAGCCGTATTAATCTGTTCTTGCATTACTATAAAGAAATACCTGAGACTAGGTAATTTATAAAGAAAAGACCTTTAAATGGCTCACCATTCTGCAAGCTGTACAGGAAGCATAGCAGGTTCTGCTTTTGGGGAGGCCTCAGGAAGCTTCCAATCATGGCGGAAGACAAGGGAGGAGCAGGTGTCTTACATGGCAGGAGCAGGAGCAAGAGAGAGAGAGAGTGGGAGATATCCCACACTTCAGATGACCAGATCTCATGAGAACACACTCCCTGTTGTGAGAACAGTACCAAGTGGATGGTGGTAAACCATTCATCAGAAATCTTCCCCCATGATGCAGTCATCTGCCACCAGGCCCCATCTCCAACATTAGGGATTACAATTCAACATGAGCTTTGGGTGGGGACACAAATCCTAGCCATATCGATAGCTGTTTAATTTTTTTATTTTATTTTTAATTGCTTCAAATTCTACCAAGTATTGGTTTATTTACATCAGTTAAACTCTATAAAGTTTTACAAGGCTTAAGGAATTTTTTTTTTCTTGCGGGGTAAAAAATGCATACATAAAATTTACCATCTTAACTACTGTTTTGAGATGGAGTTTCAGTCTCGTTGCCCAGGCTGGAGTGCAATGGCATGATCTTGGCTCACTGCAACCTCTGCCTCCTGGGTTTAAGCAATTCTCCTGCCTCAGCCTCCCAAGTAGCTGGGATTACAGGCACATGCCACCACACCTGGCTAATTTTTGTATTTTTAGTAGAGACAGAGTTTCACCATGTTGGTCAGTCTGGTCTCCAACTCATAGCCTCAAGTGATCCGCCTGCCTTGGCCTCCCAAAGTGCTGGGATTACAGGCATGAGCCACTGCTCCTGACCCAACTATTTTCAAGTGTATAGTACAGGAGGTGTTTTTTTGTTCGTTTTTTTTTTGTTTTTTTAATGCCTCAATTATGGTGATAGTTCACTCTGGCTGTTTTCTTCCAATCACATTGAAGTAGGTTTGATTTACTCATTGTCTGATGCATTTAACAAATATTTGAGGGCTTACCACCTATGAGGTGGAACAGGAATGTTTTGTTTTCTTCCAAAATAGAAACCTGTAATGTTTTTCTAATTATAAGATGTATGCTTGTTGCAGAGAGTTCAGAAAATACAGAAGAGCATAGTCACTCATAATTCTACAACTCTGTTTACTACTGTTGATGTACTGATATATCCTTCTAGTTTGTTTTTTGTTGTTGTTAGTGCTGATCTATGTCTTGTTATATTTTTACCCAAAATGCTATCATACTCTACACTATTAATATTAACTATTTTCAGTTTATACAGTGTGGACGTCTTTCCATGGCCATAAATTTTTCTGTATAACCTATATAATCATTTCAGTGGGTGTATTATATTCTACAACATGAACCTTCTGTAATTTAACTGATCTTAAATCTAAATCTTTTTATTGGACATCTAGGTTTCTTCTCTTAAACCACATGTATTAGATGTGTAATAGATGTCATGTAGATAGTCATCTTATGTATATCTTTGTTTTCTTGCTTAGAGAGTGTAGAATCAAGGTCTCTTGTTTACTGCGGTATTCCCAGGAATTGACAAAGCACATAGCAGGTGTAGAGTATAGTATATATTAGTGAGTGAATGAATGGCCTGGTTATTTCCATAGAATTAGGAAATAGGGCTTTTAATATGGGGTAGGATTTGGTGAGGCAGGGAGCTTGGTGATTGCGGTGGTTGAGCTGCTTGGGGCAAGACACTAGAAGAAGCCATCCATGTTCACTGAGGCCAGAGTTTGCATGGGAGACAGGAAGGGGCACAGAAAGGGAAGTGACCTCTTCAGATACTTGCTGAATGCTTACTGTACACACAGGGGCAGGGAAGAAAAATTGCTTCCTTTTTCCAGTGTAGCCTGTCTCCCTCCTGTAGGAAACCGAGGTTTGAAGCCAGTTTCAGGCCAGTGTTACCTGTCTTGTTCATGCGCTTATGCCAGCAGTAAGTGGAGAAGAATGGCAAAGAGCCTACCACATTTAAATTAAGTCTAGTACTTGCGGGCTCTGTGACCTTAAGCTGCTGTTTAACCTCTCTGAGCCTTGGTCTCGTCTCTGTAAAATAGGGATGATTGTAACAGGTAATAATAATTGTTGTGCCTTGCAGAAAGTAAGAGATTAATAAGTGTTAACTATTGCTAACTAATATTATGATGGATTCAGTAAGCTTTAGCTTTCTTTTTTCTTTCTTTGAGATGCAGTCTTGCCCTGTTGCCCAGGCTGGAGTACAGTGGCGCGATCTCTGCTCACTGCAACCTCCGCCTCCTGGGTTCAAGCGATTCTCCTGCCTCAGCCTCCTGAGTAGCTGGGATTACAAGCACCCACCACCACATCCAGCTAATTTTTTGTATTTTTAGTAGAGACAGGGTTTCACCATGTTGTCCAGGCTGGTCTCAAACTCCTGACCTTGAGTGGTCTACCTGCCTCAGCCTCCCGAAGTGCTGGGATTACAGGTGTGAACCACTGTGCCTGGCTGATTCAGTAAGCTTTCATGGGTTGCCATGTATTCTTTTGTATGGGGGAAAGCCACTGTAAGCCCCAGATAAACCACATGTGTATGTGTTGAGTTTTCTAGAATACAACCATTTGTGAGTTAGGAACTACCTGCAGTTACACTGTTTGTTCAGTAAAACACTCCTTTATTGAGCAGAGGAATTTTTGTGCTCGTTCTTCTAGCTTTTAAGTTGCACCATGCCATTGCATAGCTATCAATAAAGGACAGTACCTGGCACTGTGGTGCCAAGAGGGAGGGTTTACCAACACCCCCCCCCCACCCCACCACTGCCCTTTTGTAGTGGGAAGAAAGGTCTGTCTAAGCTCAGTGGAAGCTATTTCTGAGCTTGAGATGGGAAGATTAAGCCACACAATGTTGGTTGTTGGGTCCAGAATTTCAATGAATGTTGCTCTCCAAAGTAGAGAAGTGTTCATTTCTTCTGCAGACCACAGTTGACTCAAAGGTAACCCTAAAGCTTCAAAAGAGAAGGAAGGGAAGGAGGCCCTCACACGGCATGGGCAGTATTATGTATTACTGAAAGGTGTGGAACTCTGTAGTTAAAAGATGCAGTGTTGTTTACTTGAATAAAAAACTTTGAACCCAGTTTTATGTTTTTAATGGATGTCTTCTATTACCTTGGTACTATAACCTCCCAGCATGCTCAGGAACACCTGAGTTCTAACAGCTTGGTCAGCTTCAGTATTTGAGGAACTTCCCCACTGTGCCCCATCCCACTGCCGTTTATTAAGGAACAGTATTATAATTTTTGTAGCTCACAGAAAACTTGATGTCTTTCCTTAGCTTTGGTAGGTCTCCTGTATTTCCAGAATTAGGAAAAGGGACTGAATGAAGGGTGGTGTCACACTTCCTTTTACGGTTTGGACTTAGTTTAGACACATGAAAGCCAACTTGGCTGTCCAGCCCCGTTGAGGAGCAAGTCCTTCAGAATAGTTGGTTTCCATATGGCCGAGGGGTTCATACTCCCCAAAACTCAAGCACTGAAGCTAAAAACTGTGACCCACATTTGGGATCATTCTTGTGACAGAACTGTTCTAAGCACTTATTTGCTTAGGATACTTCTTTCATTCCTAAGTGGAATGAAGGTAACAGAACATATGTGCTGCCTGGGCCATTGTCGTGAATATGAGTGATCACACTGCCGTGTGTGAGCTGTTACCATGCAGAACGTAGACCATGCAGCAATAGAGTGATGCTTACATGACCTGTGTGTAAGCTAAAGAAAAATCAGGCTTTCACATCAACTTAGTTTATTCAGAAGTCTTGCTGAAGCTTGCAACCTGTTAGTCTTTTCAGAGAGTTTCTGTTAGACTGCTCCAAGGCAGAGTTTCAGCCCGCAGTTTATAGACAGGTGATGGCGGCTCTTCCAGTGCTCAGAAGTTACAACAGATGTGCTCGAAGTTAGATTAGAGCAAGATCTCATCAAGGTTTGGGCACAGGAGTTCATGTGGTTATAGATGATAGAGGCATAGTCATTAATCCTGTCAGACATGTACAGAAAGAGGCAAGGGTTAGGGTCATTGAACTTAACCTGATTCAGGCAAGAGACTCGGGAACCTGTGCTGTGTGCTGCTGATCATCTTCAGGGCATTCTTCTGGAGGGCTGCACTCGGTCAGAGTCAGGGGCTTTGTGGAATCCTGCTGGTAAGGGATTTTGTAAAATTCTGCAGGCAGCAGAAAAGCAAACGTGGCTTCTTACATTTGCCATTTTGTCTCACGTGTGCTTGAAGAGCTTACCGCTGCTCCACTTTTTAGTTCTGGCTTCTCCTTTTGGTTGCTTTTCTCTCCTCCTTGCTCTGGGGTTAACTCATCATGCTTGCCTGTTGCAGTTTGTTTTTCAACATCTAAGAAGTTATGGATGCTAAGGATATCCAGTTACCTCTTGCAGGGTTGACAGGAGTGTGGTGTGATGCCACCATGCTCTCTTTCCATGCCTGTGGCAGATGGTACTCAGTGATCATTGCACTTTCCCTGCTGAGACATTCAGCCTTAAGAATCCTCCTCAGCACAGAGTTTCAGGCAGCCGCTGCCCATCCGTTGGATGTGAGATGAAACCTGTTGATCTACCACCCGTCATCTACCTGGGCTTCTTCGACTTACAAGTGATGACAACTAAGACCCAGAAGGGCAGGTCACTTCGCTAGAGTTGAGTCCAGGTTCTCTGGTTCTCCCCAGCAGTTTGTCCTCTTGGTTGCTGTGGCTTAAGAACCTGGTAGTCAGGCCTTTGGAACTGTGAAAGTAAGACGTGAGAGAGGGAGACAGAGACCCTTTTATGATTAAGGTACATGTGTTGTGTGTGTGTGCATGCCGATTTTGTAATATGTTTGGCCTTCTTGTTGCCAGCTGGAAATTCTAGGTAATGAAGGTATTGTGCTTTTTAATTTAACAGAAGTAGTACTTGGAAGTTACTACCAGCCCTAGCTCATGTTTCTGTGAGCATTTCCTCACACACCTAGATCAATCCTTGGAAGGACCATCTGTGCCCAAGGCTGGTGCGGAGGACAGAGAGGGAGACATATTTATTTTTTGTAGAATGTGTGTGTGTTGCGGGGCTGGTCCTTCATTGGAGAAGAAAAATAACAGTAAGTGGGAGGCCCAGCTTCAGGTAAGATAAGCAAGAGTCAGCTTATCCTTTCATTTTGATTCTTTGCCCCGGCAAGGACAAAGCACCTCCTATTTAGAAAAGCCTTTGCCATTCCTGCGGTTGGAGGGAGGATGTGCCAGGCTCTTCGAAAGATTTTCCTTTGCAGTATGTTTGCGGGAGGGGAAGCTTCTTCAGAAGGGAAAAGCCCAACATACAGCAATACCACATTTGCAAATGCTTTTATATCACTATCGTTCAACTTAGTTGCTTTTATTTTATTTCTTTTTTGAGATAGGATCTCTGTGGCCTAGACCAGAGTGCAATGGTGCAATCTCTGCTCACTGCAGCCTCGACCCGTGGTCCCAGCTATTTGGGAGGCAATCCTCCTGCCTCAGCCTCCCAAGTAGCTGGGACCACCGGCATGCACCACCATGCCTGGCTAATTTTTGTATGTTTTGTAGAGATGGGGTTTTGCCATGTTACCCCGGCTGGGCTGAAAATCCTGAGCTCAAATGATCCGCCTACCCAGTGCTGGGTGCCTCCCAAAGTGCTGGGATTACAGGCATGAGCCACCACGCGCCGTTTACTTTTCTCAAGTAGTCAGTTTTCTTCATTTTTTAACTGTAAGAGTAATGCATGCACATGGTAAAAACCCAACCAGGAGAGCAGAACAATAAGTATCATAGATGTCCCCTGTTCTTCCCCACATCTAGGCCTGTTCCTCGGGTAGTCAGTGTTAGTGGTCTTGTATCTACACATATGTGTATGTACATAGATATGAAATAGCAGGGCGTACTGCCTGTGTTAGTTGGCTAGGGCCACCATAACAAAGTCACACTGACTGGGTGGCTTACCCAACAGAAATTCAGCTTCTCACTTGTGAAGGCCAGAAGTCCAAGAGCAAGGTGTGTGCAGGGTCACTTTCTTCTGAGGCCTCTCTCCTTGGCTTGTACATGGCCACCGTGTTGTTGTGCTGTCCCTGTGTGTGTGTCCTCCTCTTCTTAGAAGCAGTCCTGTTGGATTAGGGACCACCCCAGTGGTCGTATTTAACTTTTAAATACCTTTTTCGTTGAGACAGAGTCTGGCTCTGTCACCCAGGCTGGAGTGCAGTGGCGCGATCTCGGCTCACTGCAACCTCTGCCCCCCGGGTTCAAGCGATTCTCGTGCCTCAGACTCCTCAGAAGCTGGGACTGCAGGCATGTGCCACCATGCTTGGCTAATTTTTGTATTTTTAGTAGAGACGGGGTGTTGCCATGTTGGCCAGGTTGGCCAGGCTGGCCTCGAACTCCTGGCCTCAAGCAGTCTACTCGCTTTGGGAGTTGGGATTACATGCGTGATCCACCGCGCCTGGTCTAACCTTAATTACCTTTTTAAAGGCCCTATCTGCAAATACAGTCACTTTCTGAGGTACTAGGGTTTAGTACTTCAACATATGAATTTTGGGGGACACAATTTAGCCCAACACACCTGACGTATTAACAAATATTTCATTGTATAGGTCGTAATTCATTTTACTAGTCCCTGGGTAGCTGGAAAATAAGGCTGTTTCTAGTGTTTGTTATGAACAGCCTCATACCTAAATCTCTGTGTCTTTTTGGAAATGTATCTGTGAGAGGAGTTTCTGGAAGGATTGCAAGCATTGCCCTCTGAAGATGTTGTTGGACTCCCTTTTGCGTGTGTGAATGTTACTTCCTTGGAGGAGGAGAGTATGCAGTATCTACAAATTAACACCCTTAGTATTCTCTGTGATTCAGTGCTTGCGTGGGAAATTGAGTATAGCATGCAATTGTGAACTTGTTCCCATGGAGGAGATTGCCAGCCACTGTGCGTGAGGAGTGTTGCCACTGTGACTTCACCATACATTATTCAGCCAACATCCATTTACTGAGTCGTTTGGGGGGGCAGGCACTGTTTTGTTCATTTATTTATTTATATTTTTAAAAAATAGGCTTAGGTTTTTTTTTTTTTTTAGAGCAGTTTTAGGTTCACAGCACAATTAAGAGGAAGATACAGAGAGTTCCCATATACCTCCCCTCCCCACTTGCACGGCCTCCCCCATTATCAGCTCCTCCCACCAGACTGGTACATTTGTTAGAATCGATGAACCTACCTTGACACATCACTACCACCTAAAGTCCATGGTTTACATTAGCATTCCCTCTTGGCGTTGTATATTCTATATTTATTTGTTTTTTATATGCTGTAACTTTTTCAGTAAAAGCTTTATGCCCTCTTGGAGCCAGGGGTAACGAAACCCTGGCACTTCTCTCCAAGCTTGTGAAAGCACCAGTAGTTCCAGCCAGGAATTGATTTTTCCAGTTTTGAAAGTGAGTGACATGCTCAGTGTCTTAACCCTGTAGGTGGCAGGGGCTGGATGTGAACCCATTTTATTCAAAGGTATGCTCCTCCAGAAACACGTGTTCAGTCAGCAGGGCTGTGAGATTTCCCTAGATGCTAACATAAATGTTTCTTTTACGGATGCTGTTTTGAATTTCCACCTGGTATATATATCAATGTGTAGCTTAAGATAATGTGCTCGAACCTTAATTATTAGCATAGTTTACTTTGATAAATCACTTTTGGGCTAGTAAGAAAGGCTAGTCCATTCTAATATTTGGAATGTGTGTGTATAGGTACACATACATATAGACACATATATATGTACATATGTATATTTGTAATACCATAGCACTGTATAGAGTAAGAGTGAAAATGAAATTTGGAAAATCAGATCCATACAATGGCATATGACTTTAATGACAGAATAGGGTTAAACCAATAGGGCTTTCTTTTTACATTTTCCACAATCATGTCCCTTCTGTTGCTATTTGTCTGCCTTTAGATGATCAGTTCCAATTAGGCTCACAGTGATGTTTGTATCTGTTTATTTTTCCCTCTGTGGAGATAATAGTAAGTTTAAATGTTGATTCAGCTGTGGGAATGTTTTATTGTGGGAGGCATTAACTGTTTCCAAAATACTTATTTTCCCAAATAGAATAAGTATTTTGTTGATCACATTTGAACTTGAAATACAGTGAGAGGTTGCTGGGCACCATGGCTTACACCTGTAATCCCAGCACTTTATGGGAGGCCGAGACGGCGGATTACAAGGTCAGGAGATTGAGACCATCCTGGCTAACACAGTGAAACCCCATTTCTACTAAAAATACAAAAAATTAGCCAGGCGTGGTGGCGGGCGCCTGTAGTCCCAGCTACTCGGGAGGCTGAGGCAGGAGAATGGTGTGAACCCAGGAGGCGGAGCTTGCAGTGAGCCAAGATCGTGCCACTGCACTCCAGCCTGGGCGACTGAGTGAGACTCCGTCTAAAAAATATATATATATATATAGTGAGAAGTTATCTAAGACCACAGGGTAACAGAGAGTTAGCAACCAGCCAGGCATGGTATCATGGTGTCCTGTGCTTGTAGTCCCAGCTAAGGCTGAGGCAGGAGCATTACTTGAGCCCAGGAGTTTGAGGCCAGTCTGTGTAACACAATGAAACTCTGTCTCTTAAAAAAAAAAAAAAAAAAAGCAATCAGTGAAGGAGGCAGTTAGGAAAGGGTTCAGGAGGCAGGACCCAGAGAAAAGCCAGCTAAAGCAGTGGGGAGGGGACAGTTGTATGTGTATGTGTTTAAAATTGGGGCATGTGAGTGGAAAGAGGTCAGTAAAATCAGAGATTGAGAACATCAGTGAAGGAATTGTAAAGGAAAGTGGCCCATAAAACACCCACACATGCAGTAATGTTAGGATACCACTTGTGTATTCTCTTATCTCAGCCCGAGTAGAATGTCTTCTTTTACAAAGCAGTGGCTTAGTTTTGTGAGTCAAGAAGAATCTGGAGGAAGCTGGCTTGGAAAATCGGACGTAAGATGGAGAGAGTTGGTTAGGAAAAATTTGTAGTGATGAAACAGTAGAGAATGACACAGGGCTCAAACAATGACAGTCTCATGAAGTAGATGAGATAACTAGGGAAATGACTGTGATTCCAAGATCTGTCATACCATTATGGTATGTTGTCTTACCCATATACCTGTGATCGTAGCTCATTGTAAGTGATGTTTATGGTGTAGCATTCTAATTGATGCTTGTTTTGAAGCCTTGCAGAGTCTCAAACTTCCTTCCAAATCATTATCAAAAGATTGAATTGTTGGGCTTTAGGTTTATATAGAGTATAGTGTTAATACATACAGATTTTATTGTAATCTGCAGTTTATGGTAATTTCTTGTAGCATTGCCCTGTTGGCTTAACAGGGACTCCTTTCTGGTGCCAGTTGTGTCTGATTAGGTTATCCAAGACACCATGTAGTACTTCTGCCACCCCCACTTTATAAACGAGAAGTCTTGAGGTTTTTTTTTTTTTTTTTTTTGTGCACCACCACACCCGGCTAATATTTTGTTTTTTGTTTTGTTTTGTTTTGTTTTGTTTTGTATTTAGTAGAGACGAGGTTTCACCATGTTGGCCAGGATGGTCATGGTCTTGATCTCCTGACCTCACGATCCGCCTGCCTTGGCCTCCTAAAGTGCTGGGATTACAGGTGTGAGCCACCGTGCCTGGCCAAGTCTTGAGTTTTTAAAGGATAAATAACTTGCTTGTAGTTCACAGCTAGTAGGTGGCAAAGCCAGGCCACAAACCCAGCCAAGCTTTGAGCCTGAGCTTTTAATCACCATCCTCTATTACCTTATGGTTTATTAAAGATCCCAAAGAAAAGATGTGTATGCTGTTAGTGGTATAGCAGGAGCTCTGTGCTCCTCTGGGCCCACGTCCTACTCATTAACCCAAAAAGCTTACCATTTGGGACATGAAACTCTGGTAGAAATGCAGTGTAAAAGGCACCCATTTCTTTTGAGCTTCAAGTTACATACTCTCATTATTTCCTACAAGGGTGTATGGCTGCAGGCCTTTCCCATCCCAGCACCCTGGGTGCTTGTACATTCATCCTTAGGCTCATGGATTTTGACAGGTTCCTTTTGAAACCGTCTAGGGTTGATGGTCATGTTGTCCGAGGTGTTATCCAAGTCCGTTGTCTCACGACCAAGAAAAGTAAGGATTAATATGAACACAAGGGTGAAGTTGGAGTGAACGAAGAAAGCTCTGTGCAATGGAAAGGAGGACCTGAGTGAGTCGCTGTTTTTACAGTTGAGTCTGAAAGCTTTTATGAGAAACTCCCCTCATCTCTGTAGCTGTTTGCCTAAGTTCCCTTATCTGTGCAGCTGTCTGTGTAACTCTCCTTATCAGTGCAGACACGGGCATGTGTTGGGTAAACACAAAGTGCAGCTCCTCATTTGTGTAACTGTGTTTTAGGTAAGCCTCCCCCAGCACCTCCCCACTCCCTGTGCAAGTTCCCACGGAGCCCACCGTGTATGTGCCTGAGAAGGAGAGGAAACTTTTCCCTGGGAGCCTGCTAATCACACAAAGAACAAAAGGCTTCTATGCTGGGCCCTGCTTTCTTATCAGTGCAGCTGCAGTTTTGTTTTTCCCCAGGCAACTCTTATTTGTATGTGTAGCTGTGATTTTTCAGTCTGTTTCTCTGAGGACTAGCCTTAACTGTCTGCCTAACTGATTTTTCCTTTTCTTCTCCCTCACTTTCTTGGGCCCAACTTTTTGTTTTTCATGTTCTTCCCACTTTGTTTACTAGTTCTTGGCTTCTTCTCTTGCTCTTAGCTGATTGTAGAAATCTTTTTGTCTGAGAGTCACGATTATAATACTTCAGATGAACTGTGCCTTTTCTGTGTAATAATTGGGCATCTCCCAAACCATTGATGGTTGTCATTAAAGATAGCACCAGAACAATTCCGATGAAAGCTTTGTTCACACACCGAACTGTTCCTGCATGTCCTATGGTCAAGGTACCTGGGAAGAATGTTCATCTTGTAGCTTGGAAGGTCGACCTACAGAAGACCTGGGTGAATACGTTGGTAAAGTGGTGTGACTCAGTACAGGACACCAACTGGGCATCCCACAATTTAATTCAATTCTGACACTAACTACCTAGAGTTCGCACAGACCTCACAGGTTAAGGGCTGGGTTCCACAAGACTTTTCTCATTTCAGATGCCAATTGCAAATCTAGGCCTTCCATACTTCTGACTGACCAGCTATGAATCAGGGGTTCCCAGCATCCCCTCTTTAGGTTCAATAATGGGCTAGAATGGATCACAGAACTCACCAAAACTCTTTACTGGCGATTACCAGTTTATTATAAAGGAGACAAATGAACAGCCAGATGAAGAGGTACACAGGGCACTGTCCGGAAGGGTCCCGAGCGCCAGAGCATCGTTCCCTTGGAGTTTGGGTGCACCACCCTCCAGGCACATGGATGCGTTCACCAAACTGGAAGCTCTGAATCCCATTGATTAGGGTTTTTATGGAGGCACTATTATGTACATGCGGCTGATTAAATCATGGGCTATTGGTAATTAGCTCAGTCTTCAGTCCCTGCCCAGGTGTGTGCTCCTGAAAGTTCCGACCCTCTAAACCACATGGTTGGTTCCACTGATAGCCAGCCTTCCATCCTGAAGCTATCTAGGGACCCAGGAAGAGTTGCCTCATTAGTACAAGCTCTGGTATGACTGAAAAGAGCATTAGTAACGAAATACTCTCCTGTTAACCTCTGTCACTCAGGAAATTCCAGAAGTTTTAGAAGCCCTTGCACCAGACCAAATTTTTGTATATATATATGTAGAGTAATGGCAAAAACCACAATTACTTTTGCACCAACCTAATATGATTGTTTTCTTTTTTCCTGGTCATGTTTTTCATGGAGATAGCCTCCCAAGTAGCTGGGACTACAGGTTTGTGCCACCATGCCTGGCTAATTAAAGAAAAAATTTTTTGTAAGAGATGGGGTCTTGCTGTGTTGCCCAGGCTGATCTCAAACTCCTGGGTTCAAGCAATCTTCTTACCTTGATCTCCCACAGCTCTGGGATTAAAGGTGTGAATCACTGCACTGGGCCTTATTAAAAATATATATATGTGTGTGTGTGTGTATATGTGCATGTGTGTATGTATATATGTATATATAAAATATACATTAGATATAGACTGTCTCAATATATATAAATATATATACACATATATATATATATGTGTATATATATTTATTTAGAGACAGGTTCTTGCTGTGTTGACCAGGCTAAACTTGAACTCTGGTCTCAAGCGATCCTAGTCTCAAGTGATCCTCCAGCCCCCCGAGTAGCAGGGACTCCAGATGTGTACCACAGTGCCTGGCCATGTTTCTTATTCTATCACAGTATCATGCTCTAAGCAGATGCCTTCTGTTCCTTTTCTAGCTGGCCTGCTGCTGTGGGTCTGCAGGCTGCTCTCTCTGCTGTGATTGCTGCCCCAGGATTCGGCAGTCCCTCAGCACCCGCTTCATGTACGCCCTCTACTTCATTCTGGTCGTCGTCCTCTGCTGCATCATGATGTCAACAACCGTGGCTCACAAGATGAAAGAGCACGTAAGTTTGTCCGTGTTCAGCTCGTCCTATTTCCGATGTTTGATGAGGGTGTGTGGGAAAAACATGATTTAGAAGATGGGGTCCATGTACCCCCATGTGTTTTGGGGTATACCTGGTTTCCTTGAACCTTCCTGAAGCCTGCTCTATGCTTTCCAGGATCCAATGCCTTCTGGCTAAACAGGAAAACCAATCAACAGCTTGATCTTTAGTAGTAGTGTAGATTCTATCTGATGCTTTTGGTGGAGAATTCTTGTTTTAATTTTTAAATTTTAAAACATTTGTGTAGATTAATGGGGTACAAGTGCAATTTTGCTATGTTGATATATTACCTTGTGGTGAAGTCAGGGCCTTCGGTGCATCCATCCCGGGAATAACACACGTTGTACCCACCAGGCAACCTCTCATCATCCACCCCCTTCCCAGCCCCACAGCCCCTGAGTCTCCATTGTCTATCATTGTCCATCATTGGACACATCATGGACACATCATTGTCCATCACAATCGTCTGTTTATGTCAGACGATTGTGTATTTTATCTTAGCATTGTTTATAGCTGTTCCTGATGAAATATACTATCTTTTCTTGTACCCTTCTGTCCTTTTCCCTTGTCATAGGATGGCTGCCAGGATTTCTTTCTTCTTTTTTTTCGAGACAGAGTTTTGCTCTTGTTACCCAGGCTAGAGTGCAATGGCATGATCTCGGCTCACTGCAACCTCCACCTCCCAGGTTCAAGCGATTCTTCTGCCTCAGCCTCCCTAGTAGCTGGGATTACAGGTGCCCCCCACCACGGCCAGCTAATTTTTGTATTTTTAGTAGAGGCAGGGTTTCACCATGTTGGCCAGGCTGGTCTTGAACTCCTGACCTCAAGTGATCTACCCGCCTTGGCCTCCCAAAAGTGCTGGGATTACAGGCGTGAGCCACTGTGCCTGGCCGCCTGCCAGGATTTCAAATAGCAGCTGAAACACTTAATTTGGCCTACATAGGAAGTATAATAAAGCTGATATTCTCACAAATAATGGAGAATGGGCTATGGGGCATTTCCCACCTTTCTGGACAGGTTACTTGTAGGGTGAGTGGTGTCTTCATGGGTGAGGGGTGGATTTTTGGCCGTTCTTTGGTCAGCGTATACAGAAGTAGGCCTGGTGTGTGATGCTGATGGAGATACATGTGGGACCTCTTTTTCTTGAATTTCCTTTTTTCCCCCATAGTAGTCCTCCTGGATCACAGGGGACTGTGGTGGGGATTTTGAGAGAGCCCAAGAAATAACACTTTGTCTCCTAGGTTCTAAGCGAATTGACAAAAAAGACTAAGATGTCAGCAGGTTGCCAAACATCACCTTTATTCCTCATAAAACTGATGTGAGGCTCTGTGGTTCATATCTTCAGGGAAGCAGGCTTTTACTGAACCCCCAAATGACTCAGACTCACCCAGCAGGGCACCATCAGTGCCCGGGAAGGGCAGACTTCTTTGCAAGGGCGCAGTTTGCCAGGAAGAGAGAGCAGCAGGCGTGTTCCCTTGGGGCAGCTCTTATCCTAGAGATAGAGGGAGAAGAAAGCCTTGCTATCCAAATGCCATTTCCCCTTACAAACCGACCACTCCGTACTGCATCTTCCCAGCTGAACAAGTGAGGAGGTGGAGGGAAGTCCGGAGCAGGCTCTGATGGAGCTGCCCACAGTAGGGATGACATTGCCCGGGGCAACACCTGAGCAAACGTTTGCCCCAACCTGTGCTGAAACTAGGGCTATTTTATTTTTTTTATTGATTGATGATTTTTTTGTGGGGGGGTGGTGGATGGAGTCTTGCTCTGTTGCCCAGGCTGGAGTGCAATGGCGCGATCTCAGCCCACTGCAGCCTCCGCCTCCCAGGTTCAAGCAATTCTCCCACCTCAGCCTCCCGAGTAGTTGGGATTACAGGCGCGTGCCACCATGCCTGGCTAAATTTTCGTATCTTTCTTTAGTAGAGATAGGGTTTCACCATGTTGGCTGGGCTGGTCTGGAACTCCTGACCTCAAGTGATCTGCCCGCCTCAGCCTCCCAAAGTGCTGGGATTACATGCGTGAGCCACCATGCCTGGCCTGAAACTAGGGCTATTTTAAATACACTCAAGTATTTCAAAACAACCATTTTCTTAACAGCACTTTGTATATTCTTATTCATTAAAATAGGCCTTCTGAAGCTTTCTGTTGCATAGTGCTTTTATAATTCTGGTTGTATGGTCTTGGATATGGTGGATACTACAGTGAAATTTGGGTTCCCCTCTGACTGCTTGAAACATTGGCTCTTTCTTCAGTAAGACACTGTAGTGCTAGCCGTGGGGTGTTCACACTTGCGAGAAATGGAGCTTATAATTCAGAAGAGAAGTGATGAAGTCTTTTTTTTCTTTTCTTTTCTTTTGTTTTTTTGAGATGGAGTCTTGCTCTGTCGCCCAGGCTGGAGCGCAGTGGTGCGATCTCGGCTCACTGCAAGCTCTGCCTCCTGGGTTCACGCCATTCTCCTGCCTCAGCCTCCCGAGTAGCTGGGACTACAGGCGCCTGCCACCACGCCTGGCTAATTTTTTTTTTTTTTGTATTTTTTAGTAGAGACGGGGTTTCACCATGTTAGCCAGGATGGTCTCGATCTCCTGACCTCGTGATCCGCCTGCCTCAGCCTCCCAAAGTGCTGGGATTACAGGCGTGAGCCACTGTGCCCAGCCAAAGTTATAAAGTCTTCTAAGGCCTAAAACAAGGCAGAAATTACGAGTCTCGCTCTGTTGCCCAAGCTAGAGTGCAGTGGCACAATCATGGCTCTCTGCAGCCTTGACCTCCCAGGCTCAATCGATCCTCCTGCCTCAGCCTTCTGAGTAGTTGGGACTACAGGCGTGAGCCACCATGCTGGCTAGTTTTTCTATCTGAAAGCGTAGATTTTAACTCTTATTCTGAGCGTCCACTTAATCTCCCATGTACTACTTGTGTTTTTTTAAGTAATACAGTAAATTACTTAAATTTACTCTTTGTAAATTCAACAAGCTTGAATTTCTAAATCCATTAAGGTGGCTTGATGATCCACTGTGGTACTGTGGTGGGAACTCTGCTGTGCACTGGTTGTAGTGTGATCCCTGCTCTTAATAAGTTGCTATTCTTTAATAGAATTAAGCCCTGCATCCAAAAAACAAAATCTATTACTAAACAAATAGATAGTATCCCACAGTGGTGAATTTATTGAGACGTTAGAGGGAGAGATAATTTGGGAGCCATTGGTATGTGTTTTAGGACGTGAATTTCATAATGATAATATTCACACCTGATTACCATCCAAGTAACCTGCCCCATGAAGCAGTTCTAGCAATTCCAGTCAGTATTTATGCTTTCTGACTGTTAACGGATCATTTGAGAAACAGAAGATGTTCCACTGGTGTTGCTAGGAAAGGCTTCGTGAAATAAGTGACTTGTATGAGTAATAATAACTATTTCAATAGCTAATTATTGAGTGATACCATGTGTCAGGTTTTATTCTGAGCACTTTCCCTGTATTTTCTTACTTCATCAGCACTGTACTCACCTGAACAGTAGGTACTAGCATTACCCCTGCCCTACAGATGGGGAAACTGAAACATCGAGCCATTTAAGTACCTCACCCAAGGTCTCCAGCTATTAAATGGTGGGGTTAGGATTTGAATCTGGTCTGAATATGTTCTTAGCTACGAGGCTGTGTGACTAGAGAGGAGGGAGAGGCAGGTGGAGAAGGACCAAGAGGTGAGGCGAGGTGAAATGACCACATCTTGCAGGAATTGTAGTGCCAAGGTGAAGTGTTTGAATGTGGTCTGTGGCAAGTGGGAAGCCATTACAGATTCTAGAGCAGGAGGCTATATCATGGAAACAGAGGGAGATATTTTGGGAGGTGAGCCTAGAGGTAGTGGTGGCAGTGGGCACAGGGTGACTTACAGTCAGAGAACAGAGAGAGGGAGGAAGAGAGGGAAGGCAACCCTGATGTCCCTCACAGAGGCTCTTGTAAATGTTTCTATGCCTGTCCCCTGAATGTACCTATTTACAAATGGTTTGGCTGGGTGTCCTGCGTAGGGAATGAGATCCCTGTGGGTGAAACCAATCCTTTTCCAGCTTTAGGGCCTCACAAGGGAGCTGGCCATCTGGCCACAAAGTCAGCTTGTTTCGTGGCCTACAGAAGAGAGGCTGACCTCATCCTCAGGGGGTGCTTGCGGGCGGGTGTTGAAAGGTCCCCTTGTAGGGACGCACACTGGGCTCCTGCTGGAGTCCTTACCCCCTCTTTGTTGGCCGTGGAAGTGCCTGAGACTGTGACTGGAAGAGGAGAAAGAACTGCATGCTTGTAACGGCCCGGATGGGAGTGTGTAAGTGCCTCCTACCCAGCGTTCTGCCAGAGTCGCGTGGGTCTTTGGTATGTGGGTTAGGAGCGCAAGGGCAGCTCCCTTGTCAGTTATTTCCAGTTTTTGCCTTGGTTGCAGAATGTGGCCTGTGTTTAAGTTTGAGTAAGAGGGGACTGCAAGGGATGCTGGGCCAGACTTTGTCCTGCTTCTTTTCTTTAGGGAAACTCCTCTTTCCCAGGAGAACTTTGGCTCAGAGAAAGCTTGACTGTGCTGGTTGAATAAGGCATGATTCTGTCTTCTCTTGGAGCATTTCCCCATCTCAAAACATAAGGGCTATTTATTTTGCAGGTCATTCTTGTTATTAACTGTATAATTTAAGCAGGTACACACTCATGAGATTTGATACCTGGGGGATTAAAAATCCATTTTAGAGGCCGGGTGTGGTGGCTCATGCCTGTAATGTCAGCACTTTGGGAGGCTGAGGCGGGCGGATCACAAGGTCAAGAGATCCAGACCATCCTAACCAACATGGTGAAACCCCATCTCTACTAAAAATACAAAAATTAGCTGGGTGTGGTGGTGTGCACCTGTAGTCCCAGCTACTCAGGAGGTTGAGGCAGGAGAATCGCTTGAATCCAGGAGGTGGAGGCTGCAGTGAGCCGAGATCCCGGCACTGCACTCCAGCCTGGCGACAGAGTGACACTCTGTCTCAAAAAGAAAGTCCATTTTAGAATGTAGAATGCAAAGGGAACAAAAGTGGGCAAGAAAGTAAAGCCTCCCAACCCAAACGCTAAGTCAAGGTGTAACGTCTGTGTTTGAGGAAGATTCAGATTTAGGCACCCTGGGAAGCCACATGGGTGTTTGGGGAGGGAGGAGAAAGGAAAGTCTTTATTTCCTAGGGAGTAGGGGCCACTAAAACCTGTACTGAAGAAGGAAGGATGGGTGACCTGTGCAGCCCCCACTTTCTCCCCTGAGAGCTCAATGTGCCAGGCCAATGTAGGAAGAGCCATAGATATTCCCAGCCTGAAACATGTTAGATCTGTTTCCTTCATTCCACATTACACTCTCCACTCCCTCCCCATCTTCCCCTCAAGCTCCCCAGCCCTAGGCAGCCACTAATCTATTTTGTCTCTGTGGATTTGCCTATTCTAGACATTTCGTATAAATGGAATCATACAATATATAGCCCTCTGTGTCTGGTCCGTTCTCTCTCTCTCTCTCTCTCTCTCTCTCTCTCTCTCTCTCTCTCTCTCTCTCTCTCACAGATGGAGTCTTGCTCTGTCTCTCTGGCTGAAACGCAGTGGCACGATCTTCTGCTTCAGCCTCCCGAGTAGCTGGGATTACAGGTGCCTGCCACCATGCCCGGCTAATTTTTATAATTTTAGTAGAGACAGGGTTTCACCATGTTGGCCAGGCTGGTCTCGAACTCCTGACCTCAGGTGATTTGCCTGCCTAGGCCTCCCAAAGTGCTGGGATTACAGGCGTGAGCCACCGCACCTGGCCCACTTAGCATGTTTTTAAGGTTCACACTCAGGTTGTAGCATATGTACTTCATTCCTTTAAGTGGCTAGATAATATTCTGTTGTATGAATATAACATTTTATTTTACTTTTATTTATTTATTTCTTTTGAGATGGAGTTTCACTCTGTTACCCAGGCTAGAGTGCAGTGGTGTGATCTCGGCTCACAGCAACCCCCGCCTCCCAGGTTCAAGCGATTCTCCTTCCTCGGCCTCCTGAGTAGCTGGGATTACAGGCGCGCACTACCAGGCCCGGTTAATTTTTTATATTTTTGGTAGAGACAGGGTTTCACCATGTTGGCTAGACTGGCCTCGAATTCCTGACCTCAAGTGATCTGCCCGCCTTGGCCTCCAAAAGTGTTGCGACTGTAAATATACCTGTAACATATTTTATGTATCCATTTGTCAGTTGATGGACATTTGGATTGTTTGTACCTTTTGGCTATTATAAATTATGCTCCTGTGAACATTCGTGTACTGATTTTTGTATGGACATATGTTTTCATTTCTCTTGGGTTTATATCTAGAAGCAGAATTGCTGGATTGTGTAGTAATTTTAAGCTCTTGAGGAACCGCCATATTATTTTCCAAAGTTGCTACATCATTTTCCATTCCCACCAGTAATGTGGGATATTCAGGATGAAGTCATGTATTAAGGTTCACATTTCTCCACACCCTCACCAACACTTAATGGTACATCTTTTTTTTATTTTAGTCGCTATAGTGTGTGTGAGGTGGTCATCTCCTCTTTGCCTGTGCCTCTAACACTGCCCTCTGCCCTTCCCGTTCGCTTGCTTTCCCCTGGGGCAGCTTGTTCATTTCTGGCTTTGATCATCCCCATATGTGCATCTGCTTGTAAAAACACCCTTCACTCAGGACAGTGCTGAGGACACTGGTAGATTCTTTCTTCCTGCATCCCCGTTTTTCTAGATCTTGTGCATACTTTTCCCCAGACAGGTCATAAAAGTCTCAGGCTTCCACTCTGCATTCCAGTCAGTCACGGTGATTTGGCCATGCCACCCTCCCTGGTGTTGCATATTACACTTACCTTGTTTGAACTTGAGTAGTTCCCAGATGTTCCCAGCTGCCCTCAGACTTCTTTCTCCAGATAACTTAGCCCGTTAGTTAGGCTGAGCTGAAGGTGCTGTTTGCTACATTTCTCCCAGATGATACCCTATTTCTAAATTCTGGGGTCACCACAGTGTAGTGACTGTAGGTGAATACAGTGGCTACTTTACTTAAAAACAACTTGGATTTCCAAAGGCTATTCATAAGCACATCTTTTAGTCTGTTTACAGTGACATGTTAAAATACTTCTGTGGTTCTTGGAGTTGACAGAGTTCTTTGATCCGTTATGTTTGAAACTCTGAAACTGGGGAGATGAGCTACTTTATTTCCTATTTTTAAACTGAAGAATTAAAATAAATATGAAGCCATAATATTAAATATTCCTTGTGGGAAGCCCTTCTTGTACTGGTTCCAGGGATCCAAAAATGCCTGAAACAAGGCCCCTTAAAGGAGCGAGTTAAAGAGATGAGTGGAAAAAGGCTGCAGCTCGTATGTATAGCAAGTGTTCTGCCTTGAGAAGAGACAGCAAATACGTGTGGTGTTAAGTGTTCTACAGAGAAAACAATGATCTTTTTAGGATATAATTTATTTTTAAAATTTGTATAAATTTATGGGGGTACAAGTGTAATTTTGTTACATTGATATATTGCTTAGGATATAATTTGAATACATTGTTAGAATTTTTTTTTTTTTTTTGCGACAGAGTTTCACTCTTGTTGCCCAGGCTGGAGTGCAATGGCATGATCTTGGCTCACCACAACCTCTGCCTCCCAGGTTCAAGGGATTCTCCTGCCTCAGCCTCCCGAGTAGCTGGGATTACAGGCATGCACCATCACACTCGGCTAATTTTGTATTTTTAGTAGAGAAAGGGTTTCTCAATGTTGGTCAGGCTGGTCTCGAACTCCTGACCTCAGGTGATCCACCTGCCTCCGCCTCCCAAAGTGCTGGGATTACAGGTGTGAGCCACCACACCTGGCCCATTGTTAAGAATTTTTAAAAGCAGAAAAGTCCTAAGTGGTCATCTTAACAAACCTGTCGTTTGACAGGTGAGGAGCTGTGGCCCAGGAAGTGAAGTGGCTTGTCAGAACTGAGACACCAGGTATATCTGGGATTAGAACCCAGGGCTGCTGGTCGCCTGGCCAGTGCATCTCCTGTTTGTGCAACTAGGTTTGCTTGTTGGTCAGATATTCACAGAAGTCACAGTTAAATGCCTTTTATCAAGCATATCCTTCCTCCGCTTTCTAGACTTTCTTCTGGGCCCAGTGGTAAGAAGTATTACTTTTGGAAATAGCGCTGCCTGGGGCCCTCAGCAGCGATCTTAGCTTAGTTACATTTCCCATCTGCCTGCTTCCTGTTGTGATGACCAAAAGCTGAGCTCAAGGGATGACTGTTATTCTGAAGTAGAAAACAGAGGTAGCCACAAAACTAGTATTTATTTATTCAGTGGCTTTACATGTAAAATAGAACTTGTTTTCAGGTTGTGTTTGGTATAACCATCTTTTTAAAACAAACATCATCAGTGAAAAATATTCCGCTTTGATCCAAAATACTGTGCAGTTTGTCCCAATGTAAAATGACAGGTCTTCATGCTGAAGCTGGAGAGTCTGGCTCTTGATTTTCCTTTGATATTTACTGGTTGAATGTTCAGAGCACACTGTACCTGAGACCTGCATCAGGGGCTGGCATAGGCACATTGAAGCCTCAAGTAGAACTCTCTCCATTCTCCGCTTATATGCTTTTGTGTCAGAACAAGTGTCAAATTAACAATAACAAGAAAATATTGCTGACCCAGTTCTTTGATTCTGGAATGCTTTTTTAAAATCCAGCTGAGATGGAGTGCTTTTCAAAAGTTCTCTTTCTGCGTAGCAACTGAGTTCATGGTACTGTTGTACCTTATGTGTCAAGTTATCAAGGAGGAAGTTTTTGAGATTAAAAGTGGGTTGGGACCATCGAACCTCAAGCCCATTGTAGAACTGAGGGAAAATTCTCACCATGACCTTTTAGAATTTTCCTCTGGGGAGCTGGCTTTGAGGTTTTGCCTCTTAAATCCTCTGAGTTCCCTCCCCTCCAAGTTAGGATGACTCTGGAGACATATGTTTCCAAACGGTTTTATCTTTTGGTCTAAATTTCATCCGGAGATAACATGTGAGAGAAAGCAAGGAGTCCCTGTACCCTCCTATGCCTCAGCTGTCATTGCTGGGCCTTATCCTTCCCCATACAAGTGGATGTCGGGAAGTAGTGGTGGGAAATCGTTTTGTACTGGAGGCAGCAATTTGAACTAATGGATATTCTGCTGAGAGTCTTTTTTTGAGCCTGAACCAAGGACAAAGAGGTTTGATCCTGGTCCAGTAATAATGAGCTTGCCAGGAGGCAGGAAATTGGAAACAATACATACTGTCCTTGGTCTGTGAGGATCCATTACCTGCACGTTTGCGGGAGCACCAGGTGTCAGCTGGATCTCTTTTAGGATTGGTCTGGCTATGGACGAGAGAGAATGATAAGATGTGAGAATGAAAGTTTTCCTAACACGTTTTTTTCTGTAGTCATCTAAAGCGTCTGTTAAGCAACTGTCCACAGACAGGGCCTCGGAGTAGCCTGCAGATAAATAGAACAGACAAAAGCTTTGGAAATGAGCATTGTCAGCCATCATAAACATGGGGCTGGAGAGAACAGAGAAATGGCACAACGAAGAATGGAAGAAAAAGTAGCCTCAGAGCGATGGGAACAGGAAACAATGCATAGATATTGTGAATGGCTGAATCTTGATACTTACTCTGCATAGAAATTTAATAGGATGATTCTGTGACTTGATTAAACTGTAATCCGAGCTCATTCTTCAAAAGTTTAAAAAATTGCCTAGCTGTCATTCTTTCAGATGCAAGTGGCGAGCACTCTGAAAGGTGCTGGGGATTTCAGAGACACTGAGTAACACACAGTTATTGTCCCCATAGAGCTGGCCCTCAGGTAGGGGAAAAGAGAGCAGTTTGGCAAGTGTGTCTGGAAGGAGCCTGTGATGCTAGACTGTGTATGTCTGAAAGCTAAAAATATGTGAACTCCATTAGTGAATATTGGACAGTGGTGTTGGCTCAGATGTGACTCGGCTGACCTTCGGAGTCACGTGGTAACTCAGGAATGCTCTCTCCCCATTCTAGAGACAGAGCTGAGGTGCCTGGGAGGTTTATAAAATGGAATGAAGTGTTTTTGCCTCCTCATCAGGGCTGAGCATAATCATAAGGGGTTGGGTATTCTGGTGGTGTGGTTTTAAAATTTCAGCGAGACAGTCTCTGCAGTCTTCAAATAGATCTAAAATTATCTTTCGACATGCTGGCTTTCATCAGTGTGGGGTTTATTTTTGGTTCCATGGGGTGTGTTTGTGTGACAGATGTGAGGACGTTTTCTGTTCGAGCTATTGATGGCTTCTGAGCCGCAGAGATGAGCGCTGGAAGCTCATAGACACATTCTCTCTCCATTCCTTCCCACCCCATCTGAAAAACTTTCTGTGGGTGGATAAATTAAGGTACTTTATTTTCTGCTAAAAAAAAAAAAATGACATATGGGAGATACACAGTTTGATTCACTTAAGGCCCAAGTTCCATTTGAGGACAGCCCTGAGGAAGGGAAGAGTCTCATGGGAGAAGGCAGGAGCGGAGGGTTGGGACAGCTGGACCGCAGCCCAAAGGAGCTGCTCTTTTGGCTCTTGATTTGTAGAGTAAGTTATCACCAGTTGTCACTTGCTTTTGAAATGTGCATTTGTACTTAGGCAGTTAACAGTTAGCCACAACTCCTCATCTATTCTTCCTAGTAGCGCAGGGGTGGGGCAGACTTTTCTTACAAAGAGCCAGCTAGTACACACTGGAGGCCCTGTGGTCTCTGTAGCAGCTCTCGCCTTTGTAGTGCAAAAGCAGCCAAAACAATATGCCAGCCAATGGCATGGCCAGCCAACCAGTGTGGCTATGTTCCAATAAAACTAGGAGGCTAGCTGGATTTGACCCACTGGCTGTCGTTGGCTGACTCCTGTGTTAGACCCTCCATGGTCTTATATGCGTTATGTGCAGTTATTCTCCCATCTCTCTCAAAAGGGAAACGTCAGTGACCTGAACATTGTGCTCAGAGTACCAGAGTTCTTGCTTAAGTTGCAGGTAACTGACTAGGCTGTATGAACCACATAGTGGGTAGACTAGGTAAGAATAATGTGGCAATAAATTAGTATGACATGTTTAATAGTAATTATGTCTATATGGCATTTTGGAATAAATGGCAAATTGTTTACAAGTTAAAAAAAAAAAAGTCTTTTTTTTTTTCTTTCTTTTTTTTTTTTTAGAGACAGGGCCTTGCCCTGTTGCCCAGGCTGGAATGTGGTGGCACGATCATGGCTCACTGCAGGCTTAACCTCTGGGGCTCAAGTGATTCCCTGCTTCAGCCTGCTGAGTAACCGGGACCATAGATGTGCACCACGATGCCTGGCTAATTTTTCTTTTTTTTTTTTCTTTTTTTTTTTTTTTTGTAGAGATGGAGTCTCCCTATGTTGCCCAGGCTGGTCTCAAACTCCTAGGCTCAAAGCAACGATCCTCCTGCCTCAGCCTTCCAAAGTGCTGGGATTATAGGTGTAAGCCACTGTGCCCAGCCAGTCATCTTTTTATATATTCTGTCAAAGGACGAAATTACAAATTTAGTTGGAAAGTTGAATTGGATTTTATTTGTGATTCTAGAATGTGAAGTAGAACGACTGTTCCAGTTAGCTGAGCAGAGGAGGGTGTCTTTATAGGCAGAAAAGGCTTGAAAAAAAGCAGAAACAGAACAAAAGGTTAAAACAGAGGATTTCCTTATTAGGCAGACTCACATTGACTAGAATCTTTCAGTGGTTTTTTTTTTTGGTTTTTGTTTTTAAAGAAAACTGGCCCCCAAATTCAGTGGCACTTAGTACAAGTGGCTTCATTTTGGTTCGGTCTGGTCTGCTGGGGCCTAGTGCAGGAGTCAAAAACAATGGCCTCTCCTAAACTTTAACAATCCAAACCAAGCATTTGGTGATCCAGGAAGAAGTGGGGTTGGAGAAAATGAGGGTCTGGGCACCCTAGTTCCCCAGCTGCTGGGCACCATCATTCAATTCCAGGTCTGATATAAGAAAGATGCTGGGGCCGGAAACTTAAATGTCTGCCATGTACTGGTTCCCATCACTAGAACTGGGGAACAGGTAATGGGGCTCTCAAATCTTGAGGTTATAGGTTTGGTGTAGAGTCCTATCTTTTGGGGAACATTAGGTCCTAATGTCCTGCCTAAGGCAAACATCATGACTAGTCCGAATTAACCATGAAAATACTTCAAATATCCATCAAGTAGAGCATAGTTTTGTGCATACAGCATTTCACTAGTAGAACGTTAGCTCTTTTTAGCATGAACTTTTAAACTGTTTTATTCACAGCTCGTATCCCCCTAGTTTAGAGCAATACCTGCACATAGTAGTTGGGAATGAGTGCGTGGATGCTCAAACTCTAGGCTGTAATACATGTGTATGTCATGTAACATATAGTACGGAATGAAGATTATACATGCAAACTCTAAATTCACTGGATTTTTACAAATTATATGCTCATGTCTGTAATCCCAGCACTTTGGCAGACCAAGATGGGAGGATCACTTGAGCCAAGAGTTCGAGACCAGCCTGGGCAACATGACGAAACCCCGTCTCTACAAAAAATACAAAAATTAGTCAGGTGTCATGGTGTGCACCTGTAGTCCTAGCTGCTCCAGGAGGCTGAGATGGGAGGATTGCTTGAGCCAGGGAGGTGGAGGTTGCAGTGAGCCGAGATTGTGCCATTGCACTCTAGCCTGGGTGACTGAGTGAGACCCTGTCTCAAAAAAAAAAAAAAAAAAAAAAAGTACGGGAGACAGTTATGTAAATAGTTGAACTTGCAAATAATGTATTACCACTGCGTTCAGGTCCACACATTTAAGAAGAAAGCAAGCTAATTTTGGCTGAGTGAGGTGGCTCCCACCTATAATCCCAGCAGTGTGGGGATGCTGCAGTGGGAGGATCTTGTGAGGCCAGGAATTTGAGACCAGCCTGTGCAACATAGTTAAAACCCTGTCTCTACAAAAAGTAAAAAAGTAGCGGATGTGTTGGCATGCACCTCTAGTCCCAGCTTCTGGGAAGGCTGAAGTGGGAGGATGGCTTGCGTCTAGGAGTTTGAGGCTGCAGTGAGCTATGATTGTGCCACTGCACTCCAGCCTGAGGGACAGAGCAAGACCCCTTCTCTATTAAAAGAAAAGAAAAAAAAAGAAACTAGCAGATTTGAGGCTCACTTAGACTATAAGCATGTGTTTTCTCTAAATGGTTAGAATAGAAAGACCTGCATGTTTCAGCATTTAGTCCTCTCTTTATAGAAATTTCACATTTCTATGTTCAAGAGATATCTTTCCATCAGCCGTGTTCACCTCAGGGCAGCACAGTGTCTTCTGTTAGACCCTGTATTCTGTGTGGGGCCATAGCCGTATTTTCTAGCCGAAACGAAAGTTCAGACCTCCGTAGCTGTGGTTTTAAGTTGTCTTGAGTTAGAAATAGATTTGTGTCTTTGGCTCAGAGGGTCCTATTCACTCTCTTCCCGGCTTTGGTTGTAGGGGCATTGCTTACAAAGGCCCTCAGGAATCTGGAAGATTGACATGTTGACCTTGCCGGGGCAGCACAGGAGTACCTGGCTGAGAGATGGTGTGTCCCCAGCTCTGCCTCTCTTGCCGGCACCTCCACTCCTCCTCTCTTCTGCTCTATTACCCCTAATTCCAGAGTTTCCAAAACCCTTCTTATGGAGAGTTTGGCAGTATCCGTTCAAATTTTAAATGTACTAACTTTATGACTTCTGTCATAAAGCTGACTTTAGCTTCTGTCCTTCTCAACACTTTACATGTGAACAGAGAGATACACATAATAAGGATGATATCCATTGTACATTATTTATAATAGTGAGAAAAAATCAGAAAAAAACTAAATGCCTATCAGCAGGATAACAAACTAAATTAGAGTCAATCAGATTGTAGAATTCTAAATTTTTATCTATTTTTCTGAGACAGGGTTTTGCTGTGTTGGCTAGGCTGCAGTGCAGTGGCGCGATCATGGCTCACTGCAGCCTCAACCTTCTGGGCTGAAGTGATCCTCCCACCTCAGTCTCCTAAACTCTTGGGCTCAAGAGATGCTCCTACCCCAGCCTCCTGAGTAACTGGGACTACAGGCGTGCACCACTATGCCTGGCCAATTTTTTTACTTTTTGTAGAGACGGGGTCTCTCACTGTGCTGCCCAGGCTGGTCTTGAACTCCGGGGCTCAAGTGATCCTCCTGCCTTGGCCTCTCAAAGTGCTCAGATTACAGGTGTGGGCCACTGGGCCCAGCCTAGAATTCTATGTAGTATGTAAGAAGATGCAAATAGATTTATCTGTTAAACATACAGCAACCTCCAAGACATAATGAATGTAGAATAATGGCACAGCAAAGGGTCTAGAAAGATCCACTCACACCTGGGGACAGTGGCACCTCTAGGGAAGCAATCAAGTTAGAATTGAGGCATTGATGGGCAAGGACACTGGGTTATTTGTATTTTTATTGTAATTTACACATTTTGGCAGTAAAATATATAATTGTTTTGCTTATATAAGTGCAAATAAAATTGAGAATAATCCTTTGCAGTTAGATTTTTTTTTTTTTTTTTTTTTTTGAGACGGAGTCTTGCTCTGTCGCCCAGGCTAGAGTGCAGTGGTGGGATCTCAGCGCACTGCAAACCCCGCCTCCCGGGTTCAAGCGATTCTCCTGTCTCAGCCTCCCGAGTAGCTGGGATTACAGGTGCCCGCCATGCACCTGGCTAATTTTTGTATTTTTTAGCAGAGACGGGGTTTCACCATCTTGGCCAGGCTGGTCTCGAACTCCTGACCTCATGATCCACCTGCCTCGGCCTCCCAAAGTGCTAGGATTATGGGCGTGAGCCACCGCACCCAGCCTTCTGCCTTCAGTTTTACCTAATTCTCTCAATGGAGATTGAAATGAGTTGAATCCTGTTCTGCATCTGTGGAGGAGCCCTTCTTCCCATAGTAATTAATTAGTCAGTCTTCTGGGAGTTGTCTCCTTTGGAGCTTATTGTATAACGGTTTGCTTAGAGTTGCTTTCTGGCTGCTTAATCCTATCTGTGACTGTTTGATTCTGACAAAATATTCATGGTGGAGGAGGAGCTGTGAACTCGCATTCTCAGTCTTTGCATGCTTTTTGAGATTAATTTTCATTCATCTTTTGGCTTTTAATAATGATACAATGTAGATTTTTCTATTAAAAATGCTCAGATAACCCAAAGAAAAGAGAAGCCAGTACTGGTTGTTGTTATTGTTTATTAAATAGCCCCAGATCCCCCAAAGGGCCTCAAAGGCAATCACTTACTGAGAAATGAGCTTTGGTTGCCAAGAGGCTGTGTAAGGAAAGAGGGAAGCTGATTTTAGTGTTTCCCATTTCATGGCTGTTGTCCACTGACCAATAACAGGAAGTCATCAGTGTGGTGGACCCTGGAAGTACTTCATGGAGAAAAACAAACTATCCTGGAAAGTTTGAAGATGAGTGGAATATCAGAAAAGGGAAAGGCAGACTGGGAGACATTCTAGGTTCTGAAATGCATTTTCAAGTGAGGGATATTAAACAGAACTTGCAAATCTAGTTCTTCTAGTTTTTGTGAACCTAATTTATCCCTCATGTGGAGCTGCCCAAAGCTTTCTTTGAAATTTGATATTAATATAATGAAATGTAAGAATAATTAGCTTTGCTAATATTGCATTTTCTTTTTTCTTTTTTTTGAGATGGAGTTTTGCTTTGTCACCCAAGCTGGAGTGCAGTGGCGTGATCTCAGCTCACTGCAACCTCTTCTTCCTGGGTTCAAGCTATTCTCCTGCCTCAGCCTCCTGAGTACTTGGGACTACAGACGTGTGCCACCACGCCTGGCTAATTTTTGTATTTTTAGGTATTTTTGGTAGAGATGGAGTTTCACCATGTTAGCCAGGCTGGTCTCGAACTCCTGACCTCAGGCAGTCCGCCCGCCTTGGCCTCCCCAAATGCTGGGATTACATACGTGAGCCACCGCGCCTGGCCTAATATTGCATTTTCTAATCTCAAGTAACACGATTACACAACTACAACTTTCACCTACTTCCTCTCCATTTCTTAAGAAGCCACTCCCAAAACTTATACATGTTTTCTATGTTTGTAGCATCTGGGCCCCTGGCCAATTAGACCTGTAGGTCTTCCTGTAGCTTTTTTGTTGTTTATTTGCCTGGGATTGAAGTTGTTTTAGGGACATAGCTAGCATCTCTCCTGTGTAAACAAAATTACGTGAATTTTCTTCTCCCTTGCATCTTGTTGAGTTTATTACTTGTTTTCATGTTTTGGAAATGTTTTTCCTAATTTGTGAGTTCAGAATGCTTTCTTCTGGATGGTGGCTAGGTCTCTGAAGGACAAGTAGTGAGTGCTATTTTTTGGACCTCAGTTCTAATATAAATGTACCAAGGAAAGATTCACCTTACTGACAGGTCGGGCGCGGTGGCTCACGCCTGTAATCCCAACACTTTAGGGGGCCGAGGCGGGTGGATCACCTGAGGTCAGGAGTTCGAGACCAGCCTGGCCAACATAGTGAAACCCCATATCTACTAAAAATACAAAAAGTTAGCCAGGCATGGTGGCAGGCACCTGTAATCCCAGCTACTCGGGAGGCTGAGGCAGGAGAATCACTTGAACCTGGGAGGCAGAGGTTGCAGTGAGCTGAAATCGCACCACTGTACTCCAGCCTGGGCGACAAGAGTGAAACTCTGTCTTTTTTTTTTTTTTTTTTTTTTTTTTTTTCAAAACAAGAAAGTTAATCTTTCAATCCAAAGGTAGTAGATCCTTTGGTAAAGTGAATAGAGCATCTACTAATTCTAAGATGTTCAGTTTCCCACCATGTTTAAATCGGAATGCATTAGTTTGTGGATCATGTAATGTACCTGAGTCTCTTCCCCGAAATTATTTTTATATAATGTCAGGCCTCTGAGCCCAAGCCAAGCTATCGCATCCCCTGTGACTTGCAGGTATATGCCCAGATGGCCTGAAGTAACTGAAGAATCACAAAAGAAGTGAATGTGCCCTGCCCCGCCTTAACTGATGACATTCCACCACAAAAGAAGTGTAAATGGCCGGTCCTTGCCTTAAGTGATGACATTACCTTGTGAAAGTCCTTTTCCTGACTCATCCGGGGTCAAAAAGCTCCCCCACTGAGCACCTTGCGACTCCCATTCCTGCCCACCAGAGAACGAACCCCCTTTGACTGTAATTTTCCTTTACCTGCCCAAATCTTATAAAACGGCCCCACCCTTATCTCCCTTTGCTGACTCTCTTTTCGGACTCAGCCCGCCTGCACCCAGGTGATTAAAAGCTTTTATTGCTCACACAAGCCTGTTTGGTGGTCCCTTCACACGGACGCGCATGAAATATAACATAATAGTGCTTTAGAATTAAAGAAGTTAACTTAATGACTACTATGGGTTAGGAACCGTGGTAAGCACTTCACAGGTGTTATCTGATGTAATTCTCAGGCAACTCCATGAAATGGGTGTCGGTATTGTTTCATTTTACAGATGGCACAACTGAGGCTCAGGGTGTGTATGTGTGTAGCTAGCTCAAGTTAGCAGTGGAGTTAGGAATGGAAGTCTTATGAGCTGTTTATTCTTACTTGATAGTTTGTGGCTTTGAGTTTGGTTGCTTTGAGGGTTGGAGGGAAACGCCTTGTTCTCAGGGGTCTGTATAGAAACAACATACAGCCTGCATGCGGTGGCTCACGCATGTAATCCCTGCACTTTGGGAGGCCGAGGCAGGCAGATCACCTGAGGTTAGGAGTTTGAAACCAGCCTGGCCAACATGACAAAACCCCATCTACTAAAAATACAAAAATTAGCTGGGCATAGTGGTGTATGCCTGTAATCCCAGCTACTTGGGAGGCTGAGACAGGAGAATCGCTTGAACCTGGGAGGCAGAGGTTGCAGTGAACCGAGATTGCGCCACTGCACTCCAGCCTGGGCAACAGAGCAAGACTGCATCAAAAAAAAGAAACAACATACAGTGTGTGAGCCTGGCTTAAGTGCCCTGTCCTTGGGTGCCCAGAGCCAGACTTAAGAGGTAACACCCTTAGCAGGCACATTCCTTTCACCCTGTGGTGTGGAATTTGTATGTGATGTATTTTTTCTTTTTCCAAAAATGGGGTGGACTTTGGAACAGCAAATATTTAATCGGAGCAAATTCCCCTTGCCAGAATCCTGCTAGCTTGTTCACCTTGGAGGTTCTTTGCCCAAAAATACTTACCACATACTGAAAACTAAATGTGCTAAGTCACCCACAGAGTATAAAGGAGGTCTTGATTAGGATTTGGAGCAGGGGGGTTGTTTACCTGTTTTTGATGAATATACAGTGTCAATGTACTCACCCTGTGATGAGCCTTAAAGGGCCCTGGCCGCATTCCAGATTCTGGAGTAAGCAAACAAGGGAGGGGATTTGTTGGGGATGGTGGCTCAGCCTGCTGCTGTTAGCATTCTCCTTGAAATGGATTTTGGAGGAAGAAAAAAGAGGTAGGGAGGCAGAGAAGGTCTAAAGGTGAAAGATGGGCTGGTATAGATGAAAGAGGTGCTAATGTGCATGTGTTATGGGGAAGATGTGGTTCAGGAATTAGAGTTGCTGATGGAGTAGAAGAGAGAAGGTGGGGAAGAAAATAATTTAGGGAATGTTTTAGAGCAATAAATCCTGTGTAAATGAAACAGCCTAATGAATGAAGTGGTATGGCTTCTCCATGAATGTAGCTTTTAGAGATTCAAAGCAATATTACCTCCTCGTTACTGGCACTACTCATACAGGTGTAACTTTTGTTTTGGGTTAGACTCTCTGAAACATTCATTTTTGTGTGTGTCCCCTACCATATTTCAGCACCTGAAAATTTTAACCATGCTGTTTCATCACTCATGTTTAAACACAGCTAAAAATTGAGGTTCCTCCAGAAAGCACCTGTGTGACTGACTTCTCATTACCCGCCTGCGGGTGCTTCCTTTCATGCGCGTCGGTGTGAAGAGACCACCAAACAGGCTTTGTGTGAGCAACATGGCTGTTTATTTCACCTGGGTGCAGGCGGGCTGAGTCCGAAAAGAGAGTCAGCGAAGGGAGATAGGGGTGGGGCCGTTTTATAGGATTTAGGAAGGTAATGGAAAATTACAGTCAAAGGGGGTTGTTCTCTGGTGGGCAGGGGCGGGGGTCACAAGGTGCTCAGTGGGGGAGCTTCTGAGCCAGGAGAAGGAAATTCACAGGGTTAATCACTCAGTTAAGGTGGGGCAGGAACAAATCACAATGGTGGAATGTCATCAGTTAAGGCAGAGCAGGGCCTTTTCACTTCTTTTGTGATTCTTCAGTTACTTCAGGCCATCTGGGCGTATACGTGCAAGTCACAGGGGATACGTGCAAGTCACAGGGGATGAGATGGCTTGGCTTAGGCTCAGAGGCCTGACACTTCCTGTATCCAGCCCCAATTGCTGTTCTAAAGCAATTTCCAGACCAGACTGTTCTCGCTGGGATACCCCTTGGTGATGCCCTAAGGTGTTAAAGAGCAAACTCCTGCTTTGTTCTTCACTTCTGCTGTCTGTCCTCTGCCCTCCACCCTCCCTCCACCCCAAACGGCAATGCCATAAAAAAAGAAGAAAACAAAACAGCTTTGTCTCATTCTTGTGCTTCATTCTTGTCATCTGTGCTCTCCTGCCAATTGTGAGCTCTACCTGCAGAATCTCTGGTTTCTCTGCCTGGGGTTACCTTCTTCACCTGTTCCCAGTGGCCTTCAAACTTGTCCCCTTGCCTCAAGTCTGTACCCTTTCACCACGTCTTCCACTTTGTAGCCAAAGGTGTTCTAGCTTCAGTAGTGCTTTTCCCCTTGCTTACAGGATGGGGGCCTGACTGCTAAGTCTGGCATGCACCTGGCCCTTCCCAGCAAGACCTTGCCTTTGTAGAGAAGGGAAAAATGGCTTCCTTCCACTCTTCTAGGTTCTTTCTCTGGAAGCAAATTAAATTGACATAAGACCAATTACAGGAGAAAAAGCAATTTTAAAAAGGGTCAGATAGGCTGGGCATGGTGGTTCACGCCTGTAATCCCAGAACTTTGGGAGGCTGAAGTGGGCGGATCATTTGAGGCCAGGAGTTCAAGACCAGCCTGGCCAACATGGTGAAACCCCATCTCTACTAAAAATACAAAAATTAGCCAGGCGTGGTGGCAGGCGCCTGTAATCCCAGCTACTCTGGAGGCTGAGGCAGGAGAATCACTTGAACCTGGGAGGCAGAGGTTGCAGTGAGGCGAGATTGCGCCACTGCACTCCAGCCTGGGCAACAGAGGTCTCAATTAAAAAAAAGCGGAGGGGGGGGGGGCGGTCAGATGATAGAAGCTTATGGCATGTTGAGCTACAGAGAGGAATAGGGGCTTGGGGCCTCTGGGAGTTGCTGGCAACACGTAATGGGAGAGTGAGGGGAAGAAATGTATGGTGAATAAACGTCTGATACACTTTACTAATGTAGATTTCCTCTACAGATGTAAATTTTTTGTATAAAACAGCAGCTTTGCAGAGCTACTCCTGTGTCTTCAGCTTCTCAGAATAACGAGCTTGAAATACGCAAAGAAGAATGTTTTAGGGTGGCATATCTTGGTTTTTGTGAGTGACGCCAAGGTCAGAGGTAACCAGGTCCACGAACATTTGTGTCTTTCCATAATGTTGGACTTAACTGATGCTATTTCAGTTACAAAAGCCACCAGCTATGTGGAGTTCCCAGGGAGCCAATTCTTCTTAGTACTTCTCATCCACTCATTAGATCTGCAGGCACACAGGTTCCAGCCTCTGCACCAGCCAGTCAGTATTGCAAACCGTACACAATCGTATACTCTGTCAATATATAAATGTTACTGATTAAACATTGTGCAACAAACAAAATAACATTTAACATTAAGAGAAAGGGAATAGGAAAAGGGTTAATGAAGTAGTCCAGGGAGAGCAATAAAGAAAAAAAGAATTTCCTGGTCTGGGCTGGTTAATCTGGTTGGTTGTGCAAGAAACAGTCTTTGATGTGGGCAGAGCCTTCGGGGCAGATGCCAGGTGCTTGTCACGAGTTAGAACCGTACCTACCCTTTTTATGGCCACAGAGTCCTCCAGTGAGGACTGATAGTTGAAGACTGTGCTTGTTTATCTACTTATCTGGTTGGATGCAGTCTTTATCAAGCAAAACATCTTGTCTCTGTTGTGACAAAATGGTGTAAAAAAAAAGTCATAAAAAATGTACAGTTTTAGGAATTTGCTGAAAACAAAATGTTGGCTATTTCCTCATGAAGTCTTTCACATGTCTTCATGAAAATGGAGCTGGCCAGGTACAGTGGCTGACACCTGTAATCCCAGCACTTTGGGAGGCTGAGGCAGGTGGATTGCTTGAGTCTAGGAGTTCGAGACCAGTTTGGTCAACATGGTGAAACACCAACTGTACACACACACACACACACACACACACACAAAATTAGCTGAGCTTGGTGGTGCATGCCTGTAGTCCTAGCTACTCAGGAAGCTGAGGTAGGAGGATGGCTTGAGCCCTGGAGGCGACGGTTGCAGTGAGCCAAGATTGCGCCACTGCACTCCAGCCTGGGTACAGAGTGAGACCCTGTCTCAAAAAGGAGTGGGGAGAAAATGGAACTCTTTGTTTGTTTGTGTAAAGGAAAATAAACCCTCTCAGGACTGCCCAAACTCTTTATGCCAAATGGAAACTTAAGACTGGAGAGACAGTCACGTGACACTGCTGCTGTCCCCTCGCACCTTGCCCCCCTGCCCAGTAGATAGCTGCGACTTCCCAACCTTGTGTCAAAGCGCTATGCATTAGCCACACCCCTGGAGAAGGCAGAAGGCCTCGTGCATCCCGGATGACTGCCCTCAAATTGCTCATAAGTAAATTCTCTGCTGGTCCCTAAACCTTTCAAGATGTGTATCTTCCCATAAAAAAGGACATGTCAGCTGTAACTTTAGGTCTGCAATCTAAGTCTAGCTCCCTGTCCACGGAATTGCAGTCTGTTACATTTCACACTGACAATGCCCATTACAAGCTTATCTTCCCAGGTGCAGAACAAAGACAGGACAGCAGTCATTTCTCTGCCTACCCTGAGACTACATAATTAACTCTTCCTTTACTCCCTTTTTGAATGTTTATCATATCTCTTTTATAGCGGAGTTTACTGGGCACTAGTTAAAATCTCAGGAGAATGTTGCATTTGCCTCACCACCTGCCCCCTTTTCCTGCATGCCTTCTCCCCTTTAAAGAAATGGGTAAATACCGAGCAACCTCTTTGGGAGCGCCAGCCACAGAGGATTCTGTGATTTGTGTGTTTCTCAGCAGCCCCTCAAGCTCTGGCTTAATTATTCCCCATTGAGACTCTTGCCTCAGTCTCTCATTTGGGTTGACATTTGTTTATGGAAATCGTGATAGCCACAGATATTATTGTTTCTTCAGTATCTTTTTCTGGAGAAGAAACTGTAAATTATCTTCTTTATCACACTTTCCTTTTACCTTCAGTTTTGTGCTATTTTTTCTCTGTGATACTTTATTTTTCTTATGAATAATAGTTATAATGTGATTTATTTTCTGTTCAGAAGAGTGTTCAACTTTGATGTTGATAAGAAGCAAGTTTTTATGACTGACCAAATCCTTATTTTATGACATTACTAGGAATGTGCTGCTTGTTCTCATTGTGTAAGATTTTAATTATTCTGATAATGAAACTGATTATTTCATGTGGAAGTCTTCTAATTTGGCTAGAATAAGCTATTGTCAACATTTATCAGAAGATTAAGACCCACTAATAAAGAGCTCCAGTGGATCAAGAAAATACCCAATTAACAGCCAATTCAGAGAAAAAAAACAGATGGCCATAAACTTGAGAAAAGATGCTGAATCTCACTAGTAATAAGGAAGATGTACCTTAAAACAGGATATTGGGTTTTTGCCTTTAAATTAGATGTCCAAGTTGGGAAATGTGCAATCTCAGATATTACTGGTAGGATGTAAATTGGTACAGCCTTTGAAAGTATGATTTAACTCATCTTGAAGTTTAAAAATGTAGATACTGGTTGAATATTCCTAATCCAAACATCTGAAATGTGAAATACTCTAAAATTTGAAACTTTTAAAGTGCCAACATGATACTCAAAGGCAATGCTCACTGAAGCATTCTGGATTTTTTTGGATTAGGGAACCTTAGCCAGTAATATAGTGTAAATATTCCAAATTCTGAAAGACTTCTGGTCCCAAGCATTTTGGATAAGGGACATTCAACCTGACTACTTGACCTACTAATTCCATTTCTAGCTCAGGTGTCTGTCCTACATAAATAATGGCACAGGTGCAGTGAGGCATGAACAGCAGTATTTATTGAATTAGTGTTTGTGATAATAAAAAACAAGTACAAAAAATAAAATTTAAAAACCCTCCCCAACAAAAAATTAAGATCAGTGTGAGAATGGTTATTGATTTTGATCAAGCCTTTTTACAGTATAAGATAGTGATGAAAAAGAATGTGATGGGATTTTGCGTATTAATAGAGAAAGACTCTTCATGGCTTATTGTTTATTTTTGTTTTCTTTTTTTGGGACAGAGTCTCACTCTGTTGCCCAGGCTAGAGTGCAGTGTCACGATCTCGGCTCGCTGCAACCTCTGCCTCCCAGGTTCAAGCAGTTCTCCTGCCTCAGCCTCCCTAGTAGCTGGGATTACAGGCACGAGCCACCACACCGGGCTCATTATTGTATTTTTAGTAGAGACAGGGTTTCACATGTTGGCCAGGCTGGTCTCAAACTCCCGACCTCAGGTGATCCACCCACCTCGGCCTCCCAAAGTGCTGGGATTACAGGCATGAGCCACCGTGTCTGGCCCAGCTTATTGTTAATTGGGAAAAAATATTGCAGAACATTACATACAATCTTTTATTTTAAAAAGCTGTTTTAATATATTTATTATATGCATAGTATGATATGAGTGTATGTATGTGTGTTGTGTATGTATATGTATATGTGAGTGTGTTGTATATATGTATACACACACATTTATGTATGTGAATTAATACAAATACTCTACCCACCAATTGTTTACTCTTCTGAGGGAGAGGAGTGACATTTTGGGTGGATAGTAAAAGAAGTCTCTGATTTTTTATTTGTATATATGTATACATATCAACAAAAATATATCCATGTATTGAAATGGGATTTTAGGCCAGGTGCAGTGGTTCATACCTATGATGATCCCAGCACTTTGGGATGCGAAGACAGGTGGATTGCTTGAGCTCAGGAGTTCAAGACCAGTCTGGGCAACATGACAAAACCCCATCTCTACAAAAAAAAAAAAAAAAAAAAAAATACAAAAATTAGCTGGGCATGGTGGTGCGTGCCTGTAGTCCCAGCTAATTGGGAGGCTGAGGCAGGAAGATTACCTGAGCCTGGAAGATCGAGGCTGCAGTGAGTTGTGATTGTGCCACTAAACTCTAGGCCGGGCAACAGAGCCAGAGAGACCTTGTCTTGGGGTCGGGGGTGGGGTGGGGGTGGGGGTGGGGGCGGTTAAAAAAAAGGTAATTTTTGTAAAATCTGATGTTGGATTTCAGAAGTCATTTGGGGCAAGTAAAGGCTGAGTGTTACTTTATGATCACTGTATCTTTAAAAAAGATTCAGAGAAAATTAGAAAAATATCTCTTTAGAAGATAGATCCTCAGTCTGTTTCTTTATGCACACGATCCATTTCCACAGTGGATGTTGTGGTTGGCTGCATGAACACTCCGTGACAGTCCACCTCTCACTCAGTTGTAACAGATGACTTTTCTAAACTTTCTCCTCAGATTCCTTTTTTTGAAGATATGTGTAAAGGCATTAAAGCTGGTGACACCTGTGAGAAGCTGGTGGGATATTCTGCCGTGTATAGAGTCTGTTTTGGAATGGCTTGTTTCTTCTTTATCTTCTGTCTACTGACCTTGAAAATCAACAACAGCAAAAGTTGTAGAGCTCATATTCACAATGGGTAAGTATTTTAGTCTTCTTGGGGATTGCTTTCTCCTTTCTTATGTTCAGGACAGTAGTCCAGGATCCCATCTGCCCACCAGACACTGTGACTGCCCTTCTTCTAGTTGAAATTGTTGATTTAGGGGAAGGTGGAATTGATACTTACCCACATGGTTGCCTCAAAGGTAGAATCTTATTTGTAACACCTGGTACCATGATGCGAAATTTACTCAAGACAAAGAGTTTATTTCTTGTTCCAAGACCTTCCCCCAGGTCATTTCCACCCCTGCAATGAAATGGTGTTTTGCACAACTGGAGGCTGCACTGAGTCTGCCTAATTATGGGAAAAAGCATTCTTCAAGTCACCTAGTTACTTCCCCTTGATTAGGAGAGAACATTGGCCAATGGCAGAATCATGGATTGACATGCTGTACCTTCTACGAGGTCCTTTGTCCTTCTTGAATGTCATTTAAATACATTTCCTCTTTTTTTTCCCCCCACTTCTAGCTTTTGGTTCTTTAAACTTCTGCTGTTGGGGGCCATGTGCTCAGGAGCTTTCTTCATTCCAGATCAGGACACCTTTCTGAACGGTACTAATGGGGTATTTTGGGTATCTGTTTATTTTGTTTTTACCCATTTTGTCAAATTGCTCAGAAGCGCAGTCCAAAGTACCTCTGATAGTTAGAATTACTGATTTTCTTTTGGCTTCAAAAGAAATTCCTGACTTACCTGCCCATACTTTTTCCATCATTGCCTATCTACCTCCCCTCTTCTCACCACCGCATCCCACTTCCAGGTAGGGTGTAAGAGGACTCTGATACTCTGCTGGCCTGGGAGACCTTGTTCTTTCCAAGCACTGCACAGAAAACCCAGCAACAGGGAGCGCAGGGCTGTCAGCAGCTAAATGTCTGCTGCAGCGATAGTGGGACAGGAAAAGCATCTTTCAGTCTGTTATTAAACTTACCGTATGTGAAGCTCTGTAGCATTGAATTATATTCTTTATTGTTAGAACCTGCTTTAATTCATTAATATGAAGCCTTTAATCATAGCTGAAACAGGGCGCCCTTTTTCATATGAGCTGAGGGAAAAACCTGAATTTCAGTGGTTCAGAGCATTTTGTTCAACCCAAATGGATTCACTTTCCTAAGTAAGGTATTAAAAACATTTAGGCCAGGCGTGGTAGCTCACACCTGTAATCCTAGCACTTTGGGAGGCTGAGGTGGGTGGATCACTTGAGGCCAGGAGTTCGTCTGAGACCAGCCTGGCCAACATGGCGAAACCTCATCTCTACTAAAAAATATAAAAATTAGCCAGGCATGGTGGTGTGTGCCTGTAATCCCAGCTACTCAGGAGGCTGAGACATGAGAATTGCTTGAACCTGGGAGGCAGAGGTTGCAGTGAGCCGAGATTGCACCACTGTACTCCAGCCTGGGCGACAGAGTGAGACTTTGTCTCAAAAACAAAACTAAACTAAACATTTAGATTGTGTCAGTTTATAAGGAACAGCCATAATCCTTCATATAGTTATGTATCAGGGCCTAGCTAGTTGTTTAAGGTCATACTTGTTTTTCATGTACTCCCTAAGTCTTGCTGTTACCTAAAATACTGTTAAAAGTTTTAAAATTCTCTACAGAGATCCTTTTATGTATTAGAATGTATATTTGGAGGGAGAAGAGACCTAGAAACCCTCTGGTCCAGCTCAGTCTTTTTTTTGTTTTTCGAGACAGAGTCAGAGTCTCGCTCTGTTGCCCAGGTTAGAGTGCAGTGGCACGATCTCGCCTCACTGCAGCCTCTGCCTCACGGGTTCAAGCAATTCTTCTGCCTCAGCCTCCCGAGTAGCTGGGACTATAGGCACGCACCACCACGCCTGGCTAATTTTTGTATTTTTAGTAGAGACGGGGTTTCACCATATTGGCCAGTCTGGTCTCAAACTCCTGACCTTGTGATCCGCCCCCTCTTGGCCTCCCAAAGTGCTGGGATTTACAGGTGTGAGCCACTGCGGCCGGCCAAGCTCAGTCCTTTTTTTTTTTTTTTTTTTTTTGAGACCAAGTCTCGCTCTGTCACCCAGGCTGGAGTGCAGTGGTGCAATCTCAGCTCACTGTGACCTCCACCTCACAGGTTCAAGTGATTCTCCTGCCTCAGCCTCCTGAGTAGATGGGATTACAGGCACCCGCCACTATGCCTGGAGTTTTTTTTTAAGTAGAGTCAGGGTTTCACCATGTAGGCCAGGCTGGTTTCCGACTCCTGACCTCAAGTGATCCCCCTGCCTCAGCCTCCCAAAGTGCTAGGATTGCAGGCATGAGCCACTGTGCCCAGCCCCAGCTCAGTGATTTTTATAGACAAATTGGAACCCATGTGATGTGACTTATTCAAGGTTATAGCGTCTTTGTGGCAGAGCCAGAAGTCGAACCGAGTCCTTGTCCCCTGTCTGAACCTTGTTTCTTTACTGGTCATTGTTGACTTTTTACCCAATAAAATTTGAACCTTTGATTTTCCTGGCAATATGTGTTTGCTTTTAAGTTGTGGGTCATTATGGATTTTATGAATTAGGGCATCTATTAGGGTACCTGGCAGATGTAGTGTGGAGGATAAGCTTGGATATTTCAGGGTCAGACTGCCTGTGTTCAGATCCCAACTATACCATTTATTGACTGAGATGTTGTCAACCTACATAGATTCTCAATTTTTCTCTTCTGTAAAGTGAGTGACATTTATAATAGTAATACATATCTTATATGGTTGTGTGACAAATATGTTAGGTACACTGATCATCTAGTAAAAATTAGCTGTGGTTATTCTCTTTTGAGCAAAATACAACGAAAGGTTGCCTCATTGTGTTCTTCATGGTCTTTTGCAGCCTGGCGCTATGTGGGAGCCGTCGGAGGCTTCCTCTTCATTGGCATCCAGCTCCTCCTGCTCGTGGAGTTTGCACATAAGTGGAACAAGAACTGGTGTGTGCCTTTATGGAAAGCTTCCCATTGACTCACAGAAACTGCCCAGTTTTGACCAAGGCTGTACTCAACTGCATTGCTAGGGATTTGCAGTTTTGTTTCCCTTTATACCTGCTTTTTTGTACCTCTTCATTTACTCCTCTCCTTCATTCACTTCTCACTTTTTGACCCCCTGCCCCTACTCCCTTGCTTGGGCTCTGAGTCAACCAGTGGTGTGAATTAGCCACACTCAATCCCCTGCTCGTACGGGTCTCGATCTCCTGACCTCGTGATCCGCCCACCTCGGCCTCCCAAAGTGCTGGGATTACAGGCTCGAGCCACCGCACCTGGCCTTGCTGTGTTTTTTTAACAGACTCTTGCTTATAAGAATCTAGAAAATGTGCTCATTGCTCTTAATAGAACAACTAAAGTACCTTTTCTTCCCTTTTTCATTTATCTCTTTGTAAATATCTTGAGAAGGAGATGATCCTAAAAACAGTAGGATAGAAAGGTCATGGGCCTGGCAACCAGGAGATGCAGATTTCAGTACCCTTTTGTTTTCTTTTTCTTTTATTATTATTATTATTATTATTATTATTATTATTTTTGAGATGGGATCCCACTTTGTCATTCAGGCCGGAGTGCAGTTGTGTGATCATGGCTCACTGCAGCTTCGATTTCCCAGGCTTCAGTGATTCTCCCACCTCAGCCCCCTGAGAAGCTGGGACTACAGGCATGTGGCACCACACTTGGCTAATTTCTTTTTTTGTTTGCTTGGTAGAGATGGGATTTCGCCACGTCGCCCAGGCTGATCTTGAATTCCTGGGTTAAAGAGATCCTTCTGCCTTGGCCTCCCAAAGTACTGGGATGACATTGTGTTCGGCTTCAGTGCCCCTTTTAATGCTTGTTCTCACTGTAGAGCTCATCAGTCGGCCCCTCTGACCTCCATTTTCACACTTAAATAATGTGTTTGGACTAACTGGTGTGTTCTTTTTTTTTCCTTTCTAGCTCAAATTTTGTGGTTTACAGTGTCAATTCTCTATTAGAATTGAAACAAAGGGCTTTAGGTGTCGAGTGTAAAGACTTTTTTTGGATTTTTAGTGGGATGGGAGAGCACCAGAGGGCCTTAAAAAGGGAGGAATATAATCTGTTTTAAGTGCAGAAAGGTGAAAAGGTGTCAGGGGTGCAAGTAAGGAGGTCAGGGGGAGTCAATCCAGGTGAGGGAGGAGTAGTCTGGAACTAAGTGGTAGCAAGGAGCTGGATCCTCCTATGTTCCAAAGCCAGCTCTGGGTGGAGGTGGGTGGGGGAGGGGAGAGCAGCAAGAAGCTTCCAGAGTGACCACAGTTCTTTTGTTCTTTTCTTTTCTTTTCTTTTCTTTTGAGACAGAGTCTCGTTCTGTCGCCCAGGCTGGAGTGCAGTGGCACAATCTCGGCTCACTGCAAGCTCCGCCTCCCGGGTTCGTGCCATTTTCCTGCCTCAGCCTCTCAAGTAGCTGGGACTACAGTCGCCTGCCACCATGCCCGGCTAATTTTTTGTATTTTTTAGTAGAGACGGGGTTTCACCGTGTTAGCCAGGATGGTCTCGATCTCCTGACCTGGTGATCCGCCCACCTCGGCCTCCCAAAGTGCTGGGATTACAGGCGTGAGCCACTGCACCCGGCTTCTTTTCTTTTCATTTCATTTCATTTCATTTTCTTCCTTCCTTCCTTCCTTCCTTCCTTCCTTCCTTCCTTCCTTCCTTCCTTCCTTCTTTCCTTCCTGCCTTTCCTCTTCCTTTCCTTTTCCTTTTCCTTTCCTCTTTCTTTGCTTTCCTTTCTTTCCTTTCCTCTTTCTTTCTTTCCCTCTTCCCCTAACAATGGGAAGTTGGAGTTGCTGTTTTCTGAGGTTGGGATAATTGCACAATAGCAGGTTTGGGGGATGGAGGAATGGGGGTGTCAATATCAGGAAGTTAGCCTTAGCCTGGATGTGCCAAGTTTGAGATACCAGTTAGACCTTCAAGTGGGTCTCCAATTGTTAAATGAACAAGGGGATAATATAAGTGACATTCAGGGGAAAGGTTAGGGTTGAAGATTTAACTTTGGGATGGACTGTAAACATAAATTAACTGAAAGAAAGTCCTTCATATTCTAATAACATAACCAAAAAGACTAGTGAATAGAAGCGTTGGTCGTCTCCCACGCACAAACCAGTCAGCAGTGTTTACCTTTTTCTGTATAATTCATGCTGTCTCCCCATCATCCATTATTATTTGCTCTTAGATATTTTTTTCCTTCTTAAAATCCCATTTTTCTCTCATTTCCTTTGTATGCCTTTTATGTTAGAATAATTCCAAGGTCATTGGAGTGTCTGGCACAGTTTCAGGAATATGACGGTCATTATCATTTTGGCCTTTCCTCCCTATTTTCTTTGTTTCTGGTTGCAGGAACTTTTTCATCATTAAAACATTTTAGCTGGGTTGCTTGAACACTTTCCAGTTTTGTGAGGGCATAAAGCAAGTTGCTTTTTCTGTGAGGTTTGGGAGAATGTGGTTACAAAGAGCAATTTAATCATAAGGCAGATGACAATGATTCATTCAATTCATTCTCCCTGTTCTGTCCTCTTCATTTAGCATTTATAGATACTTTTTTTTGTTCTGAACAATTTCCCTTTTTGTGTGAGACAGGGTCTTGCTCTGTTGCCCAGGCTAGAGTGCAGTGGCATGATCTGGGCTCACCGCAGCCTCTGCCTCTGGTGTCCAAGCGATTCAGCCACTCAAGTAGCTGGGATTACAGGCATGCACCACCACGCCCGGATAATTTTTGTATTTTTGGTAGAGATGGGGTTTCGCCATGTTGGTCAGGCTGGTCTCGAATTCCTGACCTCGTGATCTGTCCGCCTTGGCCTCCCAAAGTGCTGGGATTACAGGCATGAGCCACCATGCCCTAATTTATTTTTTAATTGACATATTGTAATTGTACATATTTATCGGGTTCATTTTGACGTTTTGATACATATATGTTATATAGTAATCAAATCAAGGTAGTTGGCTATTCATTACCTCATGGATTTATCATCTTTTTCTTTCTTTCCTTTCTTTTTTTGTCTTTTTTTTTAAAGAGACAGGGTCTCACTCTGTCACCCAGGCTGGAGTGCCGTGGCGCAGTCATAGCTCACTGCAGCCTTGAACTCCTAGGCTCAAGAAATCCTCCTGCCTCTGCCTCCCAAGAAGCTGGCTAATTAGCATGTCCAGCTAATTTTTTTGTTTGTTTTTTGTTTTGGTTTGGTTTTTGGTTTTTGTAGATGGGGTCTTGCTCTGTTGGCCAGGCTGTATCATTTCTTTGTGTTGAGAATCTTCAAAAGCCTCTCCTCTAGCTGTTTTGTAATATACAATACCTTACTGCTAGCCATCATCACCCTACCATACAGTTGATCACCAGAATTTATTCCTATCTATTTAACTTTTTTTAATGTCAAATTTTCCTTTACTATTCCCTGATACTATTTTAGATAAAGAAGCAGCACAGTTACAGGTCCTTCTCTTCAGTACAGGGAATAAAGAGCTAAGGTCAGCCAGTATGGCTCTTAGTAAAGGTAATTCTCTTTCCTCCCTAAGAAGATGGCATCAGAGCTGCTGGCAACACTTTGTTTCTGTTTTTAAAAGTTTATTTATTATTATTATCAAACATTTAGGGCCAGGCACAGTGGCTCATGCCTGTAATCCTAGCACTTTGGGAGGCAGAGGTGGGTGGATCACGAGGTCAGGAGTTCAAGACCAGCCTGGCCAAGATGGTGAAACCCCGTCTTTACTAAAAATACAAAATTAGCCCGGCATGGTGGTGGATACCTGTAATCCCAGCTACTAAGGAGGCTGAGGCAGAGAATTACTTGAACCTGGGAGGCGGGGGTTGCAATGAGCCAAGATCACACCACAGCACTCCAGCCTGGGCGACAGAGCAAGACTCTGTCTCAAAAAAAAATAAAATAAAAAATTTAGACAGGGTCTTACTCTTGCCCAAACTGGAGTGCAGTAGTACAGTCATGGCTCATAGCAGCCTTCATCCACCCGAGCTCAGGTGATCCTCCTACCTCAGTCTCCCAAGCAGCTGGGACTACAAGTTTGCACCACAACATGCTGCTAATTTTTGTAGAGACAAGGTTTTGCCTTGTTGCCCAGGCTGGTCTTGAGCTCCTAGCTTCAAGTGATTCACCTGCCTCGGCCTCTCAAAGTGCTGGGATTACAGGTGTGAGCCACCTCTCCTGGCAGCACTTTGGAGTAGAGACTATGGCGCTTCGGGGCTCTGTGTTTATGGAGAAAACTTGGGGAAGCCCAGTGAAGAGCCACTTTTTTCATCCTGCCAAAAACTGACCCACGGTGGTTCATAGTCAGAATGGAGAAGCTAGAATAAAGTCTGTAGGTAGCTAAAGGAAATAAAGAGTCTCAGGACTGCTCAAACTCATTACACCAAATGGAGAGTTAAGCCTGGAGACACAGTCATGTGACACTGCTGTCTCCCCCCACCTGCCCATAGATAGCTGTGACTTCCCAACCTTGTGTCAAAGGACTACACATTAGCTAGATCTCTACAGAAGGCAAAAGGCCCCATGCAACCCGGATGGCTGCCCTCAAATTGCTCATAAGTAAATTCTCTGCTTGTCCCTAAACCTTTCAAGATGTGTATCTTCCCATAAAAAAGGACATGTCAGCTGTAACTTTAGGTCTGCGACCTAAGTCTAGCTCCCTGTCCATGGAATTGCAGTCTGTTACATTTCACACTGACAATGTCCATTACAAGCTTATCTTCCCAGGTGCAGAACAAAGACAGGACAGCAGTCATTTCTCTGCTTACCCTGAGACTACATAATTAACTCTTCCTTTACTCCCTTTTTGAATGTTGATCATATCTCTTGTATAGCAGGGTTTACTGGGCACTAGTTAAAATCTCAGGGGAATGTCACGTTTGCCTCACCACCTGCCCCCTTTTCCTGCGTGCCTTCTCCCCTTTAAAGAAATGGGTAAATACTGAGCCTTCTGCAACCTCTTTGGGAGCACCAGCCACAGAAGATTCTGTGACTTGTGTGCTTTTAGGTGCACCCTCAGACCTCTGGCTCAGTACACCTCGGCTGATTGAGACTGTTGCCTCAGTCTCTCATTTGGGTTGACATTATTCATTTTAATGAATGAATACATTTGTCGCAGAAAGTGGAATTCTCTCATTGTTGAGAGAAAATTCTCAGCTTGAGTCAAGAAGTTTCCATATTTACCAGAACCTTCTAGCTTTGATGAGCATAATCACTGCTAAAATAATGTGTCTTCTGAGCAGCTGGGTACCAGTGCCTGTGGCCTGTAGCATTAGTTACTGCCTGAGGGATGGTGACTGTTACCGCAGAATGGTGGGCTTCGTTGACTTGTCTTCTCTCCTCTCCCTCTTACCCACTTCCCGGAGAAACAGGACAGCAGGCACAGCCAGTAACAAGCTGTGGTACGCCTCCCTGGCCCTGGTGACGCTCATCATGTATTCCATTGCCACTGGAGGCTTGGTTTTGATGGCAGTGTTTTATACACAGAAAGACAGCTGCATGGAAAACAAAATTCTGCTGGGAGTAAATGGAGGCCTGTGCCTGCTTATATCATTGGTAGCCATCTCACCCTGGGTCCAAAATCGTAAGCATGTTTTTTTCCATTCTTCGTTACTTATATTTTCCTAAGTGTCTTTGAGCAAACCCAATGGCTTTTTTTGTTTTGTTTTGTTTGTTTGGAACTAGTGTATTCCTTAACTTACTGTGGATGTGTCAGCAGTAGGCAAGGTGGGGCTCCAGTCTCTTCATATCTCATGCTCGAGCTGTGATAGCCAAGCATTTCTCATGTCGAGAAAGACCTGAACGTAACGAAGTCAATGAATAGGAAGATACTGCCTTTGCTAAATAATGTACCACAAAGAGCCTTTAAATGGGAAATGCCTTCCGTGTATATCAAGATCAGGTGTTTATGAGCTTGCCTACAATCTCTGTGTAAAAGTTGAATGAAAGGGCCGCAGAAGGGGTTGGTTCTGGGGTCATCTTTCACTCAAGGCTGTGGACAGTGTGGTCTGGGAGTCAGGAAGCAGGACATCCCATCCCAGCTCAGCCAGCAGCTGGCCCATGTGCTAACCTTCCTTAGACCCAGGTTCTTCCTCAGTAAACTCAGTGGAAACATGTGAGCCTGACCTTGCTCATTGTTGTTTCAAAGCCGGAAGGAAGAGACAGTGGGATCTGAAAGTGCTTTAGGAAGTATAAATGTGAATTGCCATTTATAAACTACTCTTGGTTTCTTAAGCCAGGGTATAGTGTCTTTGGGCTTACAGTGAGATGTCCCTGGTCTGATTTTTTTTGTGGGTGTCGGACCCTATAGGTGATGAAAATGCACATGACATTCAGGTTCTAGGTAGGAAAATACAGGCAATAAATGTACAGCCCCCTTGAATCATTTCTAAAATAGTGGTTTAAAAAGGCAACTAGTGGTCGGGCGCAGTTGTTCATGCCTGTAATCCCAGCACTTTGGGAGGCTGAGGCAGGCAGATCGTCTGAGGTCAGGAGTTCAAGACTAGCCTGGCCAACTTCGGGAAACCCCGTCTCTACAAAAAAATACCCAGAAAATTAGCCAGCCATGGTGGGACACGCCTGTATTCCCAGCTACCCGGGAGGCTGAGAGGCAGGAGAATTGCTTGAACCCGGGAGGCGGGGCTTGCAGTGAGCCAAGATCCCACCACTGCACTCCAGCCTGGGTGACAGTGAGACTCTGTGTCGAAAAAAAAAAAGGCAACTAGTCACAAATAATTTGTTTTCTTCTATTAAAAATTTTAAGACCATTATTGAAATTGAGAGTATTATTCTCCTAATCCCTTTAATTGATCAGTTAAGAGTTCCTAGAACAACTTGATATTCCGATTAAAATCTTTGGGTTAAGTCCTACCTTTTGAAATAGGGATAATGTTTTGAAATACTTGGTTTAATACCATTAGGTGCTAAGGAAAATCTTATTCCCTTGCCAAAGAGCAACATTATAACAGGGTCTATTTTATGTCTTTATTGGTAATTACAATTTAATAATGATAATTTTGGAAACAAATTTGACCAAAGGGAAGACTGAGTAAAAACTGCATCCTTTTATGTCGGCAAGTGGTCGAAAATTTCGCAGGAAAGAAAGAGAGATCCCTTATCACATCCTGGTTACTCTGAAGGATCTGAACCCTTAGTTTCCTTGAAATATTATAACTTTCAAAAAATAACAGATGGCTTGTGAAGTTTCAGAGAAAAATGAACACTTATACACTGTTGGTGGGAATGTAAATTAGTTCAACCATAGTGGAAAGCAGGGTGGCAATTCCTCAAAGACCTAAAAACAAAACTATCATTAGGTCCAGCAATCTCATTACTGGGTATATACCCAAAAGAATATAAATGGTTCTCACATAAAGACACAGGCATTCACAATAGCAAAGATATGGAATCACCGACATGCCCGTCAATGGTAGATTGAATAAAGAAAATGTGGTACATATACACTATGGAATCTATGGAATACGGTGTAGCCATAAAAAGGAAAGAGATCATGTCCTTTGCAGGAACGTGGATGGGGCTGGAGGACATTATCCTTAGCAAACTAACACAGGAACAGAAAACCAAATACCACATGTTCTTGCTTAAAAGTGGGAGCTAAATGATGAGAACATGTGGACACATAGAGGGGAACAACACACACTGGGGCCTATCAGAGGGTGGAGGTGGGAGGAAGGAGAGGATCAGGAAAGATAACTAATGGGTACTAGGCTTAATACCTGGGTGACGAAATAATCTATATGACAAACCCCTGTGGCAATTTTCCCCTTACAACAAACCTGCACATACACCCCTAAACCTAAAATAAAAGTTAAAAATAAATGAATAAATAAATAAATAACCTTAAAGCCATTCTCCCAGTGAATGCTGAGCCCCATAGCCTTCCTCTTTAGCCAAGAGCAGTTCTTGTATTCTGTCCCCAAAAGCTTTTTGATCATTGGCAGGTAAGAGCTTTTTGCCCTGTCATAGACTGTAGTATGTGATGACCTTGTAGAATCCAGAATACATCCCCTATGAAATCTGGTTTACCACTTACTCCCCTCCCCAATTAAGCTATGTGGTTTTATCAACAACTATGGTAATTTTTTTTCTGATCTTGTGATTTAAGAACTAATGTTACAAACCTCAGGGAGACTAGTTAGTGTGTTTTAAGTGTAGCCATAGGCTTGATAAAGTATTGGTAGATAACTTGGCAGAACCTGATGTCTTTGAAGTAGCAATGTTCAGTTCAGCGTGTAACTCTCTCCCCCTTAATATCTTTTTAGTTTTATCTGAGAAACATACTACATTTTTTTCTCTTTTCTTTCCTTTAAAGGTGGATGCTCAAGTTTGAGGACTGTCATGGGGACTATCAGGTTTTTTAGGCATGTGCTTTCTTTTTCTTCAAATTAAAACCTGTTGTCTGTCTCTTGTCACTTTTCAGGACAGCCACACTCGGGGCTCTTACAATCAGGGGTCATAAGCTGCTATGTCACCTACCTCACCTTCTCAGCTCTGTCCAGCAAACCTGCAGAAGTAGGTAAGCCAGCCTGTTAGTGGGCTTGTGTTTGCGGTGTGAATATTTTCATTCATGGAGGAATGAGCTATTGTTTAAATATTGGAGAGGCCTTGGAGATAGAGAGCAGAAAGATGGTTACCAGAGGCTGGGAAGGGTTTGGGAGGAGGTTAGGATGATTAATGGGTACAAAATAAATAGGAAGAATGAATAAGACCTAGTATTTGATAGCACAACAGGGTGACTATAGTCAAATTTAATTGTACATTTAAAAATAACTAAAAGAGTATAATTGGATTGCTTGTATAACACAAAAGATCAGTGCATGAGGGGATGGGTACCCCATTTTAGATGACGTGATTGTTACATGTTTCACACCTGTATTAAAACATCTCATGTACCACAGAAATATGTACGCCTACTATGTATCCACAAAAATTAAGTTAAAAAATAAAAATAAACGTTAGAAATGTACCAAATCACAGTAGAGAGATGATCTAGACTTTTTCATGAAAAAGTCTTTAACTTGAGCTATGTAAAGGAAAATTCCCTTTTTCGATTCTTCCTGGTGTGTAGGACAGACAGGAGGAAAGGTTTGGCTGTGGAGTTTGCTTTTAGGCCTAAATAACCTCTTTAGTTGTATTTCTTTTCTTTTCTGACTATAGCAGTGGAATAAAGAGTGGAAAGAATGTGGGGGAGTGGGGAGCAGGGAGCAGGATCTGAGCACAGATCCATGATTTACTGGCTATGTGACCTCAAACCACTCGTCTTAAATGACATTTATTTACAGAGACAACAGAACATAGTGATTAGAGCATGAGCTTTGAAGTCGGACTGCCTGGTTTATAGACTGATCCTGCTACTTAAGTAACTTGCAGAAACTTACTTATCCTCTCTATTACTTATGTGATGTATAAATGTAAATATACACAGACATACATACATATATACATACATACACATAAGCATATATAAATGTATGTTTGAGTATATTTGAGCTTATATAAGTCAAATAAATGTAGTGTCTAAGAGAATTGAAGTTGTTTCCTCTTTTAAATTTGGAAAGCTGGTGCAGTGATAATTTTGAAAGTTTTAGCATATACACATAGTATTTATGGGTTTGTCCTTGTTGCTGTTTATAGTGGAAAGTAATGTAAGTGGAGGTCTTAAGTAACTATTGCCTAACCTGGATTTAAGTTTTTTTTTTAAATACTCTATCTTGACTCTGTAAGTTTACATAAATTTAGTCTCTTTAAGACTTTCTTTTATGACTGTTTATGTATTAATTTCTGGCTTTAACTTACTGGGATTTTTATTTACAATATTTTTTAAATGGCAGGTATCCCTTTAAAACAGAAAAAAAAGGCTGAGCGTGGTGGCACATGCCTGTAATCTAAGCACCTTGGGAGGCTGAGGCAGGAAGATTGCTTGCAGCCAGGAGCTGAGACCAGCCTTGGCAACATAGCATCTCTACAAAAAAAAAAAAAAAAAAAAAACAGAAAAAAAGTTATTTTAAATTTCAAGTGCTCTACATTTTTTTAATTAGCCTAAGAATAAAGATTCTTGAAACCACAGCATACACAGGGAAGTTTATAGCATTAAATGCCTATATGAAAAAAGCAGAAAGATTACAAATTAACAACCTAACATTGCACCTGGAACTAGAAAATCAAGAAGAAATCAAACCCAAAGTTAGCAGAACAAAAGAAATAACAAAGATCAGGGCTGTGTGAGTTGGCTCATGCTTGTAATCCTAGCACTTTGGGAGGTTGAGGCAGGCAGATTGCAGGAGCCCAGGAGTTTGAGACCAGCCTGGGCAACATGGTGAAACCCTGTCCCTACAAAAAAATACAAAAAATTAGCCAGGCATGGTGGCACATGTCTGTAGTCCCAGCTACTCTGGAGGCTGAGGTGGGAGGATCACTGGAGCCCCAGAGGTTGAGGCTGCAGTGAGCTGTGAGCTCTTATTGCACCACTGCACTCTACCCAGGGCAATAGACAGGGACTTTGTCTCAAAAAAATAAAATAAAATAAGGAACTAAATAAAATAAAGACCCCCCTCCCCCCCAAAAAAACCCATGAGAACAATACAGAGGATCAACAAAACAAAAAAAAGGTGGTTTGTTGAAAAGATAAACAAAATTGATAAGCCCCTGGACTAACCAAGAAGAGAGAAGACCAAATCAACAAAATTAGAAATGAAAAAGGAAAAATCACAATAATAACCACAAAAGTACAAAAGATCATTACAGACTATTATGAACTTCCATATACTTACAAACTAGAAAAGCTAGAGGAAATGGATACATTTCTGGAAAGCAAGAAGGAATAGAAATCCTAAACAGGCCAATAATGAGTAGTGATATTGAATCAGTGATTTAAAAAATCTTCCAATAAGAAAAAGCCAGGACCGAATGGAGTCATAGCCAAATCCTACCAAACATATAAGGGAGAACTAATACCAATCCTCCTGAAATTGTGCCAAAAAATGGAGGAGGAGAGAACTCTCCCTGACTCATTATACAAGGCCAGATATATCACCCTGAAAACCAAAACCAGACAAGGACACAACAAAAAAAAATTACAGACCAATACCCCTGATGAACATAGATGGAAAAATCTTCAACAAAATACTAGCAAACACGATGTAATAGTACATCAGAAGATAATATACCATGATCAAGTGGGTATTATACCATGGATGCAAGAATGGTTCAACATATGCAAATTAATAAATATGATACATCATACATTACATATTACATAAACAGAATTAAAGATAAAAACCATATGATCATTTCAATAGATGCAGAAAAAGCATTTGTTAAAATTCAGCATCTTTTCATGGTAAAAAAAAAAACCCTCAATAAAGTAGGAACATAACTTAAAATAATAGAAGGAATACAACTTAAAATAATAAAGGTCATATATGATAAGCCCGCAGCCAGTATCATACTGAGTGGGGAAAAATGGGAAGCATTACTTTTGAGAACTGAACCAAGATAAGGGTGCCTGCCTTCACCATGCCTATTCACCATAGTACTGGAAGTCCTAGCCAGGACACTCAGGCAAGAGGAAGAAATAAAAGGTATCCAAATTGGAAGAGAGGAAGTCAAATTGTCGTGTTTGTTGATGATGTGATTCTATATCTAGAAAACCCAAAAGGCTCCACCAAAACACTGTTAGATTTGAGTAATGAATTCAGTAATATTGCAGTATACAAAGTCAACATACAAAAATTAGTAGTGTTTTGGCTGGGTGCATTGGCTCACATCTGTAATCCCAGCACTTTGGGAGGGCAGGGTGGGTGGATCATTTGAGGTCGGGAGCTTGAGACCAGCTTGGCCAACATGGTGAGACCTCGTGTCTACTAAAAATACAAAAATTAGCCAGTCATAGTGGTGTGCACATCTGTAATCCCAACTACTTGGGAGGCTGAGACAGGAGAATCACTTGAACCTGGGAGGGGGAGGGATCTTGGCTCACTAGCCAAGATCGCACTACAGCACCCCTGCACCCCAGCCTGGACAACAGAGTGAAACTCCGCCTCAAAAAAAAAAAGTCAGTAGTGTTTCTATACACCAGTAATCATCTAGCAGAGAACCAAATCAAGAAGCCAGTCCCATTTACAATGGCTACAAAAAATAAAATAACTAGGAATAAATTTAACGAAGGACGTGAAAGATCTTTACAATGAAAACTACTAAACATTGATGAAAAACTTAAAAGGAGGGGCCATGTGTAGTTTCACATCCCTGTGATCCCAGCACTTTGGGAGGCCAAGGTGGGAGGATGGCTTGAGGCCAGGAATTTGAGGCCGGCCTGAGCAACATAGGGAAATCCCATCTCTACAAAAAATTTACAAATTAGCTGAGTGTGGTGGCATGCACCTGTAGTTCTAGCTACTCATGGGTCCGAGGTTGGAGGATCACCTGAGCCCAGGAGCTTGAGGTTATGGTGAGCTATGATCAGGCCACTGTACTCCAGACTGGGTGAAAGAGCAAGACCACGTCTCAAAAAAATAAAAATAAAAAGGATGCAAGCGAATGGAAAGACATCCCATGCTCATGGATCAGGAGAATAAATATTGTTAAAATGACCATATTGCCTAAAGCAGTCTTACAGATTTAGCGCTATCCCTATCAAAATACCAATGACATTTTTCACAGAAAAACATCCTAAAATTTGTATAGAAACAACAGAGCCAGAATAGCTAAAGCAATCCTAAGCAAAAAGAACAAAACTTGGAGGAATCACACTTCAAAGCTGGAGGAGTCCCTTCTTCAAATTATGCTACAAAGCTACAGTAAGCAAAACAGCATGATATTTGTATAAGAATAGATCCATGGAACCACATAGAGAACCCAGAAGTAAAGCCACATATTTATAGCCATCTGGTCTTTGACAAAGTTGACAAGAACACACACTGGGGAAAGGATACCCTTTTCAATAAGTGGTCCTGGAAAATTTGGATTTCCATATGCTGAACCCCTACCGAACCCCTGTCTCTCACCACATACAAAAATCAACAAAAATCAACAAAAGGTGGATTAAAGACTTACATGTAAGACCTGAAACTGTAAAAATGCTAGAAGAAAACCTAGGAAAACTCTTCTGGATATTGCTCAAGGGAAATAATTCATGACTAAGACCTCAAAAGCACAGACAACAAAAACAAAACCAGACAAATGGAACTATGTTAATCTAATTAGCTTCTGTACAGCAAAAGAAATAATCAACAGAGTGAAGAGACAACCTGCAGAATCAGAGAAAATATTTGCAAACTGTGTCTTATAGGGGAGCAATATGCAGAATTTACAAGGAACACAATTCAACAACAAAAAACACCAAATAATCCCATTAAAAAGTAGTCAAAGAACATGAATAGACATTTCATTTTTTTTCTAAAGAAGACATATAAATGGCCAACAGGCATTTGAAAAAAATGCTCAACATTGCTAATCATCAGAGAAATGCAAATTAAAACCATAACTAGATGTCATTTCACACCAGTCAGAGTGGCTATTATTAAAAAGACAAAAAGTAACAGATGTTGGTAAGGATGTGGAGAAACGGAAACACTTATACTGTTGATGGGAATGTAAATTAGCATAGCTTCTATGGGAAACAGTGGGAGATTTCTCAGAGAACTAAAAATAGAGCTACCATTTGATTCAGCAATCCCACTACTGGGTAGCTACAAAAAGGAAAATAAATCATTATATCAAAAAGATAACTGCACCTCTGTGTTTATCGCAGCACTGTTCACAATAGCAAAGATAAGGAATCACCTTTAAGTGTCCATCAACAGATGATTGGATAAAGAAAATGTGATTTTTATATATATACATACATACATATATATATATACACGTGTGTATATATATACACGTATATATACACGTATATATATACATATACACACATATATACATATATATACACACACATATATATATACACATATATATACACACACACACACATATATATATCTATCTCCACACAATGGAATACTATTCAGCCATAAAAAAGAATGAAATCCTGTCTTTTGTAGCAACATGGATGGAACTGGAAGCCATTATCTTAAGTGAAACAAGCAGACACAGACAAATACTGCATGTTCTCACTTTTAAGTGGGAGCTAAATAATGTGTACACATGGACATGAGTGTGGAATGATAGTGAAGACTCAAACATAGGAAGGAGGGAGGGGATGGATGGTGAGAAATTACTTAATGGGTAGAATACACATTATTTGGTGATAGATACACTAAAAGCCAAGACTTCACCACTACATGTAAAAAAGTTACACTTGTACCCCATAAATTTATACAAATAATAAAAGATTCCTTAAACCACAGCATACATAGTTACGTTTACTGTTTCAAGTGCAAATACTAGTCATAATTTTAGTCTCACTTCAGACACTTGAAATATGCACGTTTGTAAAGTGGTTTCTAGAGTGTTACTTTATGTTACTTGCTTTGGTGGCAAAGTTGGCAGTCAGACCTAGGTTGGGTGTTCCAAATGGAAGACTCCATGTTAGGTAAAAGGTAAATTACCACTGATGGTTATATTATAGGAATCTTTGTTACGTAGTGTTTAGAATAACTCAGTTTTTCTTACTGTTTCACACTACAACAGTCAACACAGAAGGTTTCTGTGACACTAAAATAAGTGGAGATTTCTCCCCACCAGCAAGCAGGCAGTGGACATCAGTTGGGTGTCCTCCAATCCAATTCGGATGCTCTACCTGGAGATAAGGTCAGATCCCACAGGTCGAAGGCTCAATTCCACAAAACAGCCCTACCATTCCCACTGGTCACAAGTCCGGCCCTCCAGAACTTCTGACCAACTGTTAGGGCTCCCACAGTTACCCCTTCTTTGGGATGGATTAATTTGATAGAGTGGCTCACAGATCTCAGGAAATACTTATCTTTACTGATTTATTACAAAGGATATTTTAAAGAATATGAATAAACAGGCAGGTAAAAATATATATAAGGCAAGGTCTCAAAGGGTCCTGAGCTGTCTCCATGCAGTTGGTGTGGCTGGGTTCCTAACATGTGGATGAGGTGGTGTTCACCTTCCTGTAAGCCTCCAGCTCTCAGGAAGCTTTCTGAACCATGTCCTTTTGGGCCTTTTATGGAGACTTCATTACACAGGCATGATTGATTAAATGATTAAACCATTGGCCCTTGGTGATCAACTACCATTCCTCCCATTCCTGGAGTTTGGAGAGTGGGTCTGAAAGTCCCAGCCCTCTAATCCTACCTTGGTCTTTCTGGTGACCAGCCCCCATCCTGAGGCTACCTAGGGGCTGCCAGCCATTAGTCAGTCATTAACATATAAAAAGACACCATTTTGGAGATTTCAAAGATTTTAGGAGTTGCATGCAAGTAAATGCGAATGAAGACCAAATATATATTTCACAATATCACATGTAGCCACTCACATTAAAAAAAAAACACACCTCAGGAGTTTCCAAGTTACAGACAGAAAGATACCACGATTATCATATCACTTACAGCAAAATGACTTCTCAACTAGTTTAGGAGCTATTGTTGGCTGTTGATTCACCTCAGCACTGCTTGGTATCTGCACCCTACCTCTCTTTAGAGGCTGCCTTGTCAACTGAAAAATGCACCTGACTTCGAGCAAGACTCTTTCCTTAGGTTCTGGATCTGTTTGAGCCCCATGGCACTGAGCTGGAATCTGAGGGTCTTGTTCCAAGGATGTGATGATGTGGGAGAATGTTCTTTGAAAGAGCAGAAATCCAGTCTGCATGGAAACAGCCTGTAGAGTAGAAGTTTCCAGTGATAAGTGTTCACTGTTCTAAGGAGGTACACCACAGCTACCTGAATTTTCCCAAAATGAGTGCTTCTGTGCGTTACAACTGGCCTTTGTACTTGACTGTGATGACTTTGTTTTTTCTTTTCAAGTTCTAGATGAACATGGGAAAAATGTTACAATCTGTGTGCCTGACTTTGGTCAAGACCTGTACAGAGATGAAAACTTGGTGACTATACTGGGGACCAGCCTCTTAATCGGATGTATCTTGTATTCATGGTAAGTCTTGGGAGTTACTCAAGGTCACTTTTGCAGACTTTAAAATTACAGGAAAAGAATTGAAATAACTTTCAGTAGCTGTGAGGCTGCAACCATTTGAGGAGGGGGGAAAATAACCACAAGTAAAAAGGCGAAGAGCGTGAACTCATATTTGAACTTCGTTCACCTTACTTGTTTTTATTTGGGGTAAATAAAGCAAATATATGGTATGTAAATATTTGAACTTCGTTTACCTTACTTGTTTTTATTTGGGGTAAATAAAGCAAATATATGGCATGTTGCAGCACCGTTGCCTAACCCCCTTTAAAAGATGGTCGAATAGTAGTTTGCTATACCTTTACTGGAGGGCAGGGGAGCACAAAGTGAAGAAGAGATAGAATGTGCCAGCATGTCCTGGCAGCTTTCTGATCCAAAGGAAATAGCTTTCTTCTGCTGTTGATGGAAAGAGTACAGAGTGCTGTGTGCGTGGTCATTCTGTGCAGACAAGAAATGTTCATTCTCTTTTCTGCTAAACCCACAATGCTGTTGTTCACTCGGCAAAGCAGCTCCTCCAAAAGTAGATGTGATATATGAGTGGGCTGTGTTTCAGATGCTTGTGGTGGGGGTTATTCCACCTTTAAAAGGTTTAAAAGGTTGCTAGAGGGAGAAAAGTCAAGGATAGAAATGGCTAGTTAATCTGGATATATATTTCGCTGATAACTAAGCTTCCCTTTAACAGTAACCTTTTCACATTTAGCCTTTACTTCTGTGTTTACATTTTGTTAATGTTCAGTATAAAAATTCAATTCCATTGAATTCAGCCATAGGCACATTGTAAACTTCCTTTTTGCTGAAACGAAATACTCCTGGTGGTGATAGCTTGTATAAATATAATGTCTTTCTGAGCATGTTGGCATTTTCTCTTACCTCCTTTAACAACTTCTACTATTAGAAAGGGACCAACGGGGACACAGACCTTTTAGAGTCTATTTGCTCAGGGTCACACATCAAGCAATAAAATGCTTGTTGTTTTACAGGTAGGTGTTAAGATGATGGTGACATACATTCATTCTTGGCCTGTGTGACATAGTGACAGAGTCTCCTTGTTGTTGCAGAATGGACTGTGGTAACTTCTTTCTGGCCTTTCAATTTTATTAATTCCTAAGTTGTTCGCAGAGTACCTACAATATAGGAAGCAGGCTGCGTGGTGCAGTGGCTCACGCCTATAATCCCAGCACTTTGGGAGGCTGAGGCAGGAGGATCACTTGAACCCAGGAATTTGAGACCAGCCTAGACAACATAGCAGACCCTGTTTCTACGAAAAAAAAAAAAAATCAGGCGTGATGGCACGTGCCTGTGGTCCCAGCTACTTGGGAGGCTGAGATGGGAGGATCACTTGAACCCAGGTGTCTAAGGCTGCAGTGAGCTAGGGGTGTCTCCACTCCAGCCTAAGCAACCGAGTGAGACCCTGTCTTTTGAAAAACCAACCATGAAGATATTTGATAGAATAAAATCATGTTTTTGTGGGTTACTGGGTACCCAATGAAAAAAAATATTTGCCCTTGGCCAGGCGCGGTGGCTCACGCTTGTAATCCCAGCACTTTGGGAGGCAAAGGTGGGTGGATCACCTGAGGTTAGGAGTTTGAGACCAGCCTGGCCAACATGGTGAAACCCCATATCTACTAAAAATACAAAAATTAGCGGGGTGTGGTGGTATGCACCTGTAATCCCACCTACTCCGGAGGCTGAGGCTGGAGAATTGCTTGAACCCAGGAGGGGGAGGTTGCAGTGAGCTGAGATCACGCCATTGCACTCCAGCCTGGGTAACGAGAGAAACTGTATTTCAAAAAAAAAAAAAAAAAAGAAAAAAAAAACCCTTTAAATAAAGTAGAGTTTGGATTTGCCATAAACCCTTCAATGGAAAAGATGGCAAAAATTCTTCTTAGCCTGCTGCATAATGGTTACCACACATAGGGCATTTCACAACATGGAATTTTCACCCTATCATATTTTCTCACTATTTCTAGCAGGTGTAAAGAATTCTTCTGAGTTGGCCCTTGAGTGAGAGATGATAAATAAAATGTTGTTTCTTACAGGACTGAGGTACCATAGTGGAGATTGGTAAGGGCTGGTCTGATATTCCCAAAAGATGTCAATTTTCAAAGTTGATAGCTACTAAAAAAAAAATCTGTCTAAATACCAGCAACAAACATTGTTATTGAATTCGTAAACCACAAAACTGCAGTGTATGGTGGGATGAGAACATATAAAACTGCAGCCCCTACAAAGTGGAGATGAGGATGACCACTCTGCTCTGTAGCGTACTTCTGTAATCTGTAGGCAAGAGCACACTCTGTGGGCTGGGCCCCCTAGGAGTTAGTTCCCCCGGGGTCCATGTGATTGATGTTTGCTGTAATTACTCACTGCAGCTCTTCGAGGGGTCAGCTTTAAGAACACTAAATTCAGGCTTTGTAGGGCCTGGGAATAAAAGGAATGCTGTAGGGGTGGGAGTTAGCCCAACTAGGGTTTTTTCAGATCTGGACTTCTGAAGAGTTTGTTTTCCTTCCTGACTCAGAGGAATGAAAGGTTGGAGGATGTTACAAAAAGGCCACATCGTCCGTGTGGGAACTGTCATTTGAACATAATTGCAGGAATATCTAGGATTCTTGATAGAAATTGCAGGAAGCCAGAGACTATAGATAGTATGTAAGTTAAAAGGAGAAGAAGGCCAAGATTGCCTGGGGTCCACTCTTGTAAAGTTGTAGAAGACTGGAAATCTCCCTAGCTCCTCTCTTTCCCTTCGCCCTCCAGAGCCCCCAAGCCCCACCCCCAAATACTTGTTTCCTTTGGGGTATCTCCATCCTGACTCTTGCAGCTGGGGTACTCTCTAGGAGTATGTTTTAATGTTTGTAGCCTCAGCTCAGAAGAAGGGCTCAACCCAAACCTACTCCCTGCCTTTCTGCCTGGGGCTGCCTTCTCTCCAGAGCCTCCTTCCATTGCACCCAGGAATCATTGCTGTGAAAGAACATCATAGCTTGGACCCCATGTAAGCCCTAACCTTGGTCCACTTGTGGGAGTTCTCTGATAGCTCTTTTTATTTTTTTAGATAAAAAAAAATGTTTTAAGGCAAGTTCTCACTATGTTACCCAGGCTGGGTAAACTGTCCTTAAGGGATCCTCCTGCCTCAGCCTCCCAAGTAGCTGGGACTACAGGCATAACCATGACACCTGGCATTCTGATGGTTTTCTCTCTCTCTCTCTCCTTCTTTCTTCCTTTTTTTTTTTGAGACGGAGTTTTGCTCTTTCACCCAGGCTGGAGTGCAATGGCAGGATCTCAGCTCACTGCAACCTCCGCCTCCCAGGTTCAAGCGATTCTCCTGCCTCAGCCTCCTGAGGAGCTGGGATTATAGGCGCGTGCCACCACGCCACCATGCCCGGCTAATTTTTGTATTTTTAGTAGAGACGGGGTTTCACCATGTTGGTCAGGCTGGTCTCGAACTCCCAACCTCAGGTGATCCGCCCGCCTTGGCCTCCCAAAGTGCTGGGATTACAGGCGTGAGCCGCCATGGCCAGCCCTGATGGCTCTTTCTATAGGCGCATCCCTCCACACCCCTTTAGTCTGGAGCTTTGCTGTGACAAATCCTGGCCTCCACGAACTATTTCTTAATTCTTCCCTTGGTCTCTGGATTTTGATTGAAATTGTTATTCTGTTGCCTTCAACTTCAGACTGTCAGCCTGGACAGGATCCCAGAGTTGATCAGGTCAGTCTCCTCATTGTACATGTAAGGAAGCATGGAGCCTATACCTGTAGCTCTCTACTCCCAACTTCGGGCAACCTTTCCTTGAGGCTCCTTTTCGGGAGTATTTAGGGACACTGGTGGATAGTCTCTCCCCGGCTCTTTTTCTTCAGATGGCTTGGTGTAATGTCCCCTGAGGGAGAAAGATAAACTGGATGACTTGCGTAATTATATTATTACAAGGCATTTGCACTATAAAGTTTCCTGACCATTCCACTTTTATCTGTGTTTAAGAGAAAAAATAATTCTTAATATTGAACCATCTTTGAAAATATCCTTTTAAATATAAAACTGGAAAAAGTAAGAATCTTTATTCAATGTCAAACAACTTCCTAGTTTGAAGTGGGGAGGTTCGCAGGTTGGTGTGATAGCATTGCCGAGGGGATTGTTCTACATTAAAAAAAGTTGGGAAATCAAGGAAGAATATTTATTTTTTTGGTACATTCTGGGCCTTTATGGGGGGGTGGGGAAATTTGTATCTTCCCCACCAGGAGAGGGGGAGATTTGTGTCTTCATTTTGGGAATTCTGCTCTGGCCTGCCTGCCAGCTAGAAATCTCCAAGTTAGAAATCTTCCACCCCGTGGCCAGGCGTGATGGCTCACGCCTGTAATCCCAGCACCTTGGGAGGGCAAGGCGGGTGGATCGTCTGAGGTCAGGAGTTCAAGACCAGCCTGACCAAAATGGAGAAACCCCATCTGTACTAAAAATACAAAATTAGCCGGGCATGGTGGTGCATGCCTGTAACCCCAGCTACTCGGGAGGCTGAGACAGGAGAATCGTTTGAACCCAGAAGACAGAGGTTGTGGTGAGCCGACATCGAGCCATTGCACTACAGCCTGGGCAAAAAGAGTGAAACTCCATCTCCAGAAAAAAAAAGGAAAGAAAGAAAAAGAAATCTTCCACCCCATGCCCCAGGTTCACAGAGAGCTCAGGTCTCCTTTGGGTTCTATAGCACAGGGGAGCATGACTGATCTTCATCATTGCACAAAGGCTGGGAATAGTCACGGGATCTGTCAAGGGCCTACCCTGTACGTTTGTCAGGGAGGCGGAATGTGTGATCTCCAGGAAAGTTTGGACGTGTTATTTAGAGATTTTCTGTGGTCTAGTGGACTTTGGCCAGCTTCAAAAGCATCTGCAGTGCCAGTGTTGAGGGGCACCTGCATTGTGCATTCTTCTGCCAGTGTGAAGGGGTTCTGGGCACTGTAGTGGTTCTGCAGGGAAACAGGACACGGCTTTTCTTTTTTTTTTTTTTGGCTGTCACCATGACTGCAGAGCACTGCTGGCATTTTGGCTGGGTTGGGGTGGGGTGGCAGCAGGCAGAGACAGTAAACACGCTGTGGTGTGTTAGGCATTCTCCGTACAATAAAGCATTGTCTTAACCCAATGCTGTAAGTCTCCTCCTATCCCCACGGGAAATACTGGGTTAAAGTCACACCTATCTTAGCACAGGAAGAGGTAAGGCTTATAGGTAACCCAGGAATTGTTTTATAGCAATTTGTGCTGTGCTCACCAAACAGTGGTCTTTGTAATAGCCTGAATGCAGATAATAAGAATTTCCTAGGCTTTAAGAGCTTATAAAAAAAAAACCTTTTCTTGATAATTCCAAGAAGAGTGTTGTATGGAGAAAGGCTACAACTGAATAAAGATCTTTTTTTTTTTCCTGCAACATCTGCCTCCCGGGTTCAAGCAATTCTCTTGCCTCAGTCTCCCGAGTAGCTGGGATTACAGGCGCCCCCCACCATGCCCGGCTAATTTTTATATTTTTAGTAGAGACAGGGTCTCACCATGTTGGCTAGGCTGGTCTCGAATTCCTGACCTCAGGTGATCTGCCCGCTTCAGCCTCCCAAAGTGTTGGGATTACAGATGTGAGCCACCACGCCCGGCAACTGAATAAAGATCTTAATGTAGGGTAACATCTACCTGTAGAAGTCACATGGCATTAATGATGCTCTGAATGTAGTTCTTTTTAAAAGTAAAATCAAAAGCTTCCCCATGTTAGGCCTCTTTGATGGTGAAGTGGCAAAGGAGCCCAAATCAAGAGCTTTGTTTTCCGGAAATTACGTTAACCCAAAGAATTTATAGAGTAGAATATTTACTCTGAGGCTTTGTTTTTCTTTTTGAGACAGAGTCTCACTTTCTCGCCCAGGCTAGAGTACAGTAGCGTGATCTCAGCTCACTGCAACCTCTGCCTCCTGAGTGTCAAGCAATTTTCCTGCCTCAGCCCCCTGAGCAGCTGGGATTACAGCTGCCGGCCACCACACCTGGCTAATTTTTGTATTTTTACTATAGATGGGGTTTTGCCATGTTGGCCAGGCTGGTCTGGAACTCCTGACCTCAAGGGATCCACCCGCCTTGGCCTCCCAAAGTGCTGGGATTACAGGCGTGAACCACTGCACCTGGCCTATTCTGAGCCTCATAAATAATGAATGTTAACCTTTCAAATGAAAATTTCAGATAGTGATCTCTTCTTAAAATTAAAAACTTATCTTTTCCCCTGTGAAAACTATACACTGTACTAAATCAAAACTTGTATGCACAGGATATGTGCCACTCTTTTTTTTTTTTTTTTGAGACAGGGTCCTTCTGTCACTCAGGCTGAAGTGCACTGGTGTGATCATGCTCACTACAACCTCCCAGGCTCAATTTATTCTCCTGCTTCAGCCTCCCCAGTAGCTGGGACTGCAGACATGTGCCACCACACCTGGCTAATTTTTGTATTTTTTGTAGCGACAGGGTTTTGCCAAGTTGTCCAAGCTGGTCTCGAACTCCTGGGCTCAAGCGATCTACCTGCCACAGCCTCCCAAAGTGCTGAGATTACAGGTGTGAGCCACCACACCCAGCCGGGCCACTCTTAAATGTCGGATTAGGTGTTGTGTTCCTTGGGTGCGCAGTCATTGGGAGATGTTTCTGTCTTCCTCTGACCAGGCACACAGTCAGGAGGTGGAGTGGCATGGGCCTGGATTAGCATGCATCAGTTCAAAGCAGAAATGAAAGTGATGCTGTTGTACTTGAGTGGACCACAAAAGAAACAGTGAACTTGGATCTCAGTGGGCTTCTGTATGAGAAAGCTTTTTATTGTTTATCTCTGTCTCATTGATCTCTCTCCTTGGGAAAGAGGATGAGACTGCGCAGTGTTGCCTCATGGGGTTCGCTGGATTGAGATGAGTGTGTGTCCCCACCTTTCCATGAGCAGACCAGCTTCTTGAGCACCAACACGCCCGCCCATGTCAGGCCAGCACAGAAGCTACATGACGGCAGGATTGTTGCCTGTGTCACTGAGTCCCCAGTGCTTAGAATCGGGCCTGACACATAGTGGCCTTCAGTAAATATTTGCTAAATCAATCTGTAAAGTTAGCTGGAACCCTAAGTATTGTATATATTTGCTTAAAATGTTCTGTGTTTTTGTTTTGTAGAGATGAGGTCTTGCTATGTTGCTCAGGCTCTTCTCAAACTCCTGGCCTCAAGTGATCCTTCCACCCCTTCCTCTCAGAGTATTACAGGCATGAGCCACCACTTCTGGCCTGTTTTTGTTTTCAGGAAAAATAAATTATTTTGCCCCATGCAAGGCAATTTGTCTAACATTTTACCTTTCTAGGTCTCAGGGAAGTGGCAGAATTTTTTATTACCTCGACTGCTACTCTTCCAAACAGCAAGCCTTGTTCTACTATAGGCTATCACAGTAAATAACTGCGACTTTTGCTTTCATGCCCTTGCTTTCTGTTGCCATCTCTGGGCTCGTTGCTTTTGATTCCCTCTAAGCAAGACTAGTCAAAGGGAGGGAAAGATAAACTGAAATTAGAAAACTATTGTAGCATTTGAGGGAGGAGAGGCAAAAAGCAATACTGAAAACCAAGATATCTTACTTCTCTACCTACAACCTTCTTTGCATAAAATGATCTAATGCAATCCATGTAAAATGATATCAACTATAGAATAAGCCAGCCAATTTTGGAATAAGGAGAGGTATTAAAATAGATTGCTTTGATTTAAGTCTCCTGAACGGTAGGTTACATTGAGGCTCTCGTCGGAGCACTGGCCAGCCGGCTTTCCCCTTCATTCCATGTGTTGTAATGTGTTAATATGCCCAGCTGACGTTTTTGTCTGTTTCTTAGTTTGACATCAACAACAAGATCGAGTTCTGACGCTCTGCAGGGGCGATACGCAGCTCCTGAATTGGAGGTAAGTTCATTTCCTTTTCCTGTCCTGCTTCATCTCAGAAGATCCATTTCTCAGGAGGGCCTTTTGTGTTTGTGTCTTTATCAGTCTGCATTCCGTGATCCTGTTTTTCTGCTGAGGAAAGATTTTTGTATAGAAAAATAAATGCTGGCCGGGTGTGGTGGCTCACGCCTGTAATCCCAGCACTTTGGGAGTCCGAGGCGGGTGGATCACCTGAGGTCAGGAGTTCAAGACCAGCCTGGCCAACATGGTGAAACCCCATCTCTACTAAAAATACAAAAATTAGCCAGGCATGGTTGCTCACACCTGTAGTCCCAGCTACTTGGGAGGCTGAGACGCGAGAATCACTTGAACCCTGGTGGCAGAGGTTGCAGTGAGCCAAGGTCATACCACTGCACTCCAGCCTGGGCAATAGAGTGACACTTTGACTCAAAAAAATAAAATAAAAAAGAAAAATAAATGCTTTCCTGCTTTCCTTTGTATGCTATGGGATTAAAATGAATCAGTCCATTCTTGATTTTCTGTAAGAAAGCTGGCCTCTTGGGTGGCATCCTGCCGCTCACCCCCAACCAGAGGCTCAGGTAACCTTGTCAGGCTGCACCCTGCGCTCTTCCCTTGCCGTAGTGGAGTCTTGGTGGGTTTTATTTTAACTTCTGATCCACCCACCTGTTTCATACTTGTCTGTGCCCTCCATACACAGCGTGGCTGTGAGATTATGTAATAGCTGTTTGGAAGAAAGGAGAGAGGAAAGGGAAGGAACCATATCTGCTCTGCCTGACGCTGTTGAACGTTGTAGATACATTAACTCATTTGTCAGTTCCATCAGGTGGGCGTTTTGTCAGGTAGAGTGTTATGGACAATACATACATTGGTTGCCTGCACATCCAAAGCCTCAAGGTGTTCAGCAGATGCCTATCAGTCAACAAAATGTCTGTTATTTTCTTAATTGTGCAAGAGTCTTTCTGGGGCTCTCATCTACCAACAACAGCAAGGTCTAATCAGATGGAGGCAGCCAGGGAAGGACTCAGCTGTGACCCAAGAACGAAAAGAACCAGGGGTTCCAAAGATGGCTAAGACTTACAGCACTTGCTATGTCCCAGGCACTGTTCTAAGTTCTTCCTATGTGATTTCACTTAATCCTCATAAAAACCCAGTGACGTGCTATTACCTCCATTTTACAGAGGGGAAAACCAGAAGAGTTAAGTCATTTAAGCCTCACAGGTTTTGATTTGCCAGAATATAAACCGTGTACTCTGGCCCCAGGATCTGTGTTCTTGACCACTGCTGCCCAGGAGCTGAGCTGCTGAACCCTGGTCCTTGCTGCTGACTGCGGGCAGCTGGTTTCTGGCCACTGCCTGCGTTTTAATAGCTTTCCGTGGATGGAAAAGCCCTGGTGTCTGTCTAGATATGGGCATTTTACTCTGCAGCTGGGTGTCTGGGGTTGGTCTCTCTTGCACCTGACCTGGATATAGTGAGCCATTATGAAGGGCTGTCATCTGCCAACATCATTCACCAACTCTTTCTGTTGCCTAAAGGAGAAAATTGTGCTGAGTTTGAATAGGTTACTGCCTATTATAGAGAAGAGAATGGTCTGTAGAAGGGGTGTTTATTCTCACCATTGACTAGGTGACCACCTGCTGAGGTTGCATGGTTATGGTTTCAATGTCCCTATTGTGTACAGAGTTCAAGCTCAAAGAACAGCAAGTCTCCAAGTTAGATTTAAGAGAGGATGTTTTTCTTCTCAGTCCAAGGGAAAATGTCCGAGTGTTTCCTTCTGAACTGGAGAGCATGCGGGATGGAAGTTGGTTTGCTCTCCTGCGTCACATTTCACAGGATACAACTTTGAAAGTGAGAGTTCATAGTTTCTTATGGTAACTTGAACTTCAAAATAACTAAGACCTCAGCATACCGTGTCTTGGGCCCACTGAATGAATTAGTGGTTTTTAGACCATGGCACTTAATCCAAGCTCCTGTTAAGGCTAATACCTCCGTTAAAGGTTTCCTTGCCAAGCAGGGAAACAAGGGCTTGGCCTTGATACACAAATGAGATGAAGGCTCAAGCTCTCATATTCTTATCCTTGGCTCTCTGTTCTTTGTAGTTGAAATATCTTCAGCCACAAAGTGCTAAGGGCCCTGCACTTCCCAGGCTGTCTTAGTACTCTGTTTACCAGAGTCCTTCTGAAATCACATACTTTTTTTCTTTGCTTTTTTTTTTTTGAGACAGGGCCTCACTCTGTCACCCAGGCTGGAGTGCAGTGGTGGGATCACAGCTTACTGCAGCATCAAACTCATGGGCTTAAGCAGTCTTCCTCCCTCAGTCTCCCAAATAGCTGGGACTATACATAACCTGATTTTTTAAAATTAAGTTTATTGTTTTGAGTAGGTAAGAAATAATGGCCGGGTGCAGTGGCTCACGGCTGTAATCCCAGCACTTTGGGAGGCCGAGGTGGGTGGATCACCTGAGGCCTGGAGTTCGAGACCAGCCTGACCAACATGGAAAAACCCCGTCTCTACTAAAAATACAAAATTAGCCAGGCATGGTGGCACATGCCTGTAATCCCAGCTACTTGGGAGGCTGAGGCAGGATAATTGCTTGAACCCAGGAGGCAGAGGTTGCAGTGAGCCGAGATCGTGCCATTGCACTCCAGCCTGGGCAATAAGAGCAAATCTCCATCTCAAAAAAAAAAAAAAAAAAGAATAAAAAATACGCAAGGTACCAGAGATGCTTCAAAGGCAAGCATTCCCTCCATCCCTGCCCACGGCCCGTGCAACAGCTTGATTTTGATAGGAAACATGGGTAGGCTGCTTCCAGATTCCTTCACTTTACTATTTCAGATCCTACCAGCTTCGCCAAGCTCCTAGATACCACGTGTTACCTATTGTGAATCATGGATCTTGGTGTCCCCATCCTGCATTCGTCTGTTCCAGCTCTGTCACTAAGCTAGTTTGGTGACTTTGGCCAGTTAACCTGCCTGACCTCAGTTTCCTCAGCTGTACACAGGATAATAATAAGCCCAATGCAAAGGTCAAAGAGGGTTTAATGAAATAACATTGAAAGCAAAGCACGAGAAGGGAGCACCAGGAGAGTGGGGCTCTTGTCACGTTCATTGGGTTTCACATTGAGTTCTCCAGAAGCAGAGGCTGAGGCAGTTTGTTGCGTGGGATATTTATTAAAAGTCAGCACATGTGGGAGGGAGAAGGGGAAGGGGAGGCAAAATTGGGCAGAGGGTGAAGTTGAAGGACAGTGCAGCTGGACAAAGCCTCCCTAACCCTAGGAGCCATAAAGGCACGGCCTTTACCCCTGCCATGATCAGCCATTCCATGGCAGTTACCCAGGAAGGGTAAAGGAGCTCCTGTCTCGAGGCTCTGCTCTCAGCATTCATGGTAGCAGGAGCGAGCACCAAGTCCACGGATGAGGATCTCTGTGGCACATCTCCCTCCATGGGGTTTCCTGTCACCAACACCCAGCACACCTGGGAAAGAACAGTCCACATCTTTTGAAGGGCCTGGGAGGTGGTTCAAATAAGGGTTACTGTTGTCTTGCTGAGGTGGACTAGAAATAGAACACAAGCCGCCTGACTGTTGCTTTTGCTTTCACAGATAGCTCGCTGTTGTTTTTGCTTCAGTCCTGGTGGAGAGGGTAAGCAGAGCGCTTTTATTCTTTGCACCTGTGTGGCACTGCAGACCTATAACTCTAATCTGTAGTCATTTGGGATTCAGACACAAATAACTTGAATAGTAAGGAGAAAGTTTTATTCTAAAGCTGACTTACTACTTATACACTTTTCACATTCTTCCTGAAGGATAGCTGAGTTTTGTTTGTGTTGGTATTCTGGTAGAGAGAATCAGTCCAAATTTTGGTTTAAATGTAAGTTAAATTATACAGTGAGATTTAGAGAATCAGAGAGCACATTTTTTAAAAAGGAGTGATTTGGAAAATACCAAGAGGTCCTGACACCTTATTTTGGGGCCATTTCATTCCTTCACCTTACTTTCCAAGGTGGATTGGAGGATTCCAAGGGCTTGAGAACTAACTCTTGTTTTACTCTCACTTTCTGCTGAGCTTATAGTAAGTTTTACGTCTTTAAGGGTTTTTAAGGGTTCTCTTTCTGTTAAAATAAATGTGGCAGGGCAGGCACGGTGGCTTATGCCTGTAATCCCAGCACTTCGGGAGGCTGAGGTGGGTGGATCACCTGAGGTCAGGAGTTCGAGACCAGCCTGGCCAACATGGCAAAACCCTGTCTCTACTAAAAAACAATACAAAATTAGCCGGGCGTGGTGGCGTGTGCCTGTAATCCCAGCTACTTGGGAGGCTGAGGCAGGAGAATCGCTTGAACCTGGGAGGTGGAGGTTGCAGTGACCCAAGATCATGCCACTGTACTCCAGCCGGGGCAAAAAGAGTGAAACTCCATCTCAAAAAATAAATAAATAAAAATAAATGTGGCATTAGGTAACTCTTCCTGTTACGGAAGTTGCTAGGGTGGAGTGGGGGTTTTGTGCTTAGGGCACAGATTGAAGTTGCCAGAGGGTACAGATGGCTTTCTGGCATCTTTTCTACTGACAGCCCTGTAGAATTAGCGAGCGTGACTTTGCTGAATGGTAAACACACACATTCACTCATTGAGCCTGGGCTCCCTCTGTGCTTCACAGACACTGAAGAGCAGCAGCCGGGGAAGGAGGGACCACGGGTCATTTATGACGAGAAGAAAGGCACCGTCTACATCTACTCCTACTTCCACTTCGTGTTCTTCCTAGCTTCCCTGTATGTGATGATGACCGTCACCAACTGGTTCAAGTGAGTGGCCCATTTGCTTAGGTATTTTTGAAGCAAAGCCTTAAAGTTAAGAGTTAAGTACTGTTCGTGTTTGTTTGTTTGAGAAGGAGTCTCACTCTGTTGCCCAGGCTGGAGTGCAGTGGCACGATCCTGGCTCACTGCAACCTCTGCTTCCCAGGTTCAAGCGATTCTTGTGCCTCAGCCTCCCGAGTAGCTGGGATTACATGCATGTACCACCATGCCTAGCTAATTTTTATATTTTTAGTTGAGACGGGGTTTTGCCATGTTGGCCAGGCTGGTCTTGAACTCCTGACCTCAAGTGATCCACCTGCCTTGGCCTCTCAAAGTGCTGGGATTACAAGCGAGTTCTGAGTTTTAACAGTGGATGGGTATGTTTTAACCCTGGAAACTGGTGATGCTTATGGCAACTTTAAGAAAATGGAAAGTTAGCTCTATATGGACAGTCTGGAAAACATGGTAATGAAGGAAAAATAGGAACTCCTAAGCATTCATCTGCCTTTCAGAAAGAGAAAATATCCCTTTTTTTTCTACTTCAAATTTTGTGTATCTTTTTCCCCATTTTTCTTCATTTTCATTACAAAAATTGGAAACATCTTTTTTTAAAATACAAACTAAATGTGGAATTATGAAAAGTAACAATGTGGTACCCCCCCGCCTCTACTTCCCCCACACAGATAACCACTGCTAGGATGTGTATCCTTCTCCTTTTCTGTGCATTTATAAACCTCTGTAGTTTTTTTTTGTTTTTAGTTGGAGTCTTGCTTTGTCACCCAGGCTGGAGTGCAGTGGCGCAATCTCGGCTCACTGCAACCTCCGCCCCTGGGTTCAAGTGATTCTCCTGCCTCAGCCTTTTGAGTAGCTGGGATTACAGGTGCTGCCACCACACTGGCTAATTTTTTTTTTTATTATTTTTAGTAGAGACGGAGTTTCACCATATTGGCTAGGCTGGTCTCGAACTCCTGACCTTGTGATCCACCTGCCTCAGCCTCCCAAAGTGCTGAGATTATAGGCATGATCCACCATGTCCAGCTAATTTTTTTTTTAACATAAATGTCATTATACATGTTTTCCCCTGGAGGCTTTTTTTTTTTTAACTTGGCAGTACATGATTGACCTGGCCTTCCCTGGCACTACACAGAGGTTCATACTTTTTCTACAGGTCCACAGCTTTGGTTGTATCATAATTTTTTTGACCACTAAGTTAAGCTTAGACATGTAGGCTCATTGTGCTTCCTTTTATCATTCATTCAACAGATGTGCAAGTGGCTCCTATGTGCCACACGGTTCTATGAGGCAGGATTTATAGTCCAGCAGGAGAGACAGACTATGACGCAAGTCAAATATGGTGTGTTAGATGGTGATGAGTATTGGGGAGAAAAATAAAATTAGGAGAGGGAATTGGGGTAGGGGTGGTGGGAGTGGTGGTTTCAAGCACAGTGATTGGAGAGATTCTTCCTGAAGGAGGAGAGGAGAAGGGAGCTTTAATGCTTCCCAGTGATGCTTTGGGAACTCCTGGGAATTTTTGGCTTGGAAAGCTTAAGAAAAGATGGAGAAGGCTATAATTAAAAAGGCAGATAATAACAAATGTCGAGGAAGTGGAGAAATTGGAACCCTCTTACATTGCTGGTTTGAATGTGAAATCTGCTTTGGAAAAGAGTTTGGCATCTCCTTAAACAATTAAACATTGAGTTACAATGTAATCCAGCTCTTCCACTACTCCTGAGCGTATACCTAAGACAAAAAGAAAACTAGGTCCACAAAACTTACACAGCGGTGTTCATACAAGCATCATTGGTGATAATCAAAAAGGGGAAACATCCCAAATGACCATCAGCTGGTGACTGCCTAAACAAAATGTGCTCTATCCATACAATAAGATACTATTTAGCAGTAAAAAGGAATGAAGGACTGACACATGCTGCCGCGTGGCTGAGCCTTGGAAATTGTATGCCAGGCAAAAAAGCCACACACAAGAGACCATGTGATTCCTTTTATATCAACTGTCCAGAATAGGCAAATTCATAGAGGCAGAAAGTAGATTGGTGAATGCGGGGGGTGGGCTGAGGGGGCCATGGGGAAGGGGAGAGCACCTAAGGGGTGCATGATTTCTTTTGGGGGTGATGAGAATGTTTGGAAATGGGTAGTGTTGATGGTAGCACAAGTCTGTGTATGAATACATTGAAAGCCGTTGAATTATACATTATAAATGGATGTGAATTAGTGAATTGTATCTCAATATATTCCTGCTTTGACCGCGGCTAGGTGTCTTGTTTCCACAGCTACGAAAGTGCCAACATCGAGAGCTTCTTCAGCGGGAGCTGGTCCATCTTCTGGGTCAAGATGGCCTCCTGCTGGATATGCGTGCTGTTGTACCTGTGTACGCTGGTCGCTCCCCTCTGCTGCCCCACCCGGGAGTTCTCTGTGTGATGATATCGGCGGTCCCCTGGGCTTTGTGGGCCTACAGCCTGGAAAGTGCCATCTTTTGAACAGTGTCCCCGGGGCAGGGACTGGCGCCCTGTGCCTGAGTGGGTCTGAAAAAGCTTTGAGAGAGAAAAAAAAAAATCTCCTGATTAGCTTTTTACTTTTGAAATTCAAAAAGAAACTACCAGTTTGTCCCAAAGGAATTGAAATTTTCAACCAAACTGATCATGGTTGAAATATCTTACCCCTAGGAACTGGATACCAGTTATGTTGACTTCCTTCTGCATGTTTTTGCCAAAACAGAATTTGGGGCACAGCATCTTTTCACAGGGATAAAAATATCTTGTGGGGCCAGTCATTCTCATCCTCGGAATAGAAAAACATGCCAAAATCTTGAGTCCCCAGCGCCTAACAGAATCCAGACCCCTCTCACTCACTTCCGCCTCTTAGAGCCTTGTCCCCAGGGGGCTTTGAGGACAGGACTCAGCCTGCAGGGCCCCTGGTATTTATAGGGTCCAAGAGGAGGCACCTGCTTTTCAACTGCACCCTCAGTGCTGCCTCTTCACGGCCCCTAAACGTTTCCCTTTGAGGTTGTGATGCTGGGAATCACAGACTTCACTCTCTGCCTGCACCCTTCCCCGAGGTCTCATCTTTTCTGGGTCCCACATCTTTGTAATAATGTGAAAAAGCACAATTTGTCTGATCACCCCCCAGGTGGTTCCCCACCTTATTATCACTACCTGATCCGAGTTACTGCAATAAGTACGGCGCTTATTTATGGTGTTATTCACATGATTATAGAACAAGATTCATGTTTTCTCTGCCTAAGCAATGGAGGGCTATCATTCTTACTTGTTTGTGCTGTTGATAATGATAATACTTTTAGGACCTTAACTGAAAAGCTGCTTCGTGTTGAAGCCTGCTGCATGCACTGCTCTTTCAGTTGTTGAGGTCAGCCCCTCAGTTTTTTCTCCACCTTGAGGCCTTTGAAACTGTAAAAGCGGAAGTCGTTTTGTGTTCTGGATCTGTAACGTGACCATACCGTTCAGGTTCATGCTGGCATCCTTGGAGTAGGTTTGCTAATGTGAGAATTTCTGAGGTGAGGATCTCAGACACACTGACCAGAAGAAGCTTGTTAGGCAATGTGTGGAAGTGGCCGAATATACTTAAAAAGAGGTGCGCAGAGGCAGGCGGATCACTTGAGGTCAGGAGTTGCAAGACCAGCCTGGCTAACATGGTGAAACCCTGTCTCTATTAAAAATAGAAAAATTAGCCGGGCATGGTAGCGTGTGCCTGTAATGCCAGCTACTCGAAGGCTGAGGCATGAGAATCACTTGAACCCGGGAGGCGGAGGTTGCAGTGAGCCGAGATCACGCTGCACAGGAATTTCCAAAATACGTACTTGCAAAGTAATACAGAAACGTGACTTTCGGCAGCTACCCAAGATGATGCCTATTTTCAGTGTTGATGTATTCAGGCAGGGAAAAGGTTTACTTGGTGGAAACTCCTGTTAGAATTTCATTCGGGGTGGAAAGAATCTTCTCGAGCTCTCTGTAAGTGAGGATCTAAGAATAAAAGGCTCAGCCTAGTCATTTTTTTCTGTGCCCTACTGTATGAGTTGGGCAGAATTGAGTGCCACCTAAGCTGGGCTTCTGTGTGCCAAAATGCTGGTGGGTGAAATTAGTGAAATTCTTTCTATTCATTCCTTTGCCCTTCTCCCAAGAAAACCCATGGGGAAACAAATTACAGGGGATGAATTCCTTTAGAACTTTCCCTACTTAGAGTGTTTGAGATTCAGTTTCAAAAGGCACTCCATCTGTGTGTGTGGTTTAGAGAGCCTTGTTTTGTAAATTCCATTAAATTTCCTTTTTTAGGGCAGGAGCTCTGTACTCAGCAGTTAAAAGATTCATCTGGAGTCGCAAAATGAAAAGCCGTGTTCTAACCTGAGGAATCAGTTAGGGGACAGGAGTTCCGTGGGCCAGGAATGGGCTCAGGGAGTGGGGCTGCGTGTCACACACAGTAGCTGTGTTGCAGTGGCCTAGGGCCTTGGGGGTTGTCTTTAGGAAACACCCTGAGGGGAAGCAGGTAAAGAGCCTGGGCAGTATTGTGACTAGTTTCATTGTTTTCCTCCTGCTGAGGTCTAGCAGAGCCCTTGCTTTGTCCTCTCGGCTGGGTCTGGCTGCCAGCTGGTGTGATTTGAGAAACTGACCTTACGCGCAGTCAAGGTCCAGCTGACAAGGCCTTGTATTCCTTGGCTGGCCGTGATTGGCCCTTTCCTCTGCAGAAAGCAGCTTAGGGAAGCCCAAGCAAGGGAGTGTGGCCGGTAGAAGGCCCTCGTCGCTTCCTTCTGGAGCCAGCCCAGCCACACAACGTTTTCCAGATGCGTGAGTCTGGTTTGTGACATCCCGTTCCCTTCTGCCGGTTGGTCTGATGCAAGAGGAAGAGTTACAGTTGCTCTGAATTTTATTCTCAGCTGAAAATGTTAGCACGTGTATCTGGATGAACAAAACAGATGTGGATGTATCTGAGGATTGAGGGACTATCAATGCAGAGTTAATGTTAATGGTTATTAATTGTGATATACAATACTCAGGTGAGGAGTCAACATTCCTGGATTTAAAGAATCTACAGTTTTGTGCAATTGTGATTTGAGAAACTGGAAACATTGTGCCAATGGCTTTGAGTTCCTATAACAACGGTGTTAATTTGATTAACTCACTGATATCTTTTAAAAATAATAGACATTTGCTTCCTACACCTTTTTGTACATGACCTAAAGAGTATATTCCCAGAAGCTGCTGGTCAGACACATTTAGGGATGACAGTTGAAGAGGACTTTTTTAAAGCTGCATGTGAATATTTCCTCTGTGTGATTTGTCTGATGTAGAAAAGTTTTCCCCTCATTTTTATGAGTAAAAACACTAAGTGGGTGGCAGGGGGGTGGGGGTTCTTATGGGAGTGTCATACCGCGGCATGTTACCTGACTGGAGACTAGAGACTATTTCCATTATAAGCCTTCAGAAACCCAACCACGTCTTTACTGTGTCTAGCTTTTTAAATACTGATTGGTTAGTTTTATTTTTGCCCACAGTTTCTTGGGCAAAAAGGTTCTTCATTTTGTCTGAAAAAGAAATTATTTGCCAGAGGTATTTGGAGCCTCTTTGAAGGGGAGATAGAGTGGGGGTGGGTTGTGGGGAGGGTGGAGTTATTGGGGTTTTGGGGTTCTGTTTCCATACAACATTGTTTATTTCCGATTCCTCAGAAGATCCTTTATTATGAATAACCTCAGTGTAATGTTAATTTCCTGTCCCCATGTCAAAATTGTCACCCTAAGCCTTTTTTTTTTTTTTTTTTTTTTTTTTTGGAGACGGGCTCACTCTGTCAGCCACGCTGGAGTGCAGTGACATGATCTTGACTCATGGCAGGCTTGACCTCCTGGGCTCAAGGACCACCTCCCAAGTAGCTGAGACCACAGGTTTGCCCCATCACACCTGGCCGATTTTTATTTTTTTGTAGAGATGGGGTTGTCCAGGCTGGTCTCAAACTCCTGAGCTCAAGCAATGTGCCCGCCTTGGCTTCCCAAAGTGCTGGGATTATAGGCGTAAACCACTGCACGCAGCCTACCCTCTGCCTTTTTAAGATGATGTATTTATTTAATTTTTGCCATCATTGGTGCTTCACCTTCCTGCGAAGGAAATTCCAGAGCCTGTATTTAAGCTACCTAGGCTTTTACACTCCCTTTATTGCCTTTCCAAATAGTATCTCATTTGGTGTACTCTAGTGTCCTATACCTCTTGGAAACGAAAGAGGGCCCAACCTACAACTAAGAAGGGACAAACCTTGAACTAAGTAAGACCTTACACACCCAGAAAGAACACTGGGCCCTCCTTCTTCAGGGACAATGCAGTAGCCACTTGGCTTGTGGAATTTACTGAAGGCTATTTCCTGTAACTTGCTAGTTAACTTAGTTTTGTATTTCAGGCAGAGGTGCGCTCTGTAATGTTGGGCCTTTGACTTCACAGTACTGGAGAGCTGTTCACACAGATGTTTAGACCTTTCTCTCTCTCTCTCTTTTCTTCTTTCTCAACAACTCTTTCACAGAGGCAGTCATTTTGAAAGGTTGAAATATTTGGCCTTTACCAAAGAGCTTTTTTTTTCCTTAAGCAAAATCCTTTCAGAAAGAAACAAATGGGGAAGGGCAGATTAAGAATGCATATGTCCCAATCCACTTCTATAGGAGTTTAATCATATTCACATGAGTAAAATGATGGAAGAACTCTTTAAGGTAATCCTTTGGGATAAAGGATCCTGGGAAGTTCTCTCAGGTAAAGAAAGCTTACAGCAGATTTGTAATATATGTCTGGAGAGCTATTTATAAGAAATTTAAGAGGATTGTTTTGTTTTCCTTTATTAAAGATTTAAGCCTTTTTACTTTGCAAAAAGAAAACTACAAAAGTTTTATAGATATAACTTTGCTAATTTTTTAAACTTTTCTGAAACGATTAGCTGTAGCCAAATTATGTGGTTACGTTTTGCTACATTAGAATTTGAAAATGCAATATGTGTGGTAAATCTACTGTTTGAAATTTATAATGGTCTCTGATATGATTCGAATTTTGGTAACTTTTGAAAGTTATTTTCCCCCTTTAGTCATGGATTTCTATTTGTTTTTTAATGTTAATTTTTCTAGAAAGCATCTGAATTGACTAGGCTTTTCCTATATAAAAAACTCAAAACTTGTTAACTCTGTACTTTAATAAAATTTAAAATTAAAACTGTGTTGTTTTTTTCTCTTCTGCTAGATACATATATAATTAAAGTACTCAAGTTAGTTGTTTTGCAGAGATGTTGCCTTCAGATGTTAATCAGGTCTCTCAAGTTTCATGGAGTCTATGCTGATCCTTTAATTGACAAATAAAAGATATATATCTGTGGTGTGCAACATGATGTTTTGAAATATGTATATATTCAGGAATAGCCAAATCATGCTAATTAGCATATGCATTACCTCATGTTTTTGTGCTGAGAACATTTAAAATCTACTCACAGTAATTTTTTTTTTCTGTTTTTTTGGAGACAGAGTCTTGCTCTGTCACCCAGGCTGGGGTACAGTGGCGCGATCTCGGCTCACTGCAACCACCGCCTCCCAGGCTCAAGCGATTCTCTTGCCTCAACCTCCCGAGTAGCTGGGATTACAGGCATGTGCTATCATGCCCAGGTAATTTTTGTATTTTTAGTAGAGATGGGGTTTTGCCATGTTGGCCAGGCTGGTCTTGAACTCCTGACTACAGGTGATCTGCCCACCTCAGCCTCCCAAAGTGCTGGGATTACAGACGTGAGCCACCGTGCCCGGCCTACTCTCAGAATTTTTAAGGTACAGTGCCAGGTTCCTAACTCTAGTCACCGTGTTACACAGTAGATCTCCTGAACTTCTGGCTGATATTTTGTGTTCTTTGACCAACATCACCCTGAACTCCCCCCTCGCCCAGTCCCCCACCTCCAGCCCCTAGTAACCACCTTTACACTCTGCATCTCTTAAGTCAAACTTAGGAAGTTTGACTTTTTAAGATTTCATGGATCAGTAAGATCATGAAGCATTTGTCTTTTTGTGCCTGGCTTATTTTACTTAACCGTGTCTTCTAGGTTCCTCCAAATTGTTGCATATTGCAGGAGTTCCTTCTTTTTGAGGCTGAATTTTTTATTGTGTATATATACCACTTTTCCTTTTTTTGAGACAGAGTCTCACTCTGTCACCCAGGCTGGAGTACAGTGACATCATGGCTTATTTTGGCCTTGACTTCTTGGACTCAAGCAATCCTCCTGCCTCAGCCTCCCGAGCAGCTGGGACCACAGGCTACAACACCAAGCCTGGCTAATTTTTGTATTTTTTATACAGATAGGGTCTCACTATGTTGCACGGGTTGGTCTTAAACTCCCGACCTCAAGCAATCATCCTGCCTCAGCCTCCCAAAGTGCTGGGATTACAGACGTGAGCCACTGCGCCCAGCTCACTTTTTTTTTTTTTTGAGTTAGAGTCTTGCTTGGTCGCCCAAGCTGGAGTGCAGTGGCATGATCTCGGCTCACTGCAACCTCTGCCTCCCAGGTTCAAGGCAATTTTCCTGCCTCAGCCTCCCGAGTAGCAGCTGGGACTACAGGTGGCCGCCACCACACCTGGCTAATTTTTGTATTTTTAGTAGAGACGGGGTTTCACCATGTTGGCCAGGCTGGTCTCGAACTCCTGACCTCATGATCCGCCTGTCTTGGCCTCCCAAAGTGCTGGGATTACAGGTGTGAGCCACTGTGCCTGGCCACATATTCTTTATATTCATTTGTGGACACTCGGGCTGATTCTATATCTTGGCCATTATGAATAATGCTACAGTGAACATAGGGGTATGGATATCTCTTTGACATACTGATGTCATTCCCTTTGGGTATATACCCATTAGTGGGATTGCTGGATCATATGGTATTTCTACTTTCAGGTTTTTAGGTGTTTTTTTTGTTTTTTTTTTTTTTTTTTTTTTTTGAGACAGGGTCTCAGTCTGCCACCCCAGCTGGAGTGCAGTGGCACGATGTCAGCTCACTGCAACCTCTGTCAGCCTCCAGGTTCAGGTGATTCTCCCACCTCAGCCTCATGAGTAGCTGGGGTTACAGGCGCATGTCACAATGCCTGGCTAATTTTTGTATTTTTGGGGGTAGAGATGGTTTCGCCATGTTGGCCAGGCTCGTCTGGAACTCCTGACCTCAAGTGATCTGCCTGCCTCGGCCTCCCAAAATGCTGGGATTACAGGCGCGAGCCACTGCACCCAGCCTGACTTGAGCACTTTTTCATGTATCTGTTGGCCATTTGTATGTCTTTTGAGAAATACCTATTCAGGTGCTTTGTCAACTTTTTAAGTGGGTTGTTTTCTTGCTATTGAGCAGTTTTGAGTTTCTTATATATCTTGAATATTAACCCCTTATCAGATGTTGTTTGCGAGCATTTTCTCTGATGCTGTAGGTTGTCTCCTAACTTTGTGGTTTCCTTTGCTGTGCAGAAGCTTTTCAGTTTGATGTAATCTTGTCTACATTTTTGTTGCCTAGCTTTAGTTTCGGGTTTTAACAGCTAAGTCTTTAATTCATTGTAAGTTGATTTTTTAATATGGTATGAAATAAAAGTCTAATTCCGTTCTTCAACATGTGGCTATCCAGTTTTCCCAGCACCATTTATTAAAAAGACATTCCTTCTCCCATTGTTGTGCTAATTGTTGAGAATATAAATATGAAACCCCGAGCTTGTCTTCTTCCTCTGAAAGCTGTGGACCGCACTTCCTTTTTCCTGCCCTTATGCTGGTGACACCCTGTCCTGATATATGAGAATTAGAGTAAAGCATTTTTTTTTGTTTTTTTGAGACGAGGTCTCTTGCCTAGGCTGGAGTGTAGTGGTGTGATCGTAGCTCACTGCAGCCTCCAACTCCTGAGCTCAAGTGATTGTTCCACCCCAGCCTCCCGAGGGCTTGGGCCTACAACTCCTGCTCTCAAGTGAGCCTTCTCTCTTGGCCTCCCAAAGTGCTGGGATTACAGGTGTGAGCCACCACACCGGGCACTTAACCATTTTTAGGTGTACAGTTCAGTAGTAGGAAGTGCATAGAACATTCACATTATTTGGCAGCCAATCTCCAGAACTCTTCAATTTGCAAAACAACTCATTAAGGAACTCCCTGTTCCCCACTTCCCCTCTCCTGTGGCAACCGTCATCCTACTTTCTGACTCTGAATTCATCATTTGCTTTTTTTTTTTTCTTCCCTCTGCTTCTTCCCACATAGATACTGATAGTCTTCAGCTCTCCCAGCTTTTGATTTTTGATTGTGCTATCTAGTTGCTATTTTTATGTAGCAATTCAGGAAGATCCAAAAACTATGCTTCTATCATTGCCCCCATCTCTTCCATTCACACTTGAACTCGCCACAATAAAGCTTTCACACACTTAAATTGAAAACTGCTTTTCGAAGTCATGGGTGACTTCCATGTTGCCACGTCCATCGTCCTTACTTTACTTGACCTATCAGAAGCACTGGACACTATGAACTGTTTAAACTGCACTGCAAACCTTATTCAGATTTCATACACTCATCCTTACTTTTTGAAAGGGATTCTCTATTGTAGTTATCTTTTTCCTCCTCACATTGTACAAGGAATGTGGGAGGCAGATAACTTGTCTTTTTAGTTCTTGGGTCCCTGCACCCACAGAGCCATCCCTGTGGAGCCTTATCCACACACAGCTGGACCTGATTTACTTCCTAACTCCACCTTCTGGGTCGGCCTTCCTTTACTATTTGAAAAAGCGTGATTGGGCCTGGCGTGGTGGCTCATGCCTGTAATCCCAACATTTTGGGAGGCTGACGCGGGAGGATCACTTGAGGCTGGGAGTTCAAGACCAGCCTGGGCAATATGGTGAAACCCCGTCTCTACAAAAAATACAAAAATTAGGCGGGCTTGGTGGCATGTGCCTATAGTCCTAGCTACTCCAGGGAGGCAGAGGTTATAGTGAGTTGTGATTGTGCCATTGTGCTCCAGCCTGGGCAACGGAGGAGACCCTATCTCAACAACAAAAACCCTGATTTGCAGCCAAATAGTTTCCTCAGCCTATTTCCTGCCAGTAAATGGTTAGGAGCCCAGTGGCTTTGTTTTGAACAGTCTTTGTCCATTTTAGTCCAAGCTAGTGGTGCTTGTGTTAGTTCAGTTCTCTTAAAAACATTGTGAGTTTTCTGTGGATTTTACTGGGATTCACTGTGTTAGATAAAAACCATCTCCACCAATCTTTTTAAGATACGCTCCCTCTCTGGGGTGCATGTCAGGGTGCTGTGTGAGAACACACTTGTTCTTTCAGAAGCCTGTTTGTCTAACTAACCATGAGGGTTTGAGAAGCAATTCCTTACATCTTTCTGGGATTTTAACAAAGGGCCTCATGTTGACCAGAGGCCACGTTTTACTTGTGGCATCGAAACCACCTTTGCATAAATTATAACTGAGAGGATTATGACAATGAAAGAGATGTGACCTAACTTACTGATTTGTTCCTAACCTCCAAGCTGTCCTTGTTCATTCCTGGGTGTAGGCTGAACTAATTTTGGAAGGAACTTAACTTACAGTTTAACTTTGTTTTTTGTTGTTGTTGTTTATTTTGTTTTGTTTTGTTTTGAGACAGAGTCTCACTCTATCACCCAGGCTGGAGTGCAGTGGCCCCATCTTGGCTCACTGCAATCTCCACCTCCTGGGTTCAAACGATTCTCCTGCGTCAGCCTCCTGAGTAGCTGGGACTACAGGTGCACGCCACCACGCCAGACTAATTTTTGTATTTTTAGTAGAGACAGGGTTTCACCATGTTGGCCAGGCTGGTCTCGAACTCCTGATCTCAAATGATCTGCCTGCCTCGGCCTTCCAACGTGCTGGGATTACAGGTGTGAGCCACCACGCCCGGCCTATAGTTTAACTTTGAAACAAAGATGGTACCAGCCCTTTCCCTGAACAAACACCCTTTTAGCCTGGGAACTATAAACTGCCTTTGCAGGACTAACAAATTAGCTACAAGATTAGAAATTGTGGTTTAGGAGTCATGCAGCTGGAGGTGGCAAGATTCTAAACCCCTCCAAATTGCTCCTCCAGATAACAGGTATTTTGGAGACCCTGCACTCGATGGATCAGCTGTCCCTAACCAGATTGATAAATTGGTTCATCTGGTCTTGTGGCCCCCACCCAGGAACTGACTCAGCACCAGAGGACAGCTTCAACTCCCTGTGATTTCATCTCTGACCTAACCAATCAGTAGTCCCCACTTTCTGACCCCCTGCCCACCAAATTATCCTTAAAAACCCCATCCCAAGTCTTTAGGGAGACTGATTTGCGTAATAATACAACTCCAGTCTCCCGTACAGATGACTGTGTGTGGATTAAACTCTTTATTGTAATTCCCCTGTCTTAAATTGAGTCTGCCTAGGCAGTGGGCAAGGAAAATTCGTTGGGCGGTTACAGCATCTTAGATTTGTTCTTTGCCTCCAAGTTTTATTTTGATTTTAGAACACGCTGCTAACTGACTCAGACAGTCTTGGGCCCTCTATATTCTTCTAAAATTTGCTTGAAAGGTGAACATTTCCCTCTTTAGTTTATCTCTTTCTGTACGTTATCAACTATTACAAGCCACTTGGCATTTTCAGCACTCTGCATGAAAATGTCCTTAGCCAGTTCATGAACACATGTACCATCTTCCACATTGCTACAAGTGACAGTGTAATTGAGCTGCCAGTATGTAACTCAGGCCCCCTTTTCTCTAGCCCACAAGAGCAAGAGCAAGTTTTTCCTCCCTGTTTTAGGCTAGTGTTAGGCCTTTCTTGCATTGCTCTAAAGGAATACCCAAGACTGGGTAATTTATAGAGAAAAGGGGTTTATTTGGCTCATAGTTCTGCAGGCAGTATAAGCATTGGTACTGGCATCTGCTCGGCTTCTGGAGAGGCCTCAGTGAGCTTTTACTCACTGTGGAAGGTGAAGTGCGAGCAGGCACGTCACATGGCAAGAAGAGGAGCAGGTAGGGAGAGGTGCCACACACAACCAGATCTCATGAGAACTTACTATTGCGAAGACAGCACCAAGCCATGAGGGATCTGCAACCATGACACCTCCCACCAGGCCCCACCTCCAACGCTGAGGATTACATTTCAACATGAGATTTGGGAGGGACAAATATCAAACCATGTGAAGACACCAACAGCCTTCTCACTGCTCTTCAGTCTTCTATGTGTTACTTGGTCCCAAACATGTAGCAATTGGCTTTAGGTTTTCATTCCAGTAGTATTTCATGTTCTGGTGCCAATTTTTATTCCAGTCCCCTATTGCTGTGTAATGTCAATCTGAAAGAAAGAACTAAGGGCCAGGCACGGTGGCTCACACCTGTAATCCCAGCACATTGGGAGGCCGAGGTAGGAGGATCACTTGATCCCCAGAGTTTGAGACCAGCCTGAGCAACATAATGAGATCTTGACTCTACAAAAAATTTAAAAATTAGCCAGGCATGGTGGAAATAAAAAAAAAAAGAACTAAGGCAAATGCATATAGGTAAAGAGTTTATTTGGGCCAAATTTGAGGATTGCAACCTGGGAAGCACTTATATACCAAGTCCAGGAGGTGCTCCAGGTTGGGGTGGTTACAAGCAGATTTTAAGGAACAACATGAGGAGATACAACAAGGTGGTCTCAGCATGTTCATATAGAAATACCATTAGTTAACAGAAATAAGCTAACAGATGATTAGCTAAGGAGTACAGTGCTTCTTGGAATAGTCATCAGTTTGTGATTAACCCAGACCTGGAGTTCCTTACAGAAGCAGGAGGGGGTCTAGGAATTTCAGGAAAGTAACTGTGGGGTCTCGTGCCTACTCCCCTGTGGCCCGTGCTATTTAGTTCATCTCTATTTGTCTCTTTTGTCATCAGTAACAAATCACACTAAAACTTAATGGTTTAAAACAACAATTGCTATTATTTGCTCATGGTTTGGGGGTGAAAAATTTGTGCAGAGCATGTTGAACATGGCTCATCTCTGTTATCTGGTGTCCGCGGCTTCAACTGGCTGGCTTGAAAGCTAGGGGCTGGCAGAAATGCTCAACTAGGCCGAAATGGCTGGGCCTTGGTTCTCTTCTACGTATCTTTCTCCATATGCCTTCTGGGTTCCAAGAAGGAGCATTTCAAGCGGTGAAAGGAAGGCTTCTAAAACAGTTCCTAAGGCCCAGTCTGGAATTTACAGTATTACAGAATCTAGTTACAGAACTAGATTCTGTTCGTCAGGATTGGTTTAGGCTCAGCCCAAATTCAAGGAAAAAGGAAAGAGACCCCATCTCTTCTTAGGACAGTGACAAGATCACATTGCAAAAGACTATGTGAGGTGTGAGATATTTCTGCTGCCATCTTTGGAAACACAATTTACCACACCCTCAAAATGGCTTCCCGTTTCCTTTGAAGTAAAAGCCAAAGACTCTACAGTGGTCTACAAAACCCTGCATGACCCATTCCCTATCCCTGCCTCAACTACCCTCTTTGCCCACTCTGTTCCAGCATTACTGGCTTCCTTGCTGGTGTTCAAATCCAGGAGGTATGCTCCTCCTTCCCCCTCTCCCCCGCAGGCTCTCTGCACACACTCTTTCCCATACTGGAATGCTTCTCCCTTGGATAGCACTTGGCCCATTCTGTCACTGTATCAGTCTGTTCTCACGCTGCTAATAAAGACATACCCAAGACTGGGTAATTTATAAATGAAAAAGGTTTAATTGATTCACAGCTCCACATGGCTGGGGAGGCCTCAGAATCATAGCTGAAGGCGAATGAGGAGCAAAGTCATGTCTTACATGGTGGCAGGCAAGAGAGTGTGTAGGGTCTACCATTTATAAAACCATCAGATCTCGTGAGACTTATTTACCACTATGAGAACAGCATGGGAAAGACCCAGTCCCATGATTCAGTTACCTCTCACCAGGTCCCCCCCATGACACATGGGAATTATGGGAGCTACAGTTCAAGATGAGATTTGGGTAGGGACACAGCCAAACCATATCAGTCACCATCCTCACACTCTTCCTCAAATATGTATTACATTTTCAGTGAAGTTCTCCCTGACTATTCTATGTAAGATTTCACTCTCTCCCTGAATTTCCTACCCTACTTTACTGCTTTATTGTTTTCTATAGTACTTATCACCATCCAGCCAACTATATACATTTTCTTACCTTTTCAGTTTGTCTTCAGTGGCACTAAAATTCAAGCTCCCTTAGGGGTAGGGATGTGTTCACTCCTGTATCCCCAGTGTCTAGAATGATGCCTGGTACATAATAGGTGCTTAGTAAATAGGTGACAAATGAATAAATGAACAAATGGATGGATAAAAGAAAGATTTGTGGATGGCAGTAGTGAAAAACAAGACATCGTAGTGCCTTGTGAAGGACTTTTAAATGCCAATTGAAATGTCTAAACTCTATTTAGGGAATGGGACATAGGAAAGGGTGATACTTAGGTAGATAGTGGATGATATCCTTCTAGGCATATGGAAAGATAAAGATAGGTGCTGGAAAGAAGAGATTTGAGTATCTGAACTTAAAACAAATTATATCAAGGTTACGACAAACCGGGAAGATGTAATTACAGATAGGGCCCTGTTGTATTGCCCAGGCTCAAACTCTTGGCCTCAACCAAGTAGCTGGGACTACAGACACAAGCCACCACAACCAGCAATATATTTAGTAATTAAAATGCCTTCTTTTTTTTTTTTGAGATGGAATCTCGCTTTGTTGCCCAGGTTGGAGTGCAGTGGCGCGATCTTGGCTCACTGCAACCTCTGCCTCCTGGGTTCAAGTGATTCTCCTGCCTCAGCCTCCCGAGTAGCTGGGATTACAGGTGCCTGCCACCAGGCCCGGCTAGTTTTTGTATTTTTAGTAGAGTTGGGGTTTCATCATGTTGGCCAGGCTGGTCTTGAACTCCTGACCTCAAGTGATCCACCCACCTTGGCCTCCCAAAGTGCTGGGATTATAGGCATGAGCCACCAAGTCCGGCTAAAATGCTCTTATAAACCAATAAGAATATAATAGAAAAACAGTTGGTCAAAAAAACATGAAACTATCCTTCAATCTTACTAGTAATTAAGGAAATTTTGTTTCACTTATCAAATGGTGATTAATTTTCAACTAAGCACTGAAGACGATATTGAGGAAGACTGCATTTTGTATGTTGTGGTGGGAGTGTGGCTTAAATTGCCTGGCACATTTAGCAAAATGTATCAAAACTGTTAAAAAATGACACACCTTCTGACCTCGCAATTCCAATTTAAGGAATTTCCCTAAGGAGTTAATAATAGTTTCAACTATTCAGTTACAAGAATATCACTCAAATAGAGTTCATAAAAGCAAAATAATAGAAATAATTTAAATTCACTTAGAACATCTATATATGGAAATGTTAACCTAGCTAATAAATACAGTGCTGTAGAAAAATATCTTATTGAATGTGTTCTGAATGCCTTGTAAAAAATAATTTAGACAGCTGTTGCCAGGCACAGTGGCTCATGCCTATAATTCCAGCTACTTGGGAGGCTGGGGTGGGAGGATCACGTGAGGCCAGGAGTTCAAGACCAGCCTGAGCAACATAATGAGACCCTGTCTCTACAAAAAAATTGTTTTAAAACTTATCCAGGCATGGTGATGCACACCTGTAATCCCAGCTGCTCTTAAGGCTGAGGTGGGAAGATCCCTTGAGTGCAGCAGATGAGTTCCAGGCTGCAGTGAGCTATGATTGCATCACTGCACTCCAGCCTCAGTGACAGAGGGAGACCCTGTCTCTAAAACAATCAAACAAACAAACAAAACCTATATACAGTGCTATCCAAGTTATGCACACATGCATAAACGTACTCGTGTGCACATGGACCCAAAGGAAATGTACCCAAATGTTTACCTACCATTACGTCTTCACAGCGGCACCTCCTCCCTGCTTTTCCCTCCTTCATATTTTGGGAAGTTTTCTAGTAGGAGCAGCCATGTGTTTTCCATACAACTCTCCTGTCATAGCTTCAGTTAATTGATCCAAGAGTGGACTTTCCATCTAAGCTGGACAATCAGTGTCTTTCTGGAAATTTCTTCGAAATGGCTGCTGTCTTGAACCAAGGAGTTTGGAAACTTGAAAGATGTTGTTAGTGACTGTTTTAAGCATCACAGACATAGAAAGAAAGCCAATCTGCAGAAAGATATAGGATTAAAACAGCTGTGCAGAGGAGCAATTGTGGAAGAGAGGAGAGGGAGGGAAAGAGTAAGAATGAATGGACTTCCTGGATTTCCTTATAATGTTCCAGTCTGCAACTCTAATCCATTCTGGAGGCCCAGCATAATAAAATAATAATGATAGCCAATGTTTATTGAACACTTAATGTGTGCTTGGCATAATTCTCACAATGATCCTATGGATGTTACTGTTCTAATCCCCATTATGGCAATGGAATAAAGGCAAACTTTTCTTAAAATCCTTACTAATTTGCTTTCACAGAAACTGCCAGATCTCCCCTCTCTCCCCAGTTCCCTTTCCTGCCTCCTCTTTTCTTCACTGCCTCCCCTCCCCACAAGATCTTCCCCTTTAGGTCAATCTTTCCTTTCCATATGCAGTGCTTTCTCTGGGCTTCTTTATTTGTATAACCATTATATCAGTAAGGAATTGCATTTGACAAATGGACCACAGGGACTTAAAAACCTGGGATGTTGGTTCAGCAGCTCAAGGACGTCAGGTCAAAGATTACTGTGGATTTCTGGTTTCCCCTTGTGGCCCCAGCAGCTGCTTTGCCAATCCATCTAATCTGCATTCCAGCCAGAAGACCCTGAGGGCACTGGGCTCCCTGGAGAAAAATTCATTGCATGTTTTACGGCAGGAAATATCAAGATGAGTCTGGAAATATCTTCTTATTGCCAGAAAACAAACATACTTTCAAAGACCCTTGGAAGACAAGCTAAGTTATGTCTAGTCATAAATTTTATCTAGAAATAAGTTTTGTAACCATTATAGTATTTTGTGTATATTTTTCTGCTTTTTAAGGTAAGTAAAGAGACTGATTCATTAGACTCAAAATATTAGTAAAAATTTATAAGATGTTGATAACTAAGTTTGAAATAATGTTCAAATGTTTAAATTGTTAAATCTTTAAATTTATAATTTATTAAATTTGTAAGGTTAAACTTTTTAAGTTCAGTATGTTTTCAGTGTTTATTAAGATTTTGCCTATAGAAATGTGAGTCTGCTTTGTTGTTTTTTTCCTTGAGAAATCAATTAAAATTAGATTGTAGTTTGAAATGTCTAAAACTTAATTCTGAAAGTTTGATAAATATTTGGGAGTACCTTATCAAATTTACAAGCCAGTTGGGCATTCATCAAAACCAAATAAAAGTAGATAATAAAATATTAACAAAACTGATTTATAAATTAACACAAGTTTAAAGTCTTCAAAATTAAGTTTTAAAACATATAATTTAAATATATAAAATATAAGTTGAAATTAAAGGGAGTATTTATTTCAATGCATAAAGGCTCTCTTCAGACATAAAGAAAACTCAGATGACATTTTGGAGGTAGGTGGTATCAGTCAGTGTCGGCTAAGTTATGCTGTGGTAACAAGCAACTCCAAAACCCTCAGTGGCTTACAATGACTAAAGTTCAGTTCTTGCTCACATTGTGGGCTACCGGTAGCTTTGCTCTAAGTTTTCCATCCTGGGACCAGCAGTCTGTATTTGGGATATTGCTGGTTTCATGGAAGAGAGAACGAACATAGTAGAACCATATGATGAATCAGAGCTTCTGCTTCGAAGTGGCACACATCACTTCTGTTATCATTGCATTGGTCAAAGCAAGTCTCATGGCCACTCTTGAGGTCAAGGAGATGAGAATATGTAATCCTCCCACAAGAAGGGACACCTCAAACCACATCTCTAAGGCTGATGCAATGAAGTGGGGAAGTATTATCTTCCCCAGGGTGGGGCAGCAAATATTTTGAGTAATAAAATCTACTGTAATGGGGAATAGGAGGTTTTTAAAAAATTCTTACAACTTAGTTTTTTCCCTGTCACATAGGCTGTCAGTATATCCTAACTTACAGAAGTGATTGTGATTGTGTCTGGGTGTTGGAATTATGGTGATTTTAATCTTCTTCTTTGAAAGTTTTTGATGATGAGTATATATTTATTTTGTAGACAAATTAACAATTTTTAATTAAAAATTTAAATTATACCAGGCTTGGTATCGCATGCCTGTAATCCTATCACTTTGGGAGGTCAAGGTGGGAAGATCACTTGAGCTTAGGAGTTTGAGGCCAGCCTGGGCAACATAGTGAGACCCTGTCTCCATTTTTATATAAACAAATAAGCAAAAATTTTGATGAAAAATTTTTTTGTAACCAAATTAAAATTTATGAATTTCATTTGTACAAAAAAGGCAGTGGATAACTAACTTGTTTTTAATATTGGAATGGTAGTATGTGCAGAACAGTGTTTTAGAAAAATACATCTCACAACATTGAAGAAGAAAATGTATGTTGGAGATTTTGTGTTTTAGATATATCTCAACCTGTCAGCTTTGAAAGAATGTGGCTATGAAATGGAGTGTGTTTGTTAAAGAAATAAGTAAATCAGTAAGTGAATGTTGGTTAGTTGGGTGGAGAAAGGCTTAGAAGCATCTAGCACTAAAAGATATATTCTTTTGTGGTTATCTGGCTGATGTCATGAAATTCTGACTTATACCACCAGGGAAGCTTACATTTCTCTTTGGCAGGGAACTTCAAATTTAGTACAGTTTGGACCTCACTGCATAGTCATAGTAAAAACTTTTGTACTTAATTGACTCTTCGTTTGCTTCTGGTTTTATAGTGGCCTTCCTGATGAACCAGCTTTTTATAATCCAAATTGGATCTGTGCCTACTTAATTGTTTCTGTCCCAATTCTACTTGGTGGTCAAGACTGAATCAGATTTTCGGTTCCTCCTTCTCCTCTCGTTTTGACTTTCCAGTGTATTCAACTGAATTTTCATCATAATGACTCCAAAGTACTCTTCTCTTCCTTTGTCTTGTGGTCACAAGAAAAATCACAAGATCACATTGATGGATGACTCATGAGCTCCTCATCTTTCTGATAGAGTCTCTGAACTGAACCAGCGTGAGTCTAGGTTTGCAGGAAGGCTTTTGATTCAGCCTTGTGATTCTCATGAATAGATGGCAATAGAATTAATTTCTCTCTCGATCTTGCTTTTCTTTTTCAACTAATAACTTTATTTACATCTATTTTCCTCCCTACCCAACCCACTGCATGTCCTTTTCTTGACCCAGGTGATGACGTTTCTTAAACCAGTTTGCTCTTCTCCGTATCCAAAGCTGCTCTCGTAGGTCACCATTATAACTCCACAGTTAATGCAGCAACTGCCCAGCTGAGTCTTCCCATCATCGGACGTCCCCAATCCATTCCAGCCATGGTGAGCTTTCAATAATGCAAATCAAGTCTTCAAGGTCATTCCTGTGTAGAAAGCCCATTGCCTTCTTCATATACTTACGGCTTTCAAGTTCCTTCATATCTAGTCTCTGTTCCCCTTTCTAGCCTACCTCCCAGTACTCTCACTCCAATATAGCTCATGTCAAACAGATACTACTTTTGGTTTCCTGAAATGCCTTTCCTTGACAGTGAACCTTGCTTCTGCCTGAAACACTCTCTCTTTCCCTATTTCTATCAAGCTCCCTGATTTTCAAGGTTCATTTCGGGCAGCATGCCCTCTAGGAAGCATTTCTTGGCAGCCTGATCCTCTGCCCAGCCTCTCATCTGATTTAGGCCATAGATTGAGCATAACATGTTTCACAGTATTGTAATTGTTCGTTTATGTGGTGGTATCTCCTCACATTGAGGGTAGAGATTGTGGTTTTGGTTTTTGTGTTTGTTTTATCATTGTATACCTAGCACCTAGCATAAGGTTGTGATGTACAATTGTTTGCTATATGAATGAATGAATGGATGGATGCCTTCACAAGAAAAATCGCTCACTAGACCATGTTGGTCAGTAGCAGGTACTGGGAGGCACAGAGTCAAGAGTCTAGCACGTGACACATGACAACTGTCTCACTGTGCCATCAGGAATGGAGTGGACCCCTATTGGGATGTCCATCCCCCTACCTTTTTTGGTTGGAACCATCCCTCTTCTCTCCCCTCCCCTCCACACAGTGACAGGGATGGGCTTCTGATTGCCATGTTCATAAACAAGACTACCTGCAACTACTCCCCACCCTGGGTGGGAGTTGGGCACTGTTAGTAAATTGGTCAAGGATGGTGCCTGACCCAAGGTGGTTCAGTCTGTGTCCTTCTCCAGGAACTTGGAATCAGGACGTACAGAGAGTTGCCTCTCTGCAGGTGACGAGATAAGCACAGGCCCTGTCCATGGTCATGTTTTTGGCCATTTGGACCAGAGAACCCGGTTTGCAAGAAGACAAGATTTCTAAGATCCAAGCTCGGATTGCTTTTCCAGACTCCGGCTCTAGGGTCTTCCCATGGCTGTGCAGCTTTCCTGAGCTTGAGGTTCCATGAAACACTCCTGCATCCTTACATGAAATTTCCTTGTATTTAAGCCCTAAATCTCCCTGAAAAACAAGGACTGTGGAAATAAATGAAGACCACCCAAATAAGAACAAACAAAGCCTACTATAGAGAGGTTGCAAGGTAGTCAGCCACCATCACTTGTGTTTGGCAGACACTTAAAGGCAGGCAGAGGTGTGGAAAAGCCTTGTGGTAGAAAAAAGGGAACACTTTGGGCGTGCCCTGAGACTGTTGGCACGGGGAAGCTGCAAGTGGGCCAGCTAGAAGTGCGGCATGCTATGTGATTGGTTGGGGGTGCCCATTTGGCTTTCTCTGGTTAGTCCAAAGTTGGAGGTAGGGGCAAAAATTATGGGAGCTGTCAGTTTATTAATCGAGTCCTGGCCATTTGGGGTCCATTGCTAAGGGGGTTATTGCTTTGCTTCCTGGATTGGTTACTGCAGATAATATGTTGGCTTCCCAGGCTAGTTGCCACAGATTGTGGGTCAGGGTTCTATTTTGATATCTAGTCTGGCCATCCGCATATTCAGTATCTCAGGACAATACCTCTCTCTCCTTCCTTCACTGGGAAACTTTTTAAAATCTTCTGAAATTTACCTGGTTAAGTGCATAATGTGTGCAGGAACAGTTTCAGCTTTCGGAAAGGGAGGATGTTTTAGAACAAGAGGCACAGAAACAAGGATATATGTGCCAGGCCAGGAAGCATTATTACAGGACACGATATCAGAATAAGCTACCTTCCCCTTCCATAACTTCCAGGGCTGGTGGAAAGGGGAGGTCAATACTGATGGACCCTGCACGTTCTCAGGTGCAAGGACCCACTGGGAGAGTGAAGGTGAGCACATTGGGCTTTGAAGTCATTTTGCTTAACTTTGTTTTCCTTGACAGCAGCTCCGCTTTTAAGTTTTGGATTTGGGGGCTGGTGAGATGGGGAGCTGGATCATCTCTGTTCAAAGAGCTGCAGCTGATGCCCAGACTATGTCACATTCTCACTATAAGGGCAGGAAGCTCCCTAACAGACAACTCAGCACAAGGAACTGAGCAAATGTAAAGCTAAGAGCATACTCAGATATCATCACTCTAACTTCCACCATCTCCCCATGTCACTTTTTATTAATAAAAAATAAGTGAGGAAGCTAGGCATGGAGGCTCACGCCTGTAATCCCAGCGCTTTGGGATCCTGGGATCCTCCCAGCTGAGATAGAAGGATCTCTTCAAGCCAGGAGTTTGAGACCAGCCTGGGCAACATAGTGAGACCCCATCTCTACATAAAAAATAATTTTTTTAAAAAAATCAGCCAAGTATGGTGGCATGTGCCTGTAGTCCTAGCTACTCGAGAGATTGAGGTGGGAGAACTGCTTGAGCCCACGATTTTGAGGTTACAATGGGCTATGATCACACCACTGCACTCCAGGCTGGGAAAGAGAGTGAGACTCCGTCTCAAAGAAAAATTGATGACAAAACAGATTAAGAGAATGTATTAGTTTTTTTATTGCTGCTGTGACAAATCACCACAAATTTAACAACATAAATTTATTAGTGGACAGTTCTGTAGTCAGAAGTCCAGGCAGGCTTGCCTGATTTCTATGCTCAGGAATAGCACAGGGCTGGAAATCAAGGTATTGGTTGCAGAGCTTTTACCTGGAGGCACTGAGAAAAATCTGCTTCCAAGTTCATTCCAATTATTGGCTGAATCCAGTTCCTTACAGCTGTAGGTCTGAGGTTCCTCTTTCCTTGCTGACTGTTAGGCAAGGGCCACTTTCAGTTCCTTGAGGTATTCCTTCTCACGTGGTGCTGCCATCTTCAAGCAGCAATGGCACTTGAGTCTTCCTCATACTTCAAATCTCTCCGAATTCCCCTTCTGTTGTGTAAAGGGCTCTTGTGATTAGATCAGGATCACCCAGATCATCTCTGTATTTTAAGGTTGACTGACTTGAAACTTTAATTACATTTGCAGAATCCCTTCACAGGAGTACCTAGATTTGTGTTTCTCAGGGAGGTTATGATGGTTAATACTGAGTGTCAACTTGATTGGATTGAAAGGATTGATCTTGGGTGTGTCTGTGAGGGTATTGCCAAAAGGGATTAACATTTGAGTCAGTGGGCTGGGAAAGGCAGACCCACTCTTAATCTGGGTGGGCACAGTCTAATCAGCTGCCAGCACTGCTAGAATATAAGCAGGCAGAAAAATGTGAAAAGAAAGATGGGTCTAGCCTCCCACTCTACATCTTTCTCCCGTGCTGGATGCTTCCTGCCCTCAAACATTGGACATCAGATCGGCCTGCAGATGGCCTATTGTGGGACGTTGTGATCGTGTGAGCTAATATTTAATAAACTCATATTATATATATATATATACTATTAGTTCTGTCCCTCTAGAGAAGCCTGACTAATACAGAGGTCATCCCTAGAATTTGTCCTACTACAGAGAGATTGCAATTTACACCATATGAGAATTGTGAATAGAATAAAATGTTTGCACAGATGCTGGGTACTGTGTAATTGTTATTTGGAGGTGGAGAAAGGGGGTGAACATTTCCTGACTGATATGGTTTGGATGTGTGTCCCCTCCAAATCTCAGGTTGAAATGTGATTCCCAGGGTTGAAGATGGGACCTGGTGGGAGGTGTCTGGGTCGTGGGGGCAGATCCCTCATGAATGGTTTTGTGCCCTCCCCGAGGTAATGAGTGGGTTCTCACTCTATTAAGTTCACATGAGAGCTAGTTGTTTAAAAGAGCCTGGCATCTCCTCCCCCTCTCTTTCTCTCTCTGTCGCCATGTGACACACCTGCTTCTGCCATGATTGGTAGTTTCTTGAGTCCTCACCAGAAGCAGATGCTGGTGCCATGGTTGTACAGCCTGCAGAACCATAAGGCAAAATAAACCTCTTTTTAAAATAAATTACCCAGTCTCAGGTATTTCTTAATAGCAATGCAAAATGGATTAACACACTGACTATAGGTTAGTTGTAAAATAGATCCCAAAAGTGTATGATATAGTTTAGATGGCCCCTCCAAATCTCATGTCGAGATGTAATCCTCAGTGTTGGAGGTGGGGCCTGGCGTTTGGGTCATGGGGGTGGATGCCTCACGCCTTGATGCTGACCTTGTGATAGTCAGTGAGTTTTTGTGAATAACTAGGGGACAGCAATCTCAGGGAGGTCATCCTGAGATTCCTCACCACCACACCAACTCTCACTCTTGATTCTACTCTGCCATGTGAGATGCTTGCTCTGGCTTTAAGTAAAAGCTCCCTTAGGCCACCCCAGAAACTGAGCAGATGCCAGCACCTTGCTTGTGCAGCCTGTAGAATCATGAGCCAGTTAAAACTCCTTTCTTGGAAAAACAGACAAACAAACAAACTCCTTTCTTGGCTGGGTGCGTTGGCTCATGCCTGTAATCCCAGTACTTTGGGAGGCCAAAGTGGGCGGATCACCTGAGGTTGGGAGTTCGGGACCAGCCTGACCAACATGGAGAAACCCCATCTCTACTAAAAATATAAAATTAGCCAGGTGTGGTGGCACATGCCTATAGTCCCAGCTACTCAGGAGGCTGAGGCAGGAGAATCACTGGAACCTGGGAGGCGGAGGTTGCAGTGAGTCAAGATCGCGCCATTGCACTCCAGCCTGGACAACAAGAGCGAAATTCTGTCTCAAAAAAAAGAAAAAGCCTCCAAAACTCCTTTCTTTATAAATTAAAGTCTCAGGTATTTCTTTATAGCAATGCAGGTATTTCTTTTCTTTTTTTGAGACAGAGTCTCACTCTGTCCCCCAGGCTGGAGTGCAGCCTGAAACTCGGCTCACGCAACCTCTGCCTCCTGGGTTCAAGCGATTCTTGTGCCTCAGCCACCCGAATAGCTGGGATTACAGGCGCCTGCCCCCACACCTGGCTAATTTTTTGTATTTTCAGTAGAGATGGGGTTTCACCATGTTGGCCAGGCTGGTCTCAAACTCCTGGCCTCAAGTGATCCTCCTGCCTCAGCCTCCCAAAGTGCTGGGAGGTGTAAGCCCCCACGCCTGGCCATGGGTATTTCTTTAAAGCAACTATATTATAACCTAATATGGTATATGAGCTTATTTCTCGTTTGCAGAAGAGTCCAAGGCAGGCATTCTAGTTGATGGATAGCTTTCCCCTACCTAGTAACTCAGGCATACAGGCTCCTTCCATGTTGTAGATCCCCAGTTCCCTAGAACCTGTCACCTGCATCCAAGTGATGTAAGACAAAAGAAAACCTGGAGGAGGCATATCTGTTCCTTAAGCCTTTGCCAAGAATAGGTACTATAACTTAGAACCATATCCCCTTGGTGAGAACTAGTGTGGCCGTGCCTGGCTGCAAAGGGTGCTGGGAAATATAGTCTAGTTGTGTATGAACAAGAAGAAGAAATGGATTGGTGAATAGTAGCAGTCTCTGCTTCAATCTACTATGAGCAGGCACTTTACATAATTATCATTGAATTAACACCACTACCCTGACAGGTATAGCCCCCCCTTTATAGAAGAGGAAGTTGAGATCCAAAAAAATGAAGTAACTTGCCCAAGGTCCCACAGCTATTATGTGGACGACCCAGGATTGGACCCTATTTCTGTTTAGTTTCCAAACTCTTACTCTTTCCAGTATTACATATTGACTCCTAGGTAGCAAGCCCCTACCTAGGTTGGACTATAATTTGATTGCTATGGTTGAACCAGAATTACCAAAGGGGGTTATTTAAAATGGTTGGTTCCTATCCCCACTCTGTTGAAGCTTTGTTTAACCAGCCTGGTAGAGGCCCAAAAATGTGCATTTAAACAAGCTCTCTGGGTTATTCAGATGTGCTGTAATGTTTGTAATATACCAGAACAGCTTTCCCTTCTGGGATGGGGAAATCATTAAGGTAAATTCCCAGTTGCCATCTGGAAAAGTCCTCCTCTCTGGGATTTGGGATCATAATCTATTTATGAATTTCTGGAACTTCTCCAGTGTAGCTGACCTTCCATCTGTAGGAATGGCGTCATGTGGAGGGATTCAAAGAATAGTTAACAACAGTGCAGTGAGTGCAGTTAGTTCTATGTGCCTGCCCTGGTGGCCCTGTTCTCTGCTGACAAACCCACCCAGCTGATCCCTGCACTGCTTAGATTGGGGTCACTATTGGGTGCCTCTAATTCGCTCCTTTAGATCCCTGTGGAATCTTACATAATTGGTGATATTGGCTGTCTAGGCCACTGGTTCAGCCAGTTTGTCACCCCACCTTCACTAAGGATAGACTGTTTGCAGACTTGTGCTAGACTTGTGAAGGAAGCAGAGATAACTCCAGCTCTTAAGAGCTTGTAGACTAGTGGGGTAAACCTACCACTAGTAATGAGAGCTACCAATTATCCAGTACTTTTAACATATTAGCTTATTTAATTCTTTCAAACAACCCCGGGACATAGCATTATTGGCATTATTGGCCCTTTTCCAGAAGCTGAGGTTCAAAGATATTAAATAACTGAATCAAGGTCATCCAACTAGTGAGTGATGGTGGGGCTGGTATTGGAATCCAGGTCAGTCTACTTCTAAAGTCCATGTTCTTAGGTACTCCAAGTAGTGGACCAAATGTTGGTGTAATGGACTGAATATTTATATCTCCCCAAAATTTATATGCTGAAATCCCAGCCCCCAGGGTGATGGTATTTGGGAGATGATTAGTTCATGAAGATAGAACCTTCATGAATGAAGCTGGGTGCAGTGGCTCATACCTATAATGCCAACACTTTGGGAGGCCGAGGTGGGTGGATTGCTTGAGGCCAGGAGTGCGAGACCAGCCTGGCAGCCTTGTCAACATGGCAAAACCCCATCTCTACAAAAAAAAAAAAAAAAAAAAATTAGCTGGACATGGTGGCATGCGCCTGTAGTCCCAGCTACTCAGGAGGCTGAGGTGGGAGGATCACTTGAGCCTGGGAGGCAGAGGTTTCAGCTAGCCAAAATTGTGCCACTGTACTCCATCCTGGGGGACAGAGTGAGACCCTGTCTCAAAAGAAAGAAAGAAAAAAAAGAGACTAGAAGCCTTATAAAAGGAAGAGAGATCCCTGGCCCCTTCCGCAATGAGGACATAGTTAAAAGACCTCACCAGACACTACAGCTTCCAGTGCCTTGATCTTGGACTTCCAAGCCTCCAGAACTGTGAGAAATAAATGTTTGTTGTTTGTAAGCTACCCAGCATCTGGTATTTTGTTATAGTTGCCTGAACAGTCTAAGATAGATGGTTCCCAAAAAGACGTCTACATCCTAATTTCCAGAACTGTAAATGTTAACTTTGCAGACGTAATGAAATTAGGGATCTTGATTTGAGGAGATCACCCTGGATTAGCCAAGTTATTATTATTATTTTTTTTTTGAGGTGGAGTCTTGCTCTGTCACCCAGGCTGGAGTGCAATGGTGTGATCTCAGTTCATTGCAACCTCCGCCTCCCAGTTTCAAGCAATTCTCTTGCCTCCACCTCCTGAGTAGCTGCAATTACAGGAGCCCGCCACCACGCCTGGCTAATTTTTGTATTTTTAGTAGAGATGGGGTTTCACCATGTTGACCAGGCTGGTCTCAAACCCCTGACCTCAAGTGATCTGCCCACCTCGGCCTCCCAACATGCTGGGATTACAGGCATGAGCCACCATGTCTGGCATGACAAGTGTTTTTATAAGAGACACACTGAGGAGAAAACAGACACAGATGAGATGATAAGAAGACTAGGTAGAAATTGGAGTGGTGCAGCTACAAGCCAAGGCATGCTGACAGCCACCCAAAGCTGGAAGAAGTAAGTAATAGATCACCCCCTAGATCCTTTGGAGGGAGCACAGCCCTGACAACATAGTACTTTCAGACTTCTGGTCTTCAGAACTGTGAGAGAGTAACTTTCTGTGTTGTAAATCACTGGTTTGTGGTCTTTTTTTTTTTTTTTTTCAGTAGCCACAGGAAGACTAGTACATTCTATTTGTTTTATAAGAGCAAAACCACAAGGCAGCATATAATTCAAGGCTGAAGGAGTGTGGCATGCTGACAGATGGTAAGAAAAGCTGAATGTCAGAGAAAGATACCAAATCCAGTCAGTGGCTCTGTGTGATTATCAGTTAGTATGTGTCCTTTTCTCTTGTGTCCAACTTACATCATCACCATCACCTATTATTGAGCACTTAATATGTGCTAGGTACCAAGCTAAGTGCTTTGCCTAGATCACCTCAGTTAAGCCTCGCACTAATTCTATGAGGTAGGTGCCAATATTTGCCTATTTTACAAATGAGGAAACTGAGGCTCAGAGAGGTGAGGTCCCATCTGCAGTTGGACTGTGAGTAAACGGCAGAGTGAGGACCAGAACTCAAGTGTGTCTTACTGCAGAGTCTTGGCTTACGCAGTTCCTAGCCATCTTCCGTGTTAGTTTGTTCTTCTGCATATAGTCATTGTAGTTAAGAGCTCTGGGCCAGGCATGGTGGCTCACACCTGTAATCCCAGCACTTTGGGAGGCTGAGGCGGGCGGATCGCCTGAGATCGGGAGTTTGAGACCAGCCTGGCCAACATGGCGAAACCCCGTCTCTACTAAAAAACACAAAAAATTAGATGGGCCTGGTGGCACTCGCCTGTAATCCCAGCTACTTGGGAGGCTGAGGCAGGAGAATCAGTTGAACCTGGGAGTCAGAGGTTGCAGTGAGCCGAGATTGTGTCAGTATACTCCAGCCTGGGCGAGAGAGCAAGACCCCGTCTAAAAAAAAAAAAAAGAGCTCTCCAGTTTCTGGTCACCAGAAAGTCACTTGAGCCAGTGGGGGTGGAATGAGGCCTGGCTCTATGAACCTGAGTCGTCTAGTGTAGGACATCCCCCTCCAGGCCAGAGCAGCCTGCCTCTGTGGATGTTTGTTAATGAACGAGTGAACATATGGTTGGGCTGCCAGCAGAGCTCTGCCTATCTCAGGGCCACAGGAGGCATTTATGTCATCCTCTTGGTAGGTATGCCACTAGCGTCTGAGCTCAGTTACTGAGCTTCTTCCCACTGAGGAGAAAAGGCAGGTAAGCCTGGCTCTCACTCTCTGCCTCACCCACTAAGCCTGGAGAGTGGGGAAGGAGGGGTATGGAGATTATAGCATGCAAGTCCCAGGGAAGGGAACGGAGAAAATGGACTGAAGTTTCTGATAAGGTTCATAGTGATCTGGATGGCCTGGGCCTGTCCCATTCTCTGTCCAGGAAGAGGAAGGGAACACAAGGTGAGATTTTGATTTCTATTTTGTTCCCAGAAACTATCAATGCTGAAGACTTAAGGCCTCTTAAGAATACCCTTTTTGCAAGAGGGGATGGAAACATCTCTGGCCCCAACTCCGACAGGAAAGCCTGGTTTTAGCATTGAAAAGATGATTGAATACAGCTTGCCTTTTCTCCAGGGAAGAGAGACAAGATGGAGTGCCAGAGAGGCCTACGGCAAGGTGCCTATTTTTGCATTGCTGCAGCAACGTGGAGGCTTTCTGCCCTGCCTCACACCCCTCATCCATCAGCCCCAGCCTTCCCCATCATGGTTCTCTCAGATGAGGCCTGATTGTTGATTTCTTTCACGTGTGTGTGGAATTAACATCTTCTATCCCTTTCAATGTTGAATTAACTTAGTGACGAACTCATTAAGGACTCCTTATCAAGGCTTTCCCTCCTTTCTATAATTTTATCCATTGTCAGCTTTGACAGAAATCCCACTGAAGGTTTGTCAAAGAGCCATTGAAGAGTTCTAAGTGGTCTTGCTTGCAGAGGGCAACTGCACTTGACCTCTATTTATACTTTTTGTAGTACTCTTGCCTGGACTCAGAGATGCAACTGGGATTGAAATTATATTTACCAAACATCAACATATTGATGTTAGACCTTAAAAGAAGAAAACGTAAAACAGCATACAGTCTTTTTGCAGTAAACAGTAAACTCAGGAAATTTTTATTCATTGATTCCTTCCTTCAACAAAATTATGGTTAAGAATACCTGCTATTTGTCAAATTCTAAGATTATGAAATAGAACAAATTCTACCCTCAACTTACTCAAAGTCTAGACAGGGAAGCAGAAAATAGCAAATAATTACTATATGTTGTGATATGTACCACAGCCTGAAGAGAAATATACTGAAAACTGAGAATTCAAAAAAGATTGAATTAATAGTTGGTGGGTTCATAATAAGCAACTACAGTAAATGAGGAATATTAGAGGGTTATTCTGAACCTGCTAAGGTCATTGGAGAGACAACCTTGGATGATAGGTCTGGTTCCTGGGTGGGTTTTGAGCAAGGCTTGGGCTGGACCTGGGGTGCATTTGAGCTATACCGTGTGCCCCCAGTTTCACCCTAGCAGTGATGGTCCTTGGCAGCAGTTTATCTGCTTTATTTCTCCCCACCCATTTTTATAGTAAAACGTCTGCTAAAAATGATGTCAGTAAAAGCAGTCGCTATAGTGAAGTTGAATGTCATTTCTGGGACACTGGGTGTGTAACAGTTGCATGTAGGGAGTGGGTGGCTCCACTTTCCCTAATCAAAGACAGGGAAGTCCTGGCATTGAGCCAGGAGGGTTGGGCAACTGGATTGGGCGGCAGAAAATCAGTCATTGTCTCTGCCTTTTCCCTGGTTTATGGAGTGTCACAGATCCAGAGACACACATTTCTTGTCTATAAAATGGGAATAATGTTTGCTTCCACCTTACTCATTTAAAAACATTTCTTACAATTCCTAGTCAGAGTTATTTGTCAAAAAGCTTTTGTGGGTGGTGATATGGTTTGGCCCTGTGTCCCCACCCAAATCTCATCTCAAATTGTAATCCCCCCATGTTGTGGGAGGGACCTGGTGGGAGTGATTGGATCATGAAGGCGGTTTCCCCAATGCTGTTCTTGTGATGGTGAGGGAGTTCTCACAAGATCTGACCTTTTTTTTTTTTTTTTTTGAGATGGAGTCCCACTCTGTTGCCCAGGCTGGAGTACAGTGGCATGATCTTGGCTCACTGCAACCTCCACCTCCCAGATGTCAAGCGATTCTCTTGCCTCAGCCTCCCAAGTAGCTGGGGTTACAGGCATGTGCCACCATGGTGAGCTAATTTTTGTATTTTTAGTGGTGATGGGGTTTTACCATGTTGGCCAGGCTGGTCTCGAACTCCTGACCTCAAGTGATCTGCCTGCCTCAACCTCCCAAAGTGCTGGGATTATAGGTGTGAGCCACTGCACCCAGCCGTGATCTGATGATTTAAGAGTGGCAGTTTCTTCTACATGCTCTTTCTCTTCTGCTGCCTTGTAAGATGTGCCTTGCTTCCCCTTCACCTTCTGCCATGATTGTAAGTTTCCTGAGGCCTCCCCAGCCATGCAGAACTGTGAGTCAATTAAACCTCCTTTCTTTATAAATTACCCAGTCTCAGGTAGTCTTTATAGCAGTATGAAAACAGACTAATACAGACGGCCAACATTTTGGTTAGGTGAAGACGTTTAGCTTTCAGTTGTTTGTTTGGGCCCACTCCTTGTAACTTAGCATGGAGACGGTGCTGAAGAAATGGGGCTAGGGCAGGTCATTGTTAATTGAGGGAAGGATCCTGGGAACATCGGGTTATCTTGAGGACACCCAGAGATGGGAGTGTGAATGGAAGTACCCAGAGTCTGGCAGCAAAGGCACCAGGCCTGGGGAGCCTCGCCCACAGGCATGGGTGGGGGGGCACACAGCATGGCAGAGGTTATGGGTGGGTGCCATCAGGTGGTGATGCATGATATAGTTTGGCTGTGTCCCCACCCAAATCTCAACTTGAATTGTATCTCCCAGAATTCCCACATGTTGTGGGAGGGGGCCAGGGTGAGGTAATTGAATCATGGGGGCCGGTCTTTCTCGTGCTATTCTTGTGATAGTGAATAAGTCTCATGAGAGCTGATGGGTTTATCAGGGTTTTCTGCTTTTGCTTCTCCCTCTTTTTCTCTTGCTGCTGCCATGTAAGAAGTGCCTTTCACCTCCTGCCATGATTCTGAGGCCTCCCCAGCCATGTGGAACTGTAAGTCCAATTAAACCTCTTTTTCTTCCCAGTCTCTGGTATGTCTTTATCAGCAGCATGAAAACAAACTAATACAATGCATATCCCCTCGTTCCCCATCCTTGCTCTCCTGAAAATGAGAGCACTGAGGATGTGTCCAGACCCGTCACAGAAGAAACATGAATGGCTATGCCACTCAGAAAAAAATGTTCAGCCACACGAGAGTCAAGCAGAATGCAGACTAGAAATGATACTAGTTTTACCTACCAAATTGGGAAAAAATAAAAGAAGATAATGGACAATGCTGATCATTTCTTGAAACAGGCACTATGGCTAGAGGGGATGAATTTGTTGAAGCTTTCTGGAAACAATTCAACAACATCTATCAGGAACTTTAAGAATATTTAACCTTTTGTTCCAATATCCCAATCCTGGAAACCTATTCTAAGGAAAAAAAGAGATTATAGGGTTAGAGATTTCAATAAAAACATGGCCAGAATAAAATTATTTATATTGGAAAAAGAATTAAACAACTTCAATGGCCCCAAATAGGGCAAGCATTAAGTAAACAATAAAAATATCCATAGGGGAGACTATTATGCAGCTATTAAAAAAATCATACTATTTTTGAGACACGGTCTCACTTTATTGTCCAGGCTGGAGTGCAGTGGTGCGATCACAGCTCACTGCAGCCTTGAACTCCTGGGCTGAACTGATTCTCCCACCTCAGCCTCTCGAGCACCTGTGACTACAGGTGTGCACCACCATGCCCAGCTAATTAAAACAATTTTTATTTATTTATTTATTTTTTAGAAATGAGGTCTCATTATGTTGCCCAGGCTGGTCTTGAACTCCTGGGTTCAAGTGAACCTCCTACCTCGGCCTCCCAAAGTGCTGGGATTACAGGCGCGGGCTATTGCACCCGGCCTAAACATCACATGAAGGGGTGGTTTGCCCCTCCACACCTGTGGGTATTTCTCGTCAGGTGGGACGAGAGACTGAGAAAAGAAGTAAGACACAGAGACAAAGTATAGAGAAAGAACAGTGGGCCCAGCAGACTGGCGCTCAGCATACGGAGGACCTGCACCAGCACCGGTCTCTGAGTTCCCTCAGTATTTATTGATTACTATTTTCACTATCTCAGCAAGAGGAAGCGGCAGGAGAACAGGGTGATAGTGGGGAGAAGGTCAGCAAGAAAACGTGAGCAAAGGAATGTGTGTCACAAATAAGTTCAAGGGAAGGTACTATGCCTGGATGTGCACGTAGGCCAGATTTATGCTTCTCTCCACCCAAACATCTCAGTGTAGTAAAGAATAACAGAATAAAGAATAATTGCCGCCAGCATATCTCGCCTCCTGCCAGTGTGGTTTTCTACAATCGGGTTTTATACCGAGACATTCCGTTCGGTATGAGACAGAGGCCTTCCTCTTTTACTAATTCTCCTCAGCACAGACCCTTCACGGGTGTCGGGCTGGGGGACGGTCAGGTCTTTCCCATCCCATGAGGACATATCTCAGGCTGTCTCAGTGGGGAGGAACTTTGGACAATACCCGGTTTTCCTGGGCAGAGGTCCCTGCGGCTTTCCGCAGTGCATCGTGCCCCTGGTTAATCGAGAATGGAGAATGGCGATGACTTTTACCAAGCATACTGCCTGTAAACATATTGTTAACAAGGCACATCCTGCACAGCCCTAGATCCCTTAAACCTTAATTCCATACAACACATGTTTCTGTGAGCACAAGGCTGGAGAAAAGTTACAGATTAACAGCATCTCAAGGCAAAACCATTGTTCAGGGTACAGATCAAAATGGAGTTTCTTAAGTCTTCCTTTTCTAAATAGACACACTTGTGATACCCTAACTTGTATTAACCTGATTGACTCTCTCTTAGCTGAGAAACCTGAACGGACTCCATTTGGCTCCTTCATTTGCAAGACATCAAGGGCTCCTTACCCACCCCCTTCCTCAAGGAATTAACTTGTGCAAGCTGACTCCCAGCACATCAAAGAATGCAATTAACTGATAACATGCTGTGGCAAGCTATGTCCGCAGTTCCCAGGAATTTGTCCAGTTGATATTACCCTAAGCCCCTGTGTTTTTGTCTGGTTGATAGCACCCAAAGCCCAGCGTCTATCACCTTGTGATGGATTTAAAGCCCCTGCACCTGGAACTGTTTGCTTTCCTGTAACCATTTGTCTTTTTAACTTCTTTTGCCTGTTTTACTTCTGTAAGACTGCTACAGCTAGGCTCCCCCTCCCCTCTCTAAACCAAAGTATAAAACAAAATCTAGCCCCTTCTTCAGGGCCGAGAGAATTTTGAGCACTAGCCGTCTCTCGGTCGCTGGCTAATAAAGGACTCCTCAATTCGTCTCAGAGTGTGGCGTTTCTGTATAACTCGCTCGGTTACAACACAGTAACAGTCTGATCCCCCCTTTTTTTTCCCCTACATCATACTTTCAAAGAATAACTGACATGGATAAATAGTTTTCCTACAGTGTTAACTTTTTGGTGCTGGGGATCTCCAGTGCCGTATACAGACCACACCTGTGCATGTGAAAGATTGGAAGGATATTTTCCAAAGTGCTGAAACATCATTTCTGAGTTGTAGGATTGCAGGATTACTTCCTTCTTTACATTTTCCAATATTTTCTAAATATTCTAAAGTGAATTGCACAATTTTGATAAGGGGGAAAAGATGTCATTAAAAAATGATTGCACCTGCCTGACTGCAGCCAGTGCTCCCTGCTGCCAGTGGATCCTCTGCCTTTGGCAAGAGGCAGATTTCATGAGCCTGGAGACCCTGCCAGGAAAAAGTGCAAGGAATTAGAACAATTCACCCTGGGGTCTGGCCAGGCCCGGTGGAGAGAGGGATGGGGCAGAGAAGCCCATCTGGGAAGCATTTTTCTCAGGTACATCCCCAAATTGAGCTGTGCCCACCTATGGACTCCAAGGACCCCAAGTTAAAGAGCACTTGCTGGTGCCGGACTGAAGGCCCAGCTAAATGCCACCTTGACTCTGGGGCTGTGTGCCCAGTGCCACCCTGAAGAGTGAGGGGATGTGGCTGGACAGATGCTCGGGTAGACCCAGCTTCTGTCCCCCGCTCTGAGCAGCTCAGAGCAGCCAGTGAAGAGCAACACACTTCGCTTCAAAAACCCACAGAGCAGCTTGACAGGGAGTTCTGGTTTCTGCTCCAATGCATTTGAGACTGAAATTTCCCCCCAATGTATTGTCTAGCACTTTTCCACTCTGCTCAGTAACAGCAGCATTGCCAGGGAGCAGGTTAGACGTGCAGAGGCTCAGCTCCGGTTTACAGAATGAGAATGTGCAGTTCAGCAAATCCCCAGGGTACTCAGGAGCACTGAGTTTGCAGCACTGCTCAGCTCCCCTCACAGGGGGATGGACCTCAGACTGGGCTGGGCTCGGGGGAGCAGGGAGGAGGAGGAGAGCACTGAGGAGCTGCGGAGCGGGGGCCTGTGGGAAGCCCACTCCAATCAGGTGGGATGGAAGCAGAAGTGGCTCCTGAGGGGAAGCAAGAGCAGCTGGACAGAGCACTGAGTGGCCCTCGTTTCTGCCACTTGGGGTGAAAGAGGCGGGGCAATAGCTTATTCCAGGGCAACCTCCTCCAGGAATGTGTGGGGTATGGGGATAGTATCTCCCTGTTCCTCACAGGGTCCCTGGAGCTTGGTAGGAAGCAGAAGGTATTATTTTCATTTTCCAGATGGTTTTATAGGGGCTGGGGGAGGGAGCCTGGGAGGTTGCCAGCCTACTGGGAAAGCTCAGAGCCCTC